>NC_000002.12:206580527-206883557 GCF_000001405.40 Homo sapiens
TGTGTATGTTAAACCATTCCTGCATCCCTGGTACGAAACCCACTTGATCATGGTGGATTATCTTTTTGATATGTTGTTGGATTCAGTTAGCTAGTATTTTGCTAAGGATTTTAGCATCTGTGTTCATCAAGGATATCGGTGTGTAGTTTTCTTTTTTGGTAATGTCCTTTCCTGGTTTTGGTATTAGGTTGATGCTGGCTTCATAGAATGAATTAGGGAGGATTCCTTCTTTCTCTATCTTGTGGAATAGTGTCATAAGGATTGGTACCAATTCTTTGAATGTCTGGTAGAATTCTGCTGTAAATCCATCTGGTCCTAGACCTTTTTTGGCTGGTAATTTTTAAATTATCATTTCAATCTCACTGCTTGTTATTGGTCTATTCAGGGTATCTAATTCTTCCTGATTTAAGCTAGGAGGGTTTCATTTTTCCAGGAATTTATCCATCCCTTCTAGATTTTCTAGTGTATGTGTGTAAAGGTGTTCATAGTAGCTTGAATGATCTTTTGATTTCAGTGGTGTCAGTTGTAATATCTCCTGTTTCATTTCTTAGTGAGGTTTTTTTGGATTTTCTCTCTTCTTTTCTTGGTTAATCTTGCTAATGGTCTATCAATTTTATTTATCTTTTCAAAGAACCAGCTTTTTGTTTCATTTATCTTATGTATTTTGTTGTTGTTGTTGTTATTTCAATTTCATTTAGTTCTGTGCTGATCTCGGCTGTTTTCTTTCTTCCGCTGGGTTTAGGTTTGGTTTGTTCTTGTTTGTCTAGTTCCTTGAGGTATGACCTCAGATTGTCTGTCTGTGCTCTTTCAGACCTTTTGATGTAGGCATTTAGGGCTATGAACTTTCCTGTTAGCACCACCTTTGCTGTATCCCAGAGGTTTTGATAGGTTGTGGCATCATTGTCATTCAGTTCGAAGAATGTTTTAATTTCCATCTTGGTTTTGTTTTTGACCCAATGCTCATTCAGCAGGTTATTTAATTTCCACGTATTTGCATGGTTTTGAAGGTTCCTTTTGGAGTCAATTTCCAGTTTTATTCCACTGTGATCTGAGAGAGTGCTTGATGTAATTTCAGTTTTCTTAAATTTATTGAGGCTTGTTTTATGGCCTATCATATGGTCTATCTTGGAGAAAGTTCCATGCACTGTTGAATAGAATGTGTATTCTGCAGTTGTTGGATGAAATGTTCTGTATATATCTGTTAAGTCCATTTGTTCCAAGGTATGGTGTAAATCCATTGTTTCTTTGTTGACTTTCTGTCTTGATGACCTGTCTAGTGCTGTCAGTGGAGTATTGAAGTCCCCCACTATTATTGTGTTGCTGTCTATGTCCTTTCTCTTCCTTCCTTCCTTCCTTTCTTTTTTTTTGAGATGGAGTTTCGCTCTTGTTGCCCAGGCTGGAGTGCAGTGGTGCGATCTCGGCTCACTGCAACCTCTGCCTCCCAGGTTCAAGTGATTCTCCTGCCTCAGCCTCCCAAGTAGCTGGGATTACAGGCAGGTGCCACCATGCCTGGCTAATTTTTGTATTTTTAGTAGAGACAGAGTTTCACTATGTTGGTCAGGCTGGTCTCGAATTCTTGACCCCAGGTGATCCGCCCGCCTTGGCCTCCCAAAGTGCTGGGATTACAGGCGTGAGCCACCACGCCCGGCCAACATTTCTTAGGTCATTAGTAATTGTTTGGTAAGTGTGGTAGCTCCAGTGTTAGGTGCATATATGTTTAGGATTGTGATATTTTCCTGTTGGACAAGGCCTTTTACCATTATATACTGTCCCTCTTTGTCTCTTAGCCACTGTTGCTTTAAAGTTTGTTTTGTCTGATATAAGAATAGCTACTCCTGCTTGCTTTTGGTGTCCATTTGCTTGGAATGCCTTTTCCACCCCTTTACTTTAAGTTTATGTGAGTGTTTATGTGTCAGGTGAGTCTCCTGAAGGCAGCAGATGGTTGGTGAGTTCTTATCCATTCTGTGCTTCTGTATCTTTTAAGTGGAACATTTAGGCCATTACATTCAATGTTAGTGTTGAAATGTGAGGTACCATTGCTTTCATCATGCTCTTTGTTGCCTGTGTGCTTTGGTTTTGTTTTTTTGTTTTTGCTTTCTAACTTGTATTTTTGTTTTATAGATCCTGTGTGATTTATGCTTTAAAGAGGTTCTGTTTTGATGTGTTTCCAGGATTTGTTTCAAGATTTAGAGCTCCTTTTAGCAGTTCTTGTAGTGGTGGTTTGGTAGTGGAAAATTCTCTCAGCATTTGTTTGTCTGAAAACGATTGTATCTTTCTTTCATATATGATGCTTACTTTGGCTGAATACAAAATTCTTGGCTAATAACTGTTTGAGGAGGCTGAAGATAGGTCCCCAATCCCTTTTAGCTTGTAGAGTTTCTGCTGAGAAATCTGCTGTTAATATGATAGGTTTTCCTTTATAGTTTACCTGGTGCTTCTGTCTCACAGCTCTAAAGATTCTTTCCTTTGTCTTAACTCTGGATAACCTGATGACAATGTGCCTAGGTGATCTTTTTGCAATGAATTTCTCAGGTGTTCTTTGTGCTTCCTGTATTTTCATGTCTAGGTCTCTCACAAGGCCAAGGAAGTTTGCCTCGATTATTCCCTCGAATATGTTTTCCAAGCTTTTAGAATTCTCTTCCTCCGGCCGGGCACAGTGGCTCATGCTTGTAATCCCAGCACTTTGGGAGGCCAAGGCGGGCGGATCACGAGGTCAGGAGATCGAGACCATCCTGGCTGACGCAGTGAAACCCCGTCTCTACTAAAAATACAAAAAATTAGCCGGGCGTGGTAACGAGCGCCTATAGTCCCAGCTACTCAGGAGGCTGAGGCAGGAGAATGGCGTGAACCCGGGAGGCGGAGGTTGCAGTGAGCCGAGATAGTGCCACTGCACTCTGGCCTGGGCGAAAGAGCGAGACTCCGTCTCAAAAAAAAAAAAAAAAGAATTCTCTTCTTCCTCAGGTACACCAATTATTCTTTGGTTTGATTGTTTAACATATCAAACCTTCTTGGAGGTTTTGTTCATATTTTCTTATTCTTTTTTCTTTTTCTTTGTTGGATGGGGTTAATTCGAAGACTTTGTCTTTGAACTCTTAATTTCTTTCTTCTACTTGTTCATTTCTATTGCTGAGACTTTCCAGAGCATTTCACATTCTAAAAATGTGTCCAAAGTTTCCTGAATTTTTGATCGTTTTTTCTTTAAGTTACTATTTCCATGAATATTTCTCCCTTCTTCCATCATTTTTTGGATTTCCTTGCTTTTGGCTTTGCCTTTCTCTGGTCTCTCCCTGATTAGCTTTATAACTAACCTCCTGAAATTCTTTTTCAGGTAAATCAGGAATTTCTTCTTGGTTTGGATCCCTTGCTGGTGAACTAGTGTGATTTTTTGGGGGGTGTTGAAGAGCCTTGTTTTGTCATATTACCAGAGTTGGTTTTTTTGGTTCCTTCTCATTTGGGTAGGCTCTGTCAGAGGGAAGGTCTAGGGGTGAAGGCTGTTGTTCAGATTCTTTTGTCCCACGGGTGTTCCCTTGATGTAGTACTCTCCCCCTTTTCCTATGGGTATGGCTTCCTGTGAGCTGAACCACAGTGATTGTTGTCTCCCTTCTGTGTCTAGCCATCCAGTGAGTCTACCCGGCTCCAGGCTGGTACTGGGGGTTGTCTGCACAGAGTTCTGTTATGTGAACTGTCTGCGAGTCTCTCAGCTGTGGATACCAGTGCCTGTTCTGTTGGAGGTGGCAGAGGGTGTAATGGACTCCATGAGGGTCCTTAGCTTTGGTGGTCTAATGATCTATTTTTGTGCTGGTTGGCCTCCTGCCACAAGGTCGTGCTTTCCAGAAAGCATCAGCTGTAGTAGTGTGGAGAGGGACCGGTAGTGGGCAGGGCCCTAGAACTCCCAAGATTATATGCCCTTTGTCTTCCACTATAATCAGCTCTTCAGTTTGTGTGGGAGCTGGGTGAGGCCTGTGACTCCTGGCTTCCCCCACTTTCCTGACAACCTGCATGACTCAGCAGAGGCAGCCATAATCCTCCTAGGTAGAGACCTGGGAGTCTCACCCCCATCCCCCACAGCAACCACAGCAAGACCCACCCAAGGAGAGTCTGAGCTCAGACACGCCTAGTCCTGTCCTTACCCGATGGTCCCAGCTTCAAGAAAAAAGGGCTTTAGTTCTTCCCCGGCCTGTGAAGTCTGCACACCCGATTGGTGCCCTCCCCCAAGTTATGGCCAGGAGGCTTCTCGCCCAGTTCAAATTGTTAAAAAGTTCAGCTAGAGAATTCCTTCTCCCTGTGGAGTTTTACCCCCTGCTCCTCTGGCCACCTTCCCGTTGGATCCCTATGGTGCTAGGCAGGAATGGGCTGCTCGGGGACCCAGTGAACTCTCAGGGCCTTTTTGTTGCTTCCTCTACCCCTGTATTTGGCTTGGCTCTCTAGCTTGACTCAGTTCCAGGTAAAGTCGGAAACTTTTCCTGCAAACAGACCTTCAGCTTCTCCAGCGGGGGTGTGTGTTCCCACTTCCACAATTGGGGCACTCACAGTATTTGGGTGTCTCCTGGGTCCTGCAGGAGCAGTCTGCTTCCTTCAGAGGGTCTGTAGGTCCTCTTGGGATTGCTAGTTTGTTCTTGCAGTCCATCTGGAGCTAAAATTCACAGTGCAGGCCTCCGCATGCTGCCCTGTCCGGAGCTGCAATCTAGTCCTGCCTCCTGTCCGCCATGATCCCGATCACTGGTTGCATAAGGTTAAGAGTGAGTGAATGATTAATGATAGTTGATTAATGAGATAATGATTGCATTTTGAGTGGCTCTGGATGGATTAAAGAAACCACAGGGATTTCTGCTCTTGTGTAGTTGTGTATTTCTGCTTTTTACTGCTGATCCCTTGAATACTCACCAGATTGAAAAGCTGTGGCGAATGAAACATTTATGAGAGTCAGTTATTCTTTAGAAAGGTGTAGAACCAAAGCATTTGCCTTGGAATGTTTGTTAGGAAATTACTGCTTCTTAGGAATGCTAAATTAGTTCTGTTATCTTTCTGTGGTGAACTTGATAAATGGCTCAATATGTGCAGCATAGAATAACATAGTCGTATCTGGTTATTGAGTCATTCATTTATTTTCTCTGTGAGCTCACAGTACTTGCACACCTGCCACATGCCTGGTGTTGTTGTAGGTACTAGGGCAGCAGTAAGGAACAAAACATAGAATCCTGCTTGCATGGAGCTCACATTATGATGGGGCAACAATGAACAAACAAGTAAGTAAAACTTATGAATTGTCAGTTGGTGATAAGTGCTTTGGAAAAGAAAAAAAAACAAAGAAAAAAACTTGTAGACTTCTCTAAAAATAAATAAATAAATAAAAAGCCCTTAAAGCCCTTATCCTAAATTGGCACAGCCCCAGAGAGTGCCAGCATTGGAGGGGCTGCAGCTTTGAAGAGCATAGGTTCTATAAAGGCCTCTTTGGGATGATGATATTTGAGCAAAGCTCTAACAAAGGTGAGGGAATGAGCCATGCCGAAATCCAGAGCGACAACGGGAAAGCAAAGGCAAAGGCTGTGGGTGGCAGCATGACTGGTGTGTCCACGTGGACTCACATCAGCCATGGGTGAACAGAAAATGATGTCACAGAGATGACGGGGTGAGAAAGTATAGGAGCAGATCATGTTGAGCTTGGAAGGTCATTGAGTAAGCTGGGAAACAGAAGATCGATGTGATTTGGTATTTACCTTTTTAAAGAGATCACTCTGATAGCAATGTAAACTCTAAGGTGACTAGGATAGAAGCAAGGGACTCAGGTGGGAGGCTATTACAGTAATCCAGGTGAGAGGTGGTGGTGGCTTGGACAGGGTGTGAGCAGTGGAGGTGGAGAAAAGGGGTCAGATTGGAATTATATTTTGAAGATAGAACTAGCAGGATTTATGGACAGACTAGATGGAGGAAGAGTGAGAGAGGAGGGGAATAGAAGATGACTATGGCCTTTGGCTTGAACAATTGGAAGGATGGAACATCATTTACTGAGAAGGTGAAGACTGAGGGAGGACCTCAGTGCACACTGCTGTTTCTTATTTATTTGCCATGCCTGCATATTTTTTTCTTTTTGTATTTGTTTTAAACTCTGTAGCAGGGCCTTTGACTTGATCTTTTTCCATTCTCTTAAATGTAGTCAATAAAATGTACAGAGAGTAACTTTGGGGGGAAATGAAGTATTTCTTTAAAAAATGATTTGATAAATAGACCTATAAAAAGAAATAACCATCACATCACAGACTGTTCTAGTAACATGTCTGCAGTTTGAAGAGGTCAGAACTATTAATATAATGGAGATATAGCACTTACTTTGTGTTGAAAGGCAGAGTATTTCTTCTGTTTCACTAAAGTAGCCTATAGGTAAAATGTCATGATGTCAAATGCAGATTTGACATTTTCAGAGAGCTGAGCAACTTCTTGTAAATTAGTTTCTTGAATGTGACCGTTCTATGTACCAAGCTGATTCATTTCCTTCATTGTCCATTTTAATCTCTTCTACTTTTAACTCTGTAGGCAAGTGAATGTGACTTGTTATTCTGGTCCATCTCACCATAAACAGAGGAAACATATAAAATGCATGCACTGTGTGGCCCTTACTTACTTATTTTACCAATAATAGGATAAATAATTTGAATTAATAACGTATTTAAGGAGTTGCATGTGTTTTTCTCAATGTTTCTAGTTATATATATCCACCATGCTTGCATTATATATAGTATGTACATTATCTGAAGGTACCTAGCATGCTGAATATTAACTAAAAAGATAATATTTTGCAGTGCCCACCAAATCTTCATAAGCAAGACGGATATGCATGCAATCAAAATCAGGTATGCTGGGCTATAAATTTTAAGTGTAATTTAAAAAGGATTCATTGGAAAGTTTTTTTTTCCTTTTTTGATAAATATTAATATAACTTTGAAGGGAATTTTACTCAAGTAAATTATTATAGTGGGATTCTAATTTAGAGTTGCTTCATGTTATGCCAAATATTAAATATATTTACCTCTGGTGACAAATTGTCCAGATTAAGAGAAAAAAAAAAAGAATGTAATGGCTGAAGAACTGGGAGTCTCATTTATTGAGTTGTGACCATCTTTCAGTAATTTCAGCCTGCCTGGTGTGTGAAAGAAAATATGACAATCTGTCATGAGTTTTTTTTCCCCTGAAGCCATATTATAACCTACAGGTGAGTATCATGATGTCAAATGCAGATTTGATGTTTCCTAACCATCCATACACAAAAGAAGCTAAAAATCATTTTGGTGTCTCTCACAGAAATGTACCAATTTTTGTTTGCTGTAAAATTTCAAATTGTAGATGTTTAGTTTACATTTAGAGAGCTGTACAATGAGTTCTGTTTAGAGTTTTAAAGTTTTAACTCTTATTCTTGAGATATTTGTGATCCTTACTGGTCACTATAAAAATATTAGGGTATGAAATGAAAAAACTTTATCCAAGTGAACCAGAAGGAGACATTGTAGTAAAAACATTGGGGAAGACAAACTGACTCTGTGTGCCTCACATGTGTGCTCCTGTCCCCAGGGCCGCTGCTACAATGGCGAGTGCAAGACCAGAGACAACCAGTGTCAGTACATCTGGGGAACAAGTAGGTCGCACCTCCTTGCTTGGCGGTTACACATACCATTTTCTCTTAATAGTGTTCTTCTCTGCCAGTCTTGCTGAGAGAGATGCACAGCTTGGAGTGATGTTTTAAAAAAATCTAGAAAGGATGAGAATAAAGAGAACTGTGAATCTTAGTCACAAAAACTATAGAAAACAACTGCTTAAGTTGGGTACTTGTCAGAACTGAGCAGTGCCATTTAATGGCTGTGGCTCTCAGAGAAGGGGTGTTGCATTCATTTGCAAAGATTGGGTTGAGTACAGTGTGATTATCCAGCCACTTGTGTGATTTATTTTGTACCTTGGTTTTAACATTTGACCCCCTTTTTTTCCATTAACACACACACAAGTTAGCTTTCTGGTTTTTACCGCAGGAAAATACCAGACTTATTTTTTAAATTTTGTCATTTACTGTCTCACTTCAAAGTGAAGAGATGCATGTACTTCCTGAGATGCAGATAGGTACATGGCTGTGATTCTTAGTACATTCCGTAAAAGTTCACGTGCATATCCTCTTCCTGACATTTACAGTGCCTCTCCAATAATATCAGTTCATGAGGGCCAGACGGGGGGAAGAATGAGAAATGCGTCTGCCTTTCTAGCCAAGGCTGGGTTCACCCCAAAGGAAAAGAAAGCACACAGAATGAGAACAGGGCTCTGGCATGAGTGATTTTAGAGTTTGGCAAATATCATTTATTTGACTGATTTACATTCAGTGCTTTAGTTTTGACAGAGAAAAGATAATAGACATATTTGTATTTTGAAAGGTTTAATTATCAAAACTCAGGTGCCAACATAAAATCTCAATAGGCTACGACTTTATAATTATCTCCTAATATTGATATAAAACAAGATTAAGAATGTTAGTTTCCTGTGTGTCAGTCACTTCACCAATTCCTGCTGATAATCATTCGCACCTTCCATCCTCAAACTCACCAACAAGGATTGGAGAGAAATTTATTTCTCAGGCTAAAAACAGTGTTGTTTTGGAGCTTTTTTGTATTAGCTTGCAAGAGCCAATTGTTAAATTTTCAGGAATTTTGGAAGCCCATGGATATCACATTGAGTGTGAAATCAGCCATGGAGAATTTATACCATGGAAACTTGCAAATGCTACAAATCAGGATGTTCTTTTTCCTTGCTCTGGAGAATCGGGTGTTAAACACTTACTGGCACACTACTGGTTATGGATAACAAAGAAAATGAAAATTAATTTTCTTCTCTTGCCTATCTCCAAAAGAGGCTGCAGGGTCTGACAAGTTCTGCTATGAAAAGCTGAATACAGAAGGCACTGAGAAGGGAAACTGCGGGAAGGATGGAGACCGGTGGATTCAGTGCAGCAAACAGTGAGTGGTCAGCTCTAAGGGCATAGTCACTGGACTTGGAAGCCCTTCTTATGCAAGTGCAAAATGAGCACAAAATAAATGCTAATGATTTTTTTCTAAGTGTTCACCATTCCAAAATTTAAAGTATTTATTTTTAATAGGTATTATTATATCTAGAGGCAAATGGCTATAGATTAAACTGTTACTATGCTACAGATTCATGCCATTTTCACAAAATTCAGAAAATTTCTCAGGTGCCACATTTTACTTCATTTTTGTTCTGACGAGATACTTTGCCAGAGCATTACAAATTAATACTAGCTTTTAATTTTCTACTTTTACTAGAATATATGGCCTATGAGTGTAGTAGTATACATGTAGTTTAAATGCAAACTATATAGACCGTATATATTTTTGCGACCAACGTGAAATCTTACTGTGTTTTTTATCATTTCACAAGTGTAGTAACATTTGATTTAATCAGATATCTAATATCTACACCAGAGATTTTTTTTCCCTTCCAAAAAGCATCTAGTTAGTACATATTAAAGCCATCTTTACTCAGGAAATGAGATGCTTTCAGAGCACATTGATATTTCTTTCTCCCTTTCTTTTTTTTTTCGAGACTGAGTCTCGCTTTATCACCCAGGCTGGAGTACAGTGGCATGATCTCAGCTCACTGCGACCTCCACCTCCTGGGTTCAAATGATTCTCGTGCCTCAACCTCCTGAGTAGCTGGGATTACAGGCATCTGCCACCATGCCCGGCTACTTTTTGTATTTTTAGTAGAGATAGGGTTTCACCATGTTGGCCAGGCTGGTATTGAACTCCTGGCCTCAAGTGATCCGCCCTCCTCAGCCTCTCAAAGTGCTGGGATTATGGGCGTGAGTCACCACGTCCAGCCTGATATTTATTTGATTAGTTGAGGAAAGTTAGAATTCTCATTAATTAGGTTATTAAGGTTAATTGAATTACTGTGGAACAATGGAATCATTAAGGAATAGCCCAAACCTCTTTCCTTTTCCTTCTAAAGCAATGAAAATTCTCCTAATTTTGAAGCAGAGCAAGAATTTAAGGGAAGCTTTATTCTCAGTTAATGATCTCTGCTATATTTTACAAAACTTTGCATTTCCATTTAGTCTTTGATGATGGATGAGGCCACAGTAGGCAACAAATCTTTGACTATAATTTTTAAAAAATTAAACCAAAATAATAGAGAACAGAGCTTCTTATCTGATGTCTCATAAGTGAAGCACAGATGTTCCAAGGTGTTGATCCTCAGTCCTCGAGGTGTCAGGGGATAGGAGCAAGGGGAGCCTGAAGTAGTCAAAATCCATGGGATTGGACATCTTGAATTTGATTAGCTTTATTCATTCACTCCATGTCCTAGAGAATCTGATTATCTCTCTGTGTCTCATGACCTCAAAAAGTTTGAGAGGCATTGGATTAGATTATTGTAAAGGATAGCTTTTGAGTATCTGGTAATAGAATACCCAATCCCCAATAAGTTAAGGGAAATTAATGTGTTTGAAACTTGAAAAAATCATGAAATATATGACCAGACACGATGGCTTATGCCTGTAATCCCAGCACTTAGGGAGGCTGAGGCGAGTGGATCGCTTGAGTCCAGGAGTTCAAGACCAGTCTGGACAACATAGTGAGTCCTCATCTCTATTTTTTTTTTAAGTTGTGAAATGTATAAACATAAAAATAAATAACAAATAAATATACATTTTACCAAATAATTATGAAGTGAACTCCCATGTCACTCCTACATGGGTCAAGAAATAAAACATTGCAGCATCCCAGAAATAGTGCAGATACCTTCATCCTGACTTTTGTGGCAGTCACTTTCTTGCTTTTCTTTAGAGTTTTACTGCCTGTTTTCATCCCTAATGCTTCATGTATTATTTTGTATTTTGCTTCTCAAGTCCAGCATTTTAAGAGTTTTCTGTGGTGTGTATAGCTGTCTGTTGTTCATTTTTATTATTTATTTGTTTCACTTTTATAAATGCACAAATGAATGAATATACTATACTTTAGTTCTCCATTCTGTGTTGATGAACATTTAGTTTGTTTTCATTTTTTGGCTGTTAGGAACCATGCTGCTATGAATATTCTTGTATATGTAACCTAGTGCACATTTGTACCTCTTTCTGTAAGGCCTGTACATAAGTAGAAAATTTGCTAAGTCATAGGGGATCTTATCATTGTTACCAAATAATGTCAGACTGTTTTCTAAAATGGCTGAACTAGTAAATTCTACCATCAGTATTATGTATATAAGAATTTTATTGTACCATATTTCACCAACACTTGGTATTATCAGACTTTTTGCTTTTATCTGTTCTGGTGGGTGTGACCTGCTATATTAGCATGGTTTTAATTTGCATTTCCCCAGATTACAAGTGGAATCTAGCACATTTTTGTACATTTGTTGGACATGGATTTCCTTTTTTTGTGATGTGCCACTTCAATTCTTTGCCCATTTTTTAGGAGTCATTGTTTACTTAACAGATAGACTGGAGGTAGAGGTCCTCATGGTGCATGAATTTAACAAGGTCACCAAAGACCCAGATAATTTCTGCCCCTCCATCCTGTAACCCTTAGCATGTTGATTTTTTGTCCTTATGCTTTGTGAACTCATGATTGTAAAGTGGATACAAAAGCTACACATTCAAAGGTAGGAAGTAAGGATAGGAGCAAAAGGTCTTCTCCCTGTCAGTCTCTAACCTTTTATCCAGAAAACAAAATCCTCCCAGCCACTCCCTAGCCAGCTTCTCCTCACATCTTCACAGCCCAGGGGCCACTTTTAACTCTAGGAAGACGAGAAGGGGGAATGGATAGGAAAGTGGGCGTCGAGAATGGGAGTACCAAGAATAGATGAGACAGCAGTCATGATCCACCTTTCAGGGCTGGGCACTTTGCTGTTCCAAACAAAACTGTGATCCTCTTAGCAAAGAAGGAGGAGGTTATCACCTACCAATGATATATGATCAAATGTTTTTGTTTAGAAAGAAAGATAATATTTTAAAAATTTGAATCAATGTGGACCGAATCGTTTTGATTTTTTGAGCTTGATTCCTCCTGTCTGGTCTGTTTGTTTTCTTTACACATGTTCAGTGATGTGTTCTGTGGATTCTTACTCTGTACCAATCTTACTCGAGCTCCACGTATTGGTCAACTTCAGGGTGAGATCATTCCAACTTCCTTCTACCATCAAGGCCGGGTGATTGACTGCAGGTAACATATTAAATATTAGAAGACCTAATAAGCCATGAGAATTACAAATTTCACAAAATGAAATTTCAAAAAAATCAGAAATCAAAGATTTTTCTAGTTTTTACAAGAGGAAAGTTAATTTAGATTTTATTATCACCTTTCATATTGACAGTCACTTAAAAAGAAACAAAGTTGTATATTGACTTGCAGCTTACATTTGCTCAAAATTATACTAGTTAGTAGTAATATGGCCTTCTTTGTCATCATAATTTTAGGAGTAGAATTATGGTGTTCATTCTAACCCATTATTAAAGTTTTAAGCATTAGAGTATGCCACTATTTTGAACACTGTGTGTGTATTTATTTTGTGACTGAAAAGAAAAAGAATTTAAGCTATAGTTTATGAAGTGTATGTCTGGTTTGGAAGATGGCTTAACAAATACCTAATCATATATAGAAAATATTTATTAAAATAGTATGTATACCGATAAGCAAACATTTGATATCCAGTTGTCTGTGAGTACAAGGCATGTAGATATGAGGCTTATTTTTGTTTAGTCGGGGAGTCATATTATATTCCAAATAGGTATTGTTCCCTTCAAAGTAGTTATAATTCGAAGATACTATTCTCTTACTCAATGGTATTGTTGTTGCTCAAAACACTTTTGGGCTTCCCCCTGCAGAATTGCCTTCAGCGTCTGCAAACTTTTACTTTTAGTATCCTTAGAGTACCATATCTTCACCTTAAGTGAGGTAATATAAGATTTGGGATTATCCAAAAGTAATTTTAGTAAATTCATTGGGTACTAAATTGGCTAATGCTGTCTCAGTCAAATGGTTACTTTTTTTTTTCTTGCTTTTAAATGGCTCTGAAGACAATTCTAACAGGGTCTTAGTAAGATCCCTCCTGGAATAAATTTGTAGTCTCTAAAGCTAGTTACTTTGACGTATACAAGCTTTATTTGAATGTGTGTTTTCATGCCTTTAGATAAAATAGCCTTGTTAAATTATATTGTTGTATATACTAAACTAGCATATTTGTTAAATATTCAGCAAGATATTCTATTAGTGACTATAGCATTATCATTCAAATTCAAATTATACCTAACTTTGAAATTTTAGAAGTAAGCACTAAAACACATGAAATAATCTTATGAAACCACTGTCATATATGTGGTCTGTCATTGACTGAAATTTTTTACACAATGGTAAGTACTTGCCTATCTGAACGTATCTAAACATAGAAAAGTCATACTGCCCCTTTTCTATGTTTAGATACGTTTAGATAGGCAAGTACTTACCATTGTGTTATAATTGCCCACAGTTTGCAGTACAGTATAATATGCTATACAGAAGTGTAGCCCAGGAGCAATAGACTAGACCATCTAGCAGTGTAGGTGTATAGTAGGCTATACCATCCAAGTTTGTGTAAGCTCATTCTATGACATTTGCACAAAGACAAAATTGACTAATGACACAATTCTTAGAATATTATCCCCATCATTAAGCTAGGCATGTCTGTAAATATCAATAGAAAATAACTGATTTGTTTATGTTTTTCAATTATGGATAATCAGATCTTCTGAAGTAAGAATAATAATTTTCAAAATATTTTTCATTTGCTGTTTTTGTTCATCGTCTGCTTTTTTCTACCATGCTACATCTGAAAGCCTTGGAGAGCTAATGATATATTTGCTTCTTTTGTTCTCATATAGATACTTCTCTCCTTTAGTCTTAATGTTGGGTCTTGAAAACACGTGAAGATTTAGAATATACTTTGTGCAAATGACATTTTTCTTGTTGATGTGTACTGTAATAATGATAATGAAAGAGTGTTTCTTTTTCATGCTCTTTTATTAAGGAAAGGTAGGGAAAGGGGAAGAAGAAGAGGAGTAAGAAAATGCTAGGAGAAATCCACATCCACTGACAGCCTCTTCGGTTTTGTGAAGAGCAAGCCTCATTCATGGAATGATGTTCTAAGTGTGGTGCAAATAGTTATATGGGTATCTTTCTTGTTTTAGTGGTGCCCATGTAGTTTTAGATGATGATACGGATGTGGGCTATGTAGAAGATGGAACGCCATGTGGCCCGTCTATGATGTGTTTAGATCGGAAGTGCCTACAAATTCAAGCCCTAAATATGAGCAGCTGTCCACTCGATTCCAAGGGTAAAGTCTGTTCGGGCCATGGGGTAAGTAGGTATCAATGTGACAGCTGGAACCTTCATGGTCTGGCATGGTCACAGTGACTGGACTTTAATTTCAGCCATTCTCCTAGCCAACATGGTGAAACACCATCTCTACTAAAAATGCAAAAAATAGCTGGGCGTGGTGGTGGGCACCTGTAGTCCCAGCTACTCAGGAGGCTTTTGCAGAAGAATCGCTTGAACCCAGGAGGCAGAGGTTGCAGTGAGCCGAGATTGAGCCACTGCACTCCAGCCTGGCGACAGAGCGAGACTCCATCTCAACAACAACAACAACAAAAAAGGCCAAATTCAGCCTTGTTAATCACAATCATGGTATTAGAATATTTCAGATTAAAAAGCTTCCTTGTTTGATTTTATCATCTCTGAATGTGTTTCTCAGGGAGATAAGGGTTTAAACACTCCTGTCTCTAGTTTGCTCATTGTTATTTATTTCCTCTAGATTACAGTTCCATTCCAGCATGCTGGTGGGTCCCTGGAGAAACAGGGAGGAGACAGAGATCACTCTGGGGTCCTCAGCTTGGCTGACTGAGAAAAGAGGGTTACCAAGGACTAGGGGTGTGGGGGTGTGGTGGGGGGGAATCCTTGTTGGGCAGGGAAAGTGCCACCAAGTGAGTTTGGTGTTGGACGTGGTAACGGTGAGGTCATACAAGGCACTGGTGATTTATGTCTCCTGGCCTTTTATCTCCAGCAGTGCTTTTGAGCCCACTGTCTATTAATTTATTGAAGTAAGTGTATATGTTTTTAAAGTGGGTTCCTAGAAACAGTTACTTCTGAACAAAGTAGAAAAAAGTATCTTATCAGACATTTGTATACTTATGTAATATCATGATTCAATTTAATTTAAGAATAACATGAATAATTCAATTTAAGAATAATAATAAATAATAAGATAAATAATTGAAGAATTTCTTCCTTTTACTCTTTTTCTTTAATTAATGGGAAAAAATGTTACACAATTTGATCTATGCATTATTACCTTGTGTCTAGTGATCAAGACCATGGGAAACTTTAAAAAGAAATTCCAAATAGCTTTTAAAGCTTCCTCCCTGCCCCCGTGTCTCTTTTACATTTATCACTATTATTCTACAAAATACAGTGAAAATGCCATATCTGTTCCTTTTTCTTCACAGGTGTGTAGTAATGAAGCCACCTGCATTTGTGATTTCACCTGGGCAGGGACAGATTGCAGTATCCGGGATCCAGTTAGGAACCTTCACCCCCCCAAGGATGAAGGACCCAAGGGTTTGTGTGATTTTGGTTTCAATTCATGGAATACTGAATTCGTTGACACTGTTCCAATGCACCAGTATAACATTCTAATTGACTTAAGAGGAGACACATAAGAATATCTGTTTTTGCCTTTAAAGTATATAATTTATGTTACTGCCAAATTAAGGATTCTGATATATCATATTTTTAAAATGTGTTTGAATTACTTCTTAGTCTAGAACTGAGATTGGGAAGAAGTAAATATACACATTTTCTTTAATACAGTATTCTTTTTCTCTTTAAACCTTATTCTCTTTCTGTAGTCACAAATTATTTTGCAGTTCGTCTAAGCTATGCCATTTTTCTAATAGATCAAATCTTTTTGGCTGACATGAGGCTCTGGTTACTTTTCAATGTTGGAATCTCTCCGGAAGGAAGTTGTCACCTTACAAGCTCTTTTTGAACATTCTTTTGACTAGGAAGGAGTTGGAATTCTTCATAGAACTTTCATTCTTCAAAGAAAATGTGAGAGATCTGGACCTTTGTTTTAATCAGTCATTAAGAGGAGAGAAATTAGAATTTTGGGATTAGAAAGAGACTCAGGGGCCACCTAGGACCACTCTCTATTTTCGCAGATGAGAAGGCCCAGACCCTGAGGTCAGGTCACTTACTATAGTCACCCAGGTAGTGAGAGACAAGGCCAGGATCAGGACCTAAGTCCTAAGTGCCTGATCTCAGACTCTTGTTCTCTTCCCATCCATTATATCATCTTTTTTTTTTTTTTTTTTTTTTTTTTGAGACAGGATCTTGCTCTGTCACCCAGGTAAGAGTGTAGTGGCACAATCATGGCTCACTGAAGCCTCAAACTGCAAGGCCCAAGAATCCTGCCACCATGCCTGGCTAATTTTTTATTTTTTGTAGAGACAAGGTGTCACTATGTTGTCCAGGCTGGTCTTGAACTCCTGGCCTCAAGTGATCCTCCCGCCTTGGCCTCTCAAAGTTCTGGGATTATAGGTGTGAACCACTGCACCCGCCCCTCTTACATCATCTTTTTTTTTTTTTTTTTTTGAGACAGAGTCCGACTCTGTCGACCAGGCTGGAGTGCAGCGGTGTGATCTTGGCTCATCGTAACCTCTGCTGCCTGGGTTCAAGAGATTCTCCTGCCTCAGCCTCCTGAGTAGCTGGGATTACAGGCACCTGCCACTGCGCCTGGCTAATTTTTGTATTTTTAGTGGAGATGGGGTTTCATCATCTTGGCCAGGCTGGTCTTGAACTCATGACCTCATAATCCACCCACCTTGGCTGGGATTACAGGTGTGAGCTACCGCGCCTGGCCTCTTACATCATCTTATAATGTAGTCTGTGTTATCAGGAGTATGGTAATCATTTTTCATTATTCTCCCGATTCTCAACCCCTCATACAATTTTCAAAGATCTAGAAAACCCATCAGTCACAAACAGGCCTACTACAGCATCTGTTACATTGTACCTAAGAAACCAAGGAAATACTAGAACCAGTTTTTATATACAGGGATGACGTTGTACATCAGCTTCTTTATCATGGTACTGCTAACAGTTTTTTTGTAACTGCCGTGCTTTTCTCTGACAGGTAGGAAAATGCATATAGGATTAGTACCATTTAGATCAGCTTAGTTTTGGATGAAAGTTTATTGAAACTCTCTGAACTTCAGTATAGTTTATATGGGAAAAGATGATTTCAGATGCAGATGAAGCTCTGTAGTCCTCAATTCCTGAAGAGATTTAGGCTGATTCAGGCGCATGTGAATTGTTCAGTAATAGTGGGTGTGTTAAAACACATTTTATGCATTTGCTTAATATGCCCATGATATTAAAATTCTGTAAGAATCATAATCACACCCTCACAGTCTATTTCTGTTCTCCTTCTTCTATTTCTAAAAGGGAACGTATTCCACTTTTACACTTAGTCTTTTGTTACTTTAAAACTAGAACAAAAAATTCTTGGATCCACCTTCTGAAGTTAGATTTAGAGAAGATTTAAGCTCTAACAAGAGAAGCCAAGGTTCATTCTTTCCAAATTTTCTCTCCACAGTGTTTCTGTGATTTTTTTTTTAAGATCTAGATGCTATTTCCTCAAGTGATGTATAAAGATGCCTCAACGGATGAGCAGAGCTAAATTTACTTAGACTCTGCCTTTTTTTCTTTAAGTAGAGTAGGGGGTTATTAATTGTCTGGTTCTGTAATATCTATTCCCTGTTCCTTCACCCACCCATGCCTAAAAATCTTTGGAGGCATTAAGTAAAGAAAGTCACATTCTAGAGAAAGAGTACTCACAGCTGCCTTTTGTTTTGTTTTGCTTTACTCTCTCCATTTAATGTGGTAGTATCCCACACTACCTTTAAAAAAAAATAACTTTTTTGATCCTTCAAGTAATACATACTTATTGTAGAAAAATTTGAAAATACGGAAAATATTAAAACTCAGAGGTGCTCAAGATAAGCCTTATTGGGCCTGGCTCAGTGGTTCGCGCCTGTAATCCCAAGACTTTGGGAGGCCGAGGGCAGGTGGATCATCTGAGGTCAGGAGTTCGAGACCAGCCTGGCCAACATGGTGAAACCCCATCCCTACTAAAAATACAAAAATTAGCCAGACACGATGGCACATGCCTATAATCCCAGCTACTTGGGAGGCTGAGGCACGAGAATTGCTTGAACCCAGGAGACAGAGGTTGCAGTGAGCCAAGATCGTGCCACTGTACTCCAGCCTGGGTGATAGAGTGAGACACTGAGCCCCCTACTCATCCCCCAAAAAAGAGGCCAGGCACGGTGGCTTACACCTGTTATCCCAGCACTTTGGGAGGCCCAGGCAGGCGGATCACCTGGGGTCAGGAGTTTGAGACCAGCCTGGCCAACATGGTGAAAACCCATCTCTACTAAAAATACAAAAATTAGCCGGGCATGGTGGTGCGTGCCTGTAGTACCAGATACTGGGGAGGCTGAGGTAGGAGAATCGCTTGAACCCAGGAGGTGGAGGTTACAGTGAGCCGAGATCGTGCCATTGTACTCCAGCCTGGGTAACAGAGCGAGATTCCATCTCAAAAAAAAAAAAAAAAAGAGATAAGCATTCTGGTATGCTTCTTTCCTGTTGCATTTTTCTTTTTCCATTTTTAATGAAGACAATGGAGTCATTGCAAAGTTATCTATTGGTTCTAAAATTATTAAAAACCTTATGAATCTCTAATAATTTTGATTAAATTGAAAATGTCATTAAATGAAATAAATGACCTAGTTATTTTTATAAATATTTACATTTCCAGAAAATTCAAGCAATTTTAGTACAAGTAAATAATAGCTTTTATCTGTAATAGCTATCTATATCTTTTTAACCTCTATTTAAAAAATCTATTAATATACTGGTAAAACAGAAACTAAAAAATTTTAAAACTCTGTTGTAGATTTTATTATTTTGTTTTTGATTGTCAGGTTAAAAGAAGATTCCAAGTGAGAAATTATGTGCTTTTCGTTTTATTCAGTTAGCAAATATTTATTGACTGTCTACTATTTAAAAGATAGCGTATGCTTGGCACACAGACACTCCATAAATATTACACTCTTCTCTTTTGAAATATGCAAAGGAAATGAGATGGTGCATGCTAGTGCCACTTTTCAGTTTATCCATATTCATTTGTTTTGTTGCCTTGCCGACGAGTAATAGGTAATGGACTCAAGTTATTAAAACAATCAGTGTTTTACTTACTGTAGGCTCAGCAGTGTGTGAGACACTAAGATTTTTCTCAAAAAATGCATGTTGTGGCCGGGCACGGTGGCTCACGCCTGTAATCCCAGCACTTTGGGAGGCCAAGGCGGGCGGATCACAAGGTCAGGAGATCGAGACCATCCTGGCTAACACAGTGAAGCCTCGTCTCTACTAAAAATACAAAAAAATTAGTTGGGCGTGGTGGCAGGCACCTGTAGTCCCAGCTACTCGGGAGGCTGAGGCAGGAGAATGGCGTGAACCTGGGAGGCAGAGCTTGCAGTGAGCTGAGATCGCGACACTGCACTCCAACCTGGGCAACAGAGTGAGACACTGTCTCAGGAAAAAAAACCAAAAACTGCATGTTGTATCTTTTTTCTCATGATCCAACTGGTTTGGTTGGCACCTGCCTGATTGAGCACAGTGTTTGGGCCCTCCCCAAATGCTTGCCATTTATAATGGGCACCACCCACAGTGGCCAATCATATCCATAGATGAAGGTTTTCTGTATAGGTGCAGTAAGAGTATTAAAAATACTTAGTTTTATTTAATTTCAATGTGCTTCCATTATATAGAGAAAAAAATTCAAGAAACATAATGAAAATATGGCCTTTTTAAAAATCATGAACATGGGCATAAAAGATAAATTGTACCCAACTGCCCTTTGGATCAAGACCAAATTAGTAAAAATGAAGGCGAATTCTATGACTCCGTCTTCACTGATTTGAGAATGTCAGAAATGAACTGATGTGTTTTGTGTATTTCTTTTATTTTAACTATAAGTTCCTGGAAGAATAGGAAATTCAACCTCTCCTGTGTGAGGACTGAAAGCATACCTGAAAGCATTGCCACTGTAGTCACCCTGTACTTACTACAGTTGTCCACTATGGACCCATAATTTAAGGCATGCTAGATTATTCACGCCAACTTCTCAAACCAAACTATTGAAAGACAAGAAATAAGATCTCAAAGCACAAACCATGTGAGCAAGGATTTTTTAAAAAAGATTTTTGTCACATTATTTATTTTTTCTACGTTGTTCATTTCACATGCAAAAACCCTTTCTTAAGTTTATTTTTAATTTTTTATATTTTTTAAGCCTAGTCCTTCTCTCAACTTGTTTCCACTGAAATCATTATAGAAAATTATTTTGCTTTGTTCTACAAGGACAGAATGTATTTTAACTCTGTTTAAAAGACCTAGAATTCTCTCCTGTTACAGGGAGACCCACATCAAGTACCCCAATTATTGTCTGTATGTAGACACATTCTCAAGGTGCTTACTATAGAATACAGTGGAACTTTTCTCATTTGATAGTTTACATCACCATTGTAAGAAGGAAGAGAAACTGGGACATAGGTAATGTTTTCAGTGATATGTATGGGCAGATATTCCTGGGAAGCTTTGGTCAGACCTTTTCATCACAACCACACTCATCAAATCAGAAATGAAAAGGGCCTTAGAAAGAATTCAGTCTAGACCCCTTGTTTTACAAATGAAGAAACTAAGTTAGTTTTCAGGGTTAACAAAGAGTGAGAGGCAGAGCCAATAATATAACATAATCACCTTATCTTGAGCCAAATGCTTTTTTCTGTTATTCCATACTCCTGTTTTGAAGTTGAATAGTGAGGCTAGGCACAGTGGCTCACGCCTGTGATCCCAACACTTTAGGAAGCTGAGGTGGGCAAATTGCCTGAGCCCAGGAGTTCCAGACCAGCCTGAGCAACATGGAAAAACCCCGTCTATATAAAAAAATAAAAAAATTAGCCAGTTGTGGTGGCATGTGCCCATAGTCCCAGCTACTTGGGAGGCTGAAGTGGGAGGATCACCTAATCCCATGAGGCAGAGGTTGCAGTGAGCCAAGATCACACCACTGCACTCCAGCCTGAGCAAGAGAGTAAGACCCTTCTCAAAAAAAAAAAAAAAAAGCTGAATATTAAGTTATTCTGCTAGTTCTCATAGCACAATAGTAAACAGAAAGTGAAACAATAACCAGGTAGTAATCAAGCTTATTAACTGATCCATTATTGTCAGTGATGCTTTTTATGGAATTAGATAAGAAAGGAAGTATTATATTATTATCATTTAGTATTTTTAAAATAATAGTTTTGAAGTCTTATTTTCTGAGGTATTAACCTTGAGGAGTATTTAGTGTTTACATTTACCTTTTGCAATATATCCTTTTGGTGACTGTCTTCGTCAGTGCACAAATCTTTGATTTTATAGTTTAGATGATTAGATATGAGAAGTTATCCTTATCATATATGATTATGCTCATGTATAATTATGTGCTACCTGGATATTTTTCTCAAATAACAATGGCCTTATCAATAACCCAAGGATATATCAAGTTTAAAAATTTTTTAATAACTGAATTTATTTTGTTTCAGTTCAGAAAAACCCTATTTTCATTGACAGCATAAACTGAAATATATTCTTACATGAAATCATTTATTTTGCATCCTTTTAGACATTTGTCCATGTATCTAAAAATGAACTTGTTTTTTTCTTTTATGGAAAACAGTAAGGAGATCTGATTGTATGTATAATGTATTGAAATATGGAGCTACATACCAATATTATACACTAGTATATAAAGAGTTTATTTAGTATTTACTTTTCTTGTCTTGAATGGTAGTGGAATAATAAATCCCTGAAGAAAGCACTTTGGTCCATGGAATACAAATGATGACTTTGATGCCTCCTGCCTGTGAAGTATCAAAAGATACAGGATTTTAACCCCCTTTGGAATCACTTGGGGGAAATAATGCATCTTCTTATTTGAGAAACTCTCTAAAAATAAGGAAAAAAACCCACTCAATTTCAAAACAGCACATTTTCAAAATGTCTGAAGCATGACATGTCTATAAAGGAATTCTACATATAAAATAGAAAATCTTAAGAAAAGGAGAAAATTTATAGTTTTTGATATTTTATACTTACCAAAAATTCTGTCTTTTAGCACAAGTAAACCTAGGTAGCAGGGACCAAGACTGAAAATAATAATAAACCAACAAGTAATGGAAATAAGCAAGTAAACAAAAATGAAAACATTCTGCTAGGTAATAAACAGATTCCACAAACACATTATACTGAAAAGTAAGTGTATCAAAGAGTTAGGGAGCAAAGTTAAGTTCCTAATAAAAGGATTGTGTTGTCAGCTAGAAGCTTTAAGCGTTCCATCTCCAGGTTTGGTAGGATGAGAAGGAAAATAAGATATATCATCGTGTGTCCAGCATAGTTCCTTGAACAAAAAAAAAGGTATTTAGTAGGTAATGAATGAATTAATGAATAAATTACAGAATAGATAAATTAGTGTAGAAGTAGAATTTTTTTCAATGAGATGATAAATTCTTTGTAGCTATGAAAAGCAGCTGCAACCTTTGTTTTCAAATATGTCCCCTATAAAAATCCACCCACCCGTGAGCTACTCAGTTAATTTATGTCAAGGTGATGCACAAGTTCCTACTTGCCAAAACAAAGTTCAGCACTCTCTAAAGGAAGAGAACAAAAGCAAAGCAGAATCGACAAAAAGAAAATCTTCACATCTTTAAGAGACAACCATGTTCAGTACAATGACAAAGAATCAAATGGCACTTTACATGTATTTGCAGGATACTGTGTCACTCAAAGTAATGGGAGGGAGAGAGAACAGGGAGGGTAGGGATGCTTTTGAAAAAGCTTTTTTTCCCACTTTTAACTTGCTTTAGCGTTAAGAGTACTTACCAGCTAATAATGTGGAGGAAATTATTCTTTCTCATTGGAGATTACAGAATATATCTATTCATCTTGAATACCCACTTGAAGCCTCTGTAGAAATGTCTCGTCCTCCGGTTGTATTTCTAAAACCTACATGATTTTGTCTTGTTTCTGCAGTGAGAAATTACATCCATAGCAAAGACAAAAGTCTTTTTAAATTATTTTTATTTATCTTTCATATAGTTCTTACAATTTCTAAAAAATTAACACTCATTTAGTATCACAATTTATGGGAGAGGGTTTTTTGTATTTTTAAGCATATGTGGCTTATATAAAAATTGCAGAAGTCATAGGACTGTCATGTATTGCAGCTCTGAGAACCAATGCCTGAAACTTAAGCCAAAAAAAAAAAAAAAAAGTTATGACCAGGCACGGTGGCCTCATGCCTGTAATCCCAGCACTTTGGGAGGCCGAGGCAGGCAGACCACGAGGTCAGGAGTTCGAGACCAGCCTGGCCAATATGGTGAAACCCTGTCTCTAACTAAAAATACAAAAATTAGCCGGGTGTGGTGGTGCGCACCTGTAGTCCCAGCTACTTGGGAGGGTGAGGCAGAAGAATTGCTTGAACCCGGGAGGCAGAGGTTGCAGTGAGCTGAGATCATGCCACTGCACTCCAGCCTGGGCGACAGAGCGAGACTCCATCTCAAAAAAAAGAAAAAAGAAAAAAAAGTTATAAAATAATGTATATCAGTTAATTTAGTATTCTGAAAGCAAGGGTTTTCTAAGGTCTTTTTAAAAATGAGGCTTCATATTTTGAATACCTTTCAGTCCCAGTGTTTGCCTCCATAACTTGAAAATCGGAGTAGTTCAGGTGGTTTTGAGTTCTAATGTATTGTCATAGTGGGGAAACATTGCTGCCACCTTCTGTGTTGGTCTTCTTCCCTTAGCCTTCAACACTCTCGGGGGACTTTTCTGTTCTCTGTTGTGTCCCCATCTTTTTGTTTGTTTGTTTTTTAAGAAACCAGGTTGTGCTTAGTCAATGATAAAACTAGAATTTCTCCCTCACATTATTATCTTGTGATAAGATAAAGCAGTATACAGTTAATTAACAGGGTTAGAAATCCAAGATTCTTTCTCTTCCTCTGGGAAAATATTTAGCTAAAAATGTCAGTGAGCCCAATTGTAAGCCTTAAAAAATGGTGGCTTTGAGTCGTGGATCTTTGTTTCGTTTCACTGTCTCAGAGCACACAATACATGTGAAGGGCAGCCTTGTTGAAGCTAATCTCTGTTTTCATGGGAAAGGTAATTTGAAGCCAGTCCTTTTGATTCCTATAGAAATATGAAATAAAGTGTATGTATGTCCACACACTTGTGTGCACACAGGCACAGACACACAACTGCAAACAATGTGTCTTCCAACTTTAACACCAAACTTCATTTTGCCTTTGTAGCGGGAACCTTGGGGACCTCCACTCATTCCAGGCCCATTTTCCAGGATTGGAAAGCTGTACACAGAGAAGCAGTGACATAAAGTTATTCAGATTCTCACTCTGATAGTCATCTACCACTTGGTGGTCTGAAGCAATTAATACGGTTTCCCAGAGACCCTAACTTTCTATAAGTTTATCCACTTGAGACTACTAATAAACAAAAAACAAAATGTCTAAATACTATGACAGAAATCCAAATATTGCAGACTTATCTGAAATACGCTTTTCAATAACTTCCCAGGTAAACATGTATTTACTTTTAAAGCTATTCTGTCTTGAATTTGTAAGGATCTTTGCAAAACTGAATGATATATTCTGAATTTTGAAAAGATGTAGCTTCTTAGGCATATTTTACAGTTTGAGAATTTTATAAACAATTACTAATGGTTCATTACTTTTGTAATTAAAATACAGATTTGCTGTTATGCAATTTAAATTACTTTTTAATTTTACCTCACATCTGGTAGGAACTATAACAAATTGAATTATTTATGTATTTATAAGTACGTATAAGATAATTATGTTTTTTAAAAGTAGGGTGTGCAGAATTTGAAGGTAAATTCACAGTTATCCTCAAATATCTTCAATGTGTATGTAGATCTTAATTTCAAATCTTATAGCAAAAAAATTCAATATTTAGCCAACTTTCAAAGCATGTCCTGAATAGATTATTTTGTATGTTAGTGAAATTAGTATGTAATTTCCTTTGTTAAAAAATCTCCATTTTCCCTCCACACAGTGAATATGGCCACAAGCAGGCTAATAGGGGCCGTGGCCGGCACCATTCTGGCCCTGGGGGTGATTTTTGGAGGCACAGGGTGGGGAATAGAGTAAGCATCCTTGCCAGTTTCAGAGTGTTTCTGTGTGGTGCCTGATGTGTGAGGCGATGCCTGTACCTGACTCCATGTCTCGTCCTGTTGACCGTGTTTCCTGTGGTAGTGCACCTTGTGGTGTGACTTGGATGTTGCTTGTGTCCTGTGGTTTTCTTGTGTCATGTAGAACCTTCTCCTGTCTGGAACAATGTGGGGCATAACATAACACTGGGTGTGCTTCCGATATCTTCATAATTAAGGCAATAGTCCCAACACTTCCATTGCTCCTCCACTTTGTAGAAGTAATTTTAAAATACAGACTTTTTTTTAAACCATTTATTGGCAAAAATGCTTTTATATGTGTGTTTTCTTAGGATTCTTGTAATAAAGTTAATCTGTGCCAGTCAAATAAATTTACATATATAACTAGCAATTATCAACAGTTATAGGACCTTTTAAAGGTAATAAAAATGATAGCTACTAATGTTTTCTTCATTTATTTAGAATGATATAGGAGGCTGCAGCTTAATTTTTTAAAAAGAAGATATTTAGCATACTGCCTTCCTATTTTTCCTATAAAATAGGTTAATAATTCAAAATTGAAGTCTACATAAATATTTGGAAGCAAGGAGCATTAAGAATGAAAAAATATTTAATCCAAACCTGTATAACCATAAGTGAACAGCTGCAAATCACCTGGTGGGTTCGTCTTAAAAGTAGCCAGGGTGTAAATAAATATATTGTGTGCCACTTGCCCATTAAGCTGTCACAGAAATACAGTTCTCCTGATGCTTTGATTTAGGGTGCTCTGTACTTGATCCACATCCTCAGAATAGCTGTCAGTTCTCCAGGGCACATTGCTTCCTGAGATTGCTAATCTGTAGATTAAAATATTATCATGATTTTTTTCTTCTCTCTCTAATTAGAAAAAGAATATTTAAGAATGGCAGACATAACCCTTTACACAGTCTTTTCTGTCTACTGTGGTGGTGGTGGTAACACTTCAAAGTGGCCCAGGAATGAATTACTAGTATCTTCAGGAATCACTAGATATCTTTGACTCACCCATCCCAAATCATGGGCTTATTGTGAATATCAGATATGTTTTTCTATAGTCCCATTAGTTAGAACAAATGGGTGCTCCTCTTACACACTGGAATTGGGAGACCCGGGGACCAAAATAGCATTAAGAGGGAAGCAGGTTCATAGTTCACACCTTGTGTTGAAGATGACATGAGCCTTCTTTCTCCTGGATTCAAGGACTTTGACCAGACTTAGATCTTCCAACTCACATCTCATCTCTATGGACTGTGAAGCTGGTTAGCACAGGGGAAGCTAGAAATACTAGAAAAGAGATTTTGTTTCTCCTTGTGTATTAGAAAACAAAGACCATAACAGGGATAAAAATATTTAGAGACAAAAACTTTGTCCTGTAAAATTTCCCCTTGGATCTGTTGACTGGATTGTATACAGAAGAAACATTCCTTTTTCAGGGCCAGCTCCATGCATGCATTTATGTGAAATTCCTCCTTGACAAATGGTAGTTTTCTGAAAATCATCCCAAATGCATTTTTTAACATTATACATTGGCTGTAACTTTGGTGTCCTTAAATGTACTAATTGAAAGGATGAATTTTAATAATCCTTCCTTGAAGTCTTAGAGATAGGTAAAAATCAAAGAGGCCTTTCTTGTAAAACATAGTCCTTGTTATCAGCATTTGTTTTCATCAATCATTTCCAGTTTTGTTCGTTTGTGACTATTTCTAATTGTGACAGGTAAGTCTGTGTAAGTGTATGTATATTTTTTCTAAAGATAGATTTGTTATTATTCCTGGTTTATGAGCACTAGTTTTCTCTTAGCTTACTGATTTTTTTCCCCATCAAATTCCAAGTTTTAGCATAATTGCTCAAGAAATATAGTTTTTTAAAAAATAATGTAGTACAATATAGATTGTCTCAACATTTCTTAGTTTAATTGATAGAGTAATGTTCATTCAGTCACTAAGAATTCCATGGACAGTTTTTTTTTTAATTTCTCCTTAGTTTATAAGTCAGGAATCATTTTTCATGAATTATGTGTTGATTCTAATCCTAGCCTGTTTTCTGAAGCGGACGAAGTGCAAATCATATCCAAAGCATAGAGTATGTACATGGTTATATATTTTTTTAATATTTGTTTTGAAATTTGATTCTCTGTTGAATTGTGGGGAGGAAATACATGTAAGTAGAATAAAGTTTCTCTAAAACAGAAGTTAGCAAACTTCTGTAAAAGGCCAGATGGTAAATAGTTTTAGCTTTCAGCCTACAGGGTTGTCTGTAACAACTTCTCAACAATGCTGTCTTAGCATGAAAGCAGCCATAAACAATATGTAAATGAATGTGCATGGCTATGTTCCGATAAAACTTTTTTGCAAAAGCAGACAGTGGGGCTAGATTTGGTCTGTGGGCTCCAGTTTCCTGACCCTTGACTTATAGGATATGTTTTAGGGTCAGACAAATCTGTGTTCACATCTTGCCGCTATCACTCACAAACTTCTAGAAGCCTGTTTCCTCATCCATTAAACAAGGATAGTCATAGTTCCCACCTCATACGATTTTTGTAAAGATCAAAAGAGATACTATATGTCAAGTGTTCAGTACTGTGTCCAGCACATAGTAAGTGCACAATACGGTAGCTGTTTAAACTATTTTTATGGCTCTCATTATTATTATTATTATTATTGGTGTATCTCTAAAGGCAACTGAGATTCGTTCTCTAGACGGTCAGTGGTTAGTCTTAAGAGCATGTCACAAGCCCAGGAGCCTAAAGAGACCTGCACCCCGAGACTGTATTGCAGCTGTCCTCTACCTGCCCACCAAGCACTGGATGGTCTCCGAATAAAAACACATTATGCATGCAATTTGTGTGCTGCCAAAAGTGGCATCCATTTATGTACACAGTTGAGGGCACTGATGTGAGCAGAAAAGAGAATTTTTTACACAGAAATGAATGTTTACACAAAACTCAAGGATTTTCGGGAAACTAGCAACATTGGCTTTGTGATTCCTGGAGCAGGGATAGATAGGACTGAAAGTATTTTGTTGTTAGGGGACACTGTACCTGCATGTTAGCATCCTGAAGGATGGGATATGTAAAGTAATTATTATACTAGGTTTAACGTTGCTTAGATTTTAAAATGCTAAGCTTAAGGAGAGGAGTGAGCGAGTGGACAGGAGTTACTAGGATATGGATTAGCTCTTACCCTTAGCAATTGATAGAAATGCCACCTTGTCTTTTCTTTCTTACTGTCCTTTGGCTCTCTGCTTTTTTATATCTCTAAGCCTGAAAGTTCTGTTAGTAACAATGGGAACTTTAAAGCTATTCTCAGTTGAATCTAAGGAATCTTTTTACCATTTCCCCAAAATTACCCAAATGAGATTTATGCTTCCTTATATCTTGCCTTTGGAACCCCATTTTGGTCTTTACCACTGTAAGGATAGTGAAGAAGTGTATCTTTGAGAGCAAGGCTTCAAAAGTCAGATCTGTATTGACTTCCTTCTGACTGCTAAGTTTTAACTGTTTCCAAGTGGGGAATTAAAAAGTTAGCATTCAGACCACTTTTAGGTGCTTTTTGGAAGGGCATTGTAGCAGAATGTGTTTCCTTTCCTCCATGCCCCCATTTGTGAGTCAGATGGAGCTTGTCTGAATGCGATGGTGTTCTCTCTGTGCTTTTACTTATTTGATACATGATACTGGGAGAGGGGAAGAGAAGAAGGATGTGTAAAGACAGCAAGTGGGGCCTATTTGCTTCAAATTCTGTGAAAGGTGAATTTAATGGAACTTAATTGTCAATGGTGCAGAAACTTTAGATTTAAAGGCATATAAATCCAAGCAACGCTCACCGTAGCATCTAAAATGCAATTAAGCTAAGTAAATAAAGGCAATTTAAATGTTTAGCCGTCTTTTACACAGGATATTTACTTCCTGAAACTGCTTAACTGCCTTTCCCTTGTGGTAACGAAAGTGGTTGGTTCATATGACTCTCTTCCCATGATCCTTTGTCACAGGTCCTAGTGCCACCAATCTCATAATAGGCTCCATCGCTGGTGCCATCCTGGTAGCAGCTATTGTCCTTGGGGGCACAGGCTGGGGATTTAAGTAAGCAACGCCGCATGTCTTCTTCTCAGTGGCTCTGGCATTTCTCTTTTCTGCTTACATAACCAAGTTTTGAGTTCCTGCTACAAGAGCTTAGGTTCTGTCAGTCAAACTGCAAAAAATAAGTCTTTTTATTCAGAAATGGGTTAGAAATGAAGAAACACGGACCCTCAACTGTCATTTTCAGGCAAGTGGAAATGTAGAAGGAATTCATATACACTGATTTTTAAGGAGAACAACGAAGTTCTTTGGTAGAAGACAGTCCAGCTTGTAAGAGCAGGCACTCTGAGATACATTCATTTCTACACAGGAAATCGAGGAAACCATGTAGTTGGAAATAAGTGGATGTAAATTGCTTGTATCTGTTTAAAACTTGTTTGTAGTCCACTGATATTTTGAAATTTTCACAACCTAAGTAATTATGCAATCATTACTTGTATTTTTCATATGTAACATAGTATATGTAGCTTTGTGATTTGAAAAGCTTTATAGTTTAATGAAAACAGATTTTAAAAGTATTTGTATAATCCTCGACCAACTGAATTGGTTTTAAATCAGAATTTGAAAAATGTGGCTTTGTGACACTTAGTATTTTCTAATCAAGGACTAAATATTGACCTGACAGGTAGGCCTGGTGTGTTTTCATAGTGACCTTTTAGTTTGGATTGCACACTGCTTACTGAACTAAGATTGTTTAAATAGACACACTGGGTATTCACAAATAAACTTCAATTGTGATCAAAATTTTTAAAGCTGATTTATCCAGGCTGGCTATTTCTACACTCCAGAATCATTGGATAATTGCTTTTTATACCTTTTCATGCTATAGTGAGTTGATGATTATGATTTGTAGGTAAGCCCTCCTGTGCCTCCTGTGATAAATTTTCAGCCAGATTCACAGAAACAAATTTAAGTGGGAAATAAGACCATTACCCAAATTCAAAACCCACTTTGCCTGCATCTGGTTACTCAAAAGAGGAAGCTTTTGCCCTGAACTATCTGAATAATTGCCTTAATTATAAACTTTATATGTTTTATATTTGGGATTTTGAATTCAATATGTTTCAGCCAGTTAAAGTGTTATTTTTAGAAGCTGATTAAAGAAACCAAAGATGATTTAAATACATTCAACATTTTCTGCTAATTTGTTATCATATTAAGATTTATTGAGTAAGTCTACAGTTTTGGAGTGCCTTTAACTTGAAATAGTATTATAAAATTATACGTCTTTTCTCTCGGTATATTTGTAGAGTTGAACTTGTTTAGTAATGTAGTCTTGGCATCAGTGTGTTTTCAAAAACACACTCATAAAATGGACAACTCATATTTAAATTTATTGTTTTGGTATTAATAAAATATTGCCCACATAGTGAGTCACGCATGTGGCATCTAGTAAGAAATATGTTTTCGTTTGGGCGGACCTAATTCAAGCAAAACTTTTCTTAGTGTTCCACTGCTACAAAAAAGTCATTGAACATTATAGTACTGCCATACTCTTATTATTTTATAATGCTTCCTTGAACTTTTTCATTAGTATGCCTCAAGAAAAATAAATCTGGATCATGCCCAGGCTTATGCCTCATTTGGCGTTAAGAAATCCCGGTTTCAAAGGCCTGGAAAACAGTCTATTACACGTCTTTGCCGTCTAGCCATATGCAATGCCAAATTTATCATTGCAGTGTTTCGAGAGAAGAGCACACTATTCTGTAGCAGGACCTCAAAACAGTGGCCTGGCCTAGCTCACAGCTTGAATTGCATGTTTCTTTGGGGAAAAATGGAAAAGCCTTTATCACTGTGTATATAAGTGGATTAGGCCCTGTAAAGATTCTTTATATCTGAGAGAGAGAGAGATCTCGTTATCACAAGAACAGAAAACAAAAGGTGGGGGATCAGCACTTAGTGAGATGAGAAACAGCCTTTGCTGACTGCTGCCTGGTTGTTGCTGTGTAGGGACCTGTACTGCTGAGCTGAGTCAAAGCCCCTTCCTGTGCCCTGTAACTCTGATAATCACTTTCAGGGAGAACTGTGTAGAAAGACACACAATAGGGTGAAGTATTTCATGCCCCGAAGCAAAGAAAACGATGAAGACTAAGAATAATTCCAGAACATGTAACTTCAGGAGTTTAAATTTGGAGAATGTGCTACTCCTGGGTGACTGTTGGTTGCTACATGAGGACCTTAATTTGCTTTAGATTTTAGTAGTAACTGTGTGGTTTGTGTTCAGCTTTAAATAACACTTCTACCTTGTAATAAAAGGCTTTTGGTGCTGAATGATAATGTTTAGATTTTCCCACCACTTGGACAGTTCTGGAGATTACTAGTCTGGAGATAATTCGTAAGTATAATTATTTGCTATTTGAACTGAAAGCCTTTGGGTTTGAGTTCAATGTAAATGTTTAAAAAGAAATTCCTTTAGAATCAGAAGTTGAAAATAGTTTGTACAAAAGATTGTTCTAAATGCTGCTATTGGGAATCCCTCCTGATACCAGGTTTTTATTTCTAGAAGAAAAGTTGGTAAGGTAACCTGAACAATTTGAGGGCATGTCAACTTTTTGATTAAAGGAAAATACAGTAACTACTCAGGGAAAATACTATATTTTCCTAATGTCACATTTCTTTAGGTGTACTAGTGAGTAGTTTAGATGTAGAAGTATCATACTATACGTGACCTGCCCAAGTATAAATGAGAAATACAGCTATGCTCTAAGCCCTGACCTTGTCTGCCATTCTTTAAAGTTCTTTCCTTAAACTATTATTTCCTCTGAAATAGGTGGTAAAAAGCATGAAAATGTGTGCATGTATGTGAATGTGTGCACATTTGTGTGTGTGAAGTGATAATAAAGATGTATCAAGATTATTATAATCTGAAAATAATACTGATTTAAATTACATACTTCCTTTTAGTAGATTAGTTGAGTCAGACCGCTTTGGTTAATGCAAGCAAGACTTCCACAAGCAAGGTTGTGGATTTCCTGAAGAATTTTTAAATGTTTTATTTGGTAGATTTTTAAAAAATATTGTCACATATTGTGTAATGTTATGGGTAGTAACTTTGCTTAATTTCTTTTTCTTTTTTTTTGAGACAGAGTTTTGCTTTTATTGCCCAGGCTGGAGTGCAGTGGCATGATCTCAGTTCACCGCAACCTCCGCCTCCCAGGTTCAGGCGATTCTCCTGCCTCAGCCTCCTGAGCAGCTGGGATTACAGGCATGCGCCACCACGCCCAGCTAATTTTGTATTTTTAGCAGAGATGGGGTTTCTCCACGTTGGCCAGGCAGGTCTGGAACTTCCAACCTCAGGTGATCCGCCAGACTCGGCCTCCCAAAGTGTTGGGATTACAGGCATGAGCCACTGTGCCCAGCCAACTTTGCTTAATTTCATACTCCAGAAGTATGAGGTTACTAAGGGTATGATTAGTCGTAGAGTCCCAGGTATTGAGGGTCTTAGGAATTTCTCTATGAAATCCTGTGAAAAACGAACATAGGCATGTGGCACACCAATTTGCTCTACTTCTATATCTGCATTTATTTTCATTCACCCCATGCTCCTGTTCTTCCCCATCACCCACACACAAGAATAAAGTTATGAGCTGTGGTGCAGAGGATTGCAAACCTCTGTCCTAGTTGACTCATGGAGACTCATGACACCTACCCAACATTAAATGATGATACTGCTTGATTCGACTGTTAGAGCTGTTGCTTTTACTGGACATTAGAAAAAGCAGGACCATTTTAGTAGCATCTTCCCTAAAGCTTAGGAAAGGTGAAAAGTATATGAAAAGAGAATTTCATATCTCCATTTAAAAGTGAACAGGATTGTCTTCAGCACCTTAGGCGTTGCTATTTATCTGATATTCCCTAAATTTGAATGTAGGGTTTTACATGCACATTAGTAGGTGATGGTGGTAGGAAAAGAGAAATTCTAGGTGATGGTAGGAAAAGAAATGAAGGTAATAGTGACATGGTTTGTTGAAAATTGAAATCAAAAGGACTACAGGATGAACACTGAGCTTTTCCAGTGATACCGTAACACCTCAGTCTGTAGAACCTCATCACCACGTCTTACTCTCCCGCTACTTGCCCTGTCCATGGGATTCAGTGGCAAAGTGGATTTCATCAGTGGCCATACTGGCCTGGCATAGCTACTCCTTACATTAAAAGTGTTAATTTAATATTAATAAGTCTGTGTAATTATCATACGTGATTCCTTCTCTCTGAGAAGTTATTTGTGTTAAAAGCTCTTCTGAGCCTGACTCTGGATTTAAGAGATTCTGTCTGGCCTACGTTCCATTTTATTGGACATGTTAAAGAAAAGGCTGTTTATGTACTCACACAAAATGAAAAAGAGCTATATCTAGACTATTACCAGCAAAGTTAAGAGTTATCTGAAGCTGGGCATGGTGGCTCATGCCTGTAATCCCAGGCTGAGGTGGACAGATCGCCTGAGGACAGGAGTTCGAGACCAGACTGGCCAACATGGTGAAACCCTGTCTCTACTAAAAATACAAAAATTAACCGGGCATGGTGGTGCACGCCTGTAATCCCAGCTACTCGGGAGGCAGAGACAGAATCCCTTGAACCCGGGAGACGGAGGTTGCAGTGAGCCGAGACTGCGCCATTGCACTCCAGCCTGGGCAACAAGAACAAAACTCTGTCTCAAAAAAAAAAAGAGTTATCTGAATGTCAAGTCAGATAAAATTTGAAAGGAACTTAATATTGTTAATTATATTTTCTCAAAAGAGTAAACACCATTTTTTGTGGGGGCCTTTTGATTTTTATTGAATTAGGAAATTGAATTAAATTTGGCTAGTCTTTCCACGAGGAGGATAACCAGACTGCTGTTTTTTTGAATTCCATGACTGTATCCCAGTTCAAAATGAGAAGCCTGATTCCCTTAATGCCTGGGACTCCTGGGTTAGGCACTTTCTCTTTCATGGTACCAGGCTGGCCAGGAAGATCGGTGCATTTCCCTGCCCCAGCGCCCCAGGGAAGTGAGCTCAGTGTATGGTGGCCTAGGAGGGGTTGGGCTAGGGACACTTCGTCAGGGGGTGACTCAGCATAGAATGATAAGAATGTGCTAACCATGGATAAATATATGCCCTTGAAAGAAGAACTAAAGGCTTTACGGCTCTGAGACGGTTATTGTTACTGAAAGAGTCTTGCTTTAATTTTGTGTAGATGTTATGTGTATAATGTATATTGTAGACAAAAGTCCAGATTATTTCAGAAGTAGTAAAAATGGATGAAAGCTGTGAAAATGTAAGCTTTATGGATTATGCTAGTGTTTTATAATGATCCAGAAATACCTTACAGGTTATGAGAAAGTTAATTACCTTCAGAATCCTAGTGAGCGGAGGGTATTCAGAGGAAACCGTTATGAAGAAAGTCAGCAAGGACCTGCCCGCAGTAGTTGTACTTTCACATTAAAATTGAACTGAAAGAATATTTTTTTCATAGAGAAAATTCAGACCGTTCTCAACATACAGTGACTGTGATGGTTTTACAATTTATGTGTGAGGCACCTTCACAGTCCGCTTGCCACAGGAGTGTTCATCTCTGTCCTCATCGCAGTGTGGCCTCCCTTGTAGAGGAGCTCACTTTCCCCCTGCTGGGACATCAGTGGAAGAGCTAAGGTCCTGGAATGCCCCATTGGTGTTCAGAGTCCATTTTCATCCAGAAAGATACAGTTCTGCAGGATGGCTCAGCCTCTCTGTCTGGCCTGGGAACCCAGTGATCCTGTAGAGCAATATTTCTGCAAAAAGGTGCAACCTAAGCTTCAAAAACCAGCTTTTAAAAAGAGCACAAGCTTTTGGACACCAGCGGTTGTCTGTGTGCCAGGCTGAAATGGAATTTCCTATCTCCATTTAAAAGTGGACTGCATTGCTGTTACGACCTTGGACATGGCTACTTATCGGTCATTCCCGAATTTGAATAAAGGAATTTAGATGTGGGCAACATGCACAGTGCTAGCTTGGTTTGCCCTTTCCTCTACATTTGGATTTACTGAGGAAATTTAGTTTAACATTTATCTTGAGTTCTAGCAATACATAGCTCACAAGATTGGGGCCTCTTGTCCTTCAGGGTCATTTCACAAGGTCAGGCAGTCTCTGTTTTTCCTCCCTGACTCACAGAGTATGGCTCCTTAAACCTCTACCTTCCAGGGATATGAACATAGGTGGCAGATGGAGACCCTGTGCTCTGCAGCAAACTAACTTGGTGGAGGATGCATTATGGGATACTTGCCTTTTGGTTTCACATTGGTTTCTTGGGCAGCATCAGCAGTGCCCGCTTTCAAGAATGTTGACTTAAAAGAGGGCTGGGTGGGAATGATGAAGAAAAGTAAACAGCATTGTTGCAGATAGTGTTGGCTGCAATGGTTACCTGCTAGGCCAATGAGTCACACACTTAGGTCACTCATGAAGACGTTTTAATGTAAACTTTAAAAAGAAAAGACAAGTTTTCTTTAAAGACTTTTATGTTGATATTTCAAAAGAGAAGCATCAAAGTGACCATCTTGGGAAAAATAAGAACTTTGCAGGATGCCTTTATACCTATTTTGAGCTTTGGTATTGTTTTTATTTTGAATTACTTGTGGGGGAGGAGGAATATATCGCAATGGCTTTGATACTTAGGGCCTGTAAGGGTATCCAGCTGGCCCTCAGTCGGTGGGCAGGGGAGTGAGGGCTTTGGGGACTCCTCAGTCTCCAGTTTTGCATGATGCCTCGGTGGCAGTAGCGTTGCACCCGCCCAGTATGCAGACTAAATGCATGAGCCCCTTGCTTGATGCCCCACATAAAGCCAGACCATGGGGAGGTTGCAACCAACTTTTACTGTTGCCTTGTAGTGTCTTGCTGGTTCTTTCTTTTCTCTTTAAACATAGGAGCCACTTTTTAGGAGACTGGACACTGTGAGCAAAGCATTTTAACTTGCCGATTTTCAACTAAGCTAAATTCTGCATTTGCTTAACTAACCTGAACCTGTGTCCACTCTCCTTTGAGTGTACTGTCTTACTGTGCACTCTGTTTTTCAACTTTCTAGATATAAAAAATGCTTGTTCTATAGTGGAGTAAGAGCTCACACACCCAAGGCAGCAAGATAACTGAAAAAAGCGAGGCTTTTTTGCCACCTTGGTAAAGGCCAGTTCACTGCTATAGAACTGCTATAAGCCTGAAGGGAAGTAGCTATGAGACTTTCCATTTTTCTTAGTTCTCCCAATAGGCTCCTTCATGGAAGAGGCCTTCCTGTAATAATTTTCACCTAATGAATTAGCAGTGTGATTATTTCTGAAATAAGAGACAAATTGGGCCGCAGAGTCTTCCTGTGATTTAAAATAAACAACCCAAAGTTTTGTTTGGTCTTCACCAAAGGACATACTCTAGGGGGTATGTTGTGAAGACATTCAAAAACATTAGCTGTTCTGTCTTTCAATTTCAAGTTATTTTGGAGACTGCCTCCATGTGAGTTAATTACTTTGCTCTGGAACTAGCATTATTGTCATTATCATCACCATTCTGTCATCATCATCTGATTAATATTGTGGATTTTCCCCCTCTGCTTGCATCTTCTTTTGACTCACTCTGGAAGAAATGTCAAGAAGAGAAGGTTCGATCCTACTCAGCAAGGCCCCATCTGAATCAGCTGCGCTGGATGGACACCGCCTTGCACTGTTGGATTCTGGGTATGACATACTCGCAGCAGTGTTACTGGAACTATTAAGTTTGTAAACAAAACCTTTGGGTGGTAATGACTACGGAGCTAAAGTTGGGGTGACAAGGATGGGGTAAAAGAAAACTGTCTCTTTTGGAAATAATGTCAAAGAACACCTTTCACCACCTGTCAGTAAACGGGGGAGGGGGCAAAAGACCATGCTATAAAAAGAACTGTTCCAGAATCTTTTTTTTCCCTAATGGACGAAGGAACAACACACACACAAAAATTAAATGCAATAAAGGAATCATTAAAAAAAATAGTAAATGATTTTTTTTCCCTCAGCCTGCTGGCACTTAATATCTTCTAAATGATTTGGCATGATTTTTTTTTCTTTACTACCGATGACAAACTCCAGTGGCATGAAGATCTAATTTTCAAAAGGGTAAAAACTGCATGGCATATATACAACAAGCTAGCAAGCCAATTCTCAGCAAAACCTGCAACAGAATTCCTAAAGTGAAGATGACAGATGAACACAAAGAAGCTGCCTGGGCCTCTTCACTTAAACATGTCCCCACACCCCATCCTCTCGGAGCCCCACTTCTTACCCCCCACCTCCCACCCTCTATAATCCCCACTCCCCATTGGAGACCAGGCCAGGGCAGAACTCCACGGACCTTGCTCTTGTTGATTCACTTTCCCCATTGTGTTTTCTCCTGGACTGAGCATCCTTTGGAAATGGGAGCTGGAATTTGAACAATGATGCTATTGTATAGTTCTTTTATAAATGTAAATATGGAAATAAGAGATTTTGACACATCATTTTCACTTGTCTGTATTGAGATATTTTCCTTGTAAAGGTTCTCTGTAAACTTGAGTTGATTTTTTGCTCCCCATCTTTTTTGTTTCTTGTCTCTCTTTCTCTGTCTCTGTCCTTCTCTCTTGTAACGTGTTATACAATGACTCTTGGGCTTGCTTAAAAAGACAGATATAGCCACAGATGCAGGGAGTTTGGGCACAAAACACGTGCAGTTTAAAGTTGGTGTGCGTTAAACCAAAAATAAAAGGGGGGACATAAACAACAAAATAACCCATATCAAAGACACAAAATTATGTAAATGGAAATATATGTACTAAGTTTCGAAAATTTTTTGATGTCATTATAAACCTATGTAAATAATGTAAGAAAGTAGACACCCTTTCAGATTAATCACAAAAGTGCCAAGCTCATGATTTTGGTTTTCGGTTTTGACAATTTTCTTTCCCTGTCTTTAATGTGAAAGGAGGATAAACTTAAAGCCTTAAATAAAAAAATTTTTTTAAATGTTAAAAGCTTGGAAAAAATTAAGCTTTCCATTTTATTTGTATTTGTTAGTGTCAATATTTCATCCATGCTCATTTTCCTGCCTCAAAATATATATGGTAGAACCCTATTGGAAAAGTGGTAATGGGAATAGAAGGAGCAGTTACCTTTGTATCCGCATTGTTAAAATAGGCTTTTATGCTGTGCTGTGCTTTCAAGAAACCTTGTTTGACCTCTGGCATTTTACTGATCAGTGGACCGTTGCACTGGATTATAATGGGATTCTACTATATACAAATCCACATTGTTCTTCTCCCTCCAGCCAGATTTGCAGATGTAATCTGGGCTTTCCAAGTCCCTCTGAGTTTCCTTCACTTTTACTGATTTTTTTCTTCTAAATATGGTCAAGATAGCTTCTGTCACATGTTAAGTAAATAAGCTGAAGAAATTTGGTCCCGGCTTTGTTTTAATGTACAAACCGGTATGTGATCACTTCAGTGAGCATCCCTCTATAGATGGGCTTTAGTAAAGACTGTCCCAAAGAGCCCCTACTTCTCTAATGCCCCCCCCCTTTTTTTTTTAGGAAAAGAACATGCAGTTTTACTCATCACTTCTTCATGACACCAAATCCATTGCTAGGTTTAGCTCCTGGTCCCTTTTCAGCAAGATTCATGTTATCCGTCTTACAACTTTGATTTTGGAAAGTATTATGTCCTAAAAATGCACTGCTTAACACAGTGGGGTTTTTTTCCCCCGAGGTGTCTTTAACTGGGGAAGTACCACAAACATAGAGCAGAGACTTTAATTTCTATATTCTACAATAGACCATCACCAAACATCTTATCATGTTGTTGCTTTCTGAGTAATAGGTGCTACGCAGGTAGGCGGGCTTTCTCTAGGACTAGGTGTACGTTTATTTTGTAATAACAGGGCTATCTACAAGGCCTCTCAGCCTTACTCCTGGCTTCATAGGACACAGGTAGCATCCCTCTAGTCATTGGCAATGGCTCTTTCAGCTCGGAGGAAGCTTGGAGGAAACTCAGATTACTTGGTATCTTTTCCTGTTGCTGCATTGCTTAGTGTTTCCTTGTTGCTGGGTCCTACTCTCTAGTAGATACTAAACTGCTGTGAAGTACACCATACACATTTCACTAAGATTCCAGAGCCACCTTGGTGACATAACAGAAACAAAATCATGTTGGTTACAAAACAAATTAAATCTCTATTGTTAACTTTTAAGCATTTCACAAACAACATTGTAAATGTGCGATGTTACGTTTTAAATCAGACCACAGTGGTCCCCAAATATTATGTACATATGGCAAATGTCAGTGTAACTTTTTGTTACACTGGCAATTTCATAGGTAATCGAACCTATGCTCCAATGTTAAATTATTTGTGTATATGTAAAATACACAAGCTTTAAGCTATGTGTGTATGAATATGAAAGTTAATGCAACCATATCAATTGTAAAAATGGATTATAATTATTTTTGATGGTATTAGGTTATGTAGTTTCAAACTCTTTGCTGTATTTTGTTTTGCACCTGCCATTCATTTGCTAATTTTTGTGGCGTGGAGATTCTTTTTTATTAATTTGAGCTCACAGCACAAGTGTATCACTGTTTAATGTTACCCAACAAGAGTTAGTGTTAAGTGATGATCAAGTTCCCATTTCACCTGCTCTACTTTTGCTGCATTAATTAATGACACCCGGATGAGGAGACGTGCGCTAACTTCATTGCTCATCTGGGATAGTGCATGAGCCCATTGAATTAGAGCTGCTCCTACTAGATAACTGAGCAGTACACATAAGTGCATGTTATGAAACATGAATCACATAGAGCAGTGGAGTTTTACCAAGTGGTGTGTGTGGTTTTTGTTTTTTACTATGCAAAGATGGGAAATGCACAAACTTTTCAAAGACTAGTGTCTGAAGAACTTTACAAACAATACTTGAACCCTTTCTTTAAAGTTATCCCATCATGTTTTATAGTCATTGTTGCTTCCATTGTTAGTTTCCATTTTCAAGTGCTTTGTAATTTTTTAAGTGCACTACCTGAAATTTTGTTTGAAATTAATAAATTCATTCGTATCTTGTTGGCTGCCTATGAATGGAGATTCAGTAGTCATTGTATGCATCTTTAAGTCAAATGTGTATTAAAACTTTCGTTAACGTAGAATGTTGTAGCTTTATGCTTTAATCATTTCTTTTAAACCCCCTTTTCTGTTTCCTCTTGTAGTGCTGATTAAATGGCCATGTGCCTGATATCATCAGAGTTTTAGCATGGATCCAAAGGCTTACTGAAAATTTAAGCAGTCAGTGGCACAAAATAAAATCTCTGATTAATGATAAATATATGCCTGATTACGATTCAGTTTTATTGGATTCATTGGAATTTTTTGCTTCTTATAAATCAGAAAAAACCCTACCTTAGGATCGCTTAGAGATTTTTTTTTTTTAGTATCTCCCTTCTGAGTTTTAAGAGTGGATGGCTAGTAATAACATCCACACTTTGGACCTGGTACCAAATTTGTAATCAAGCAACAAAGAAAGTAGAAGGAAATCTGGTTATATAAATTGTATTATAAAAAACATTCTAAGGAAGGCATTTCTTCACAGCTCCCATGGAATTGGTCACCAAATTATATCCCTTCTTCATGAATGTCTTCAATATGTCTCCTCTCCATCCCATTGCCATGCCTTGGTTTGGCCTTAACAGACACATGTATCTCACATATATCGACTGCACTGACACACAGTTACTAATCTCACCACATTGATGAAAGCATTGCAGGGCTTTTCATTTCCTGTAAGTTAAGGCTCAAACTTAATAACACAACGTAAACTCCTGCCCACCTCTCATGATCTCAAACCTGTTTCTTTTTGTAGCCTCATTGACTCATCCTCTTGTAGTCACCTTAAAGGTCCCCTAGAGGAACCTCTTGTACTCAAGGCCCAACAATCTTATTTAAATGTTACGTCCATTACCCATAATTCATTCGTTTCCATGTCATTTCATGTAATAAATATAGAAACACTTTAAAATAGCATGAATATTATACTTAAAATTAGAAAGCTTATTAGAGTATTTGAGTGTTGTTTATATTTGACTTTAAATGAATGATTTGTTTTTGTGTGTGTTTTCCTTTAAGTCATTCTGTTCTTGAGGATGACATTGAAATGAGTTCTACTCCATGCTTCCTTAGTAACTGGCTGAGAAAGGTGACCCAGAAACTCCCTAGATAATAGAGCAGCAAACCTAGAGTTAAAATTTGATGTGAATAAGTAGATAATCCATATGCTTATGCTGGAATTCCCAAGTAACTTTTAAAATGTAAAATAGGTGCCCTTTAGTTTAATGTGCAAAGGTTAGGGAGTTCCATTCACTCATTTATTCATTCAGCATATTTATTATGTCTCTATGCTATGCCAGGAACTCCTAGGTACTGAAGGAACAAAAGTAAATTCTTGGCTTAAAGTTGCTCACAATTTAGCAGGAAGAGACATGTTTAAAAAAAAAATTTCTAGACCCAAGGTGATGAGTAAACAAAGCTACTCTTGTGCTGGGAGTAAAAAGAAGAGCACTGATGGGCAGGTGGGCGAGGGATGCAGAAGCCTTTCCAAAAGAAGTGAGTTTTGAACTATATTGAAACATGACAAGAATTCACCAGTCTAACAAAATGGGAAACGTATTCAAGGCACAGGAAGCAACAAGTGCAAGACCCAGGAGGAGGCACCCAGACCCTTGGGTAAGTAGAGCTAAATGTCCCATCCATTCAGCCTCAGTTTCCTCCCTCCTCCGTTCTCTTCTTTGTTTCCTTCCTACCTTTCTACAACCTCTTGATCTGTAAGAATCCTACAGTAGTCAGGCTCCAAGGACACATGATGAGTTCAATCTTGTGAGCAAGATGCAACATGCAATGCTATGTGGCAAGTGCCATAATAAACATAAATATAAGTTGCTTCAGAAGAAGAGAAGAGCAAGGCTTTGTCTCTGATCCTGGAGTCAAGGAGAGTTTCACAGAAGAGGTGGCAGTTGAGCAAGAGGCTGTGCCTGTGCAATTGGGCCTAATACTGTGATCCCTTATTGTGAGATTTAACCAGGGCTTGCTCGTTTTGGTGGTGGGACTAGGGGAATCCATTCATAAATGCTTTGCAAGCACAACAACCCGTAATGCTCAGAATTGTCCTCACCAGATCTCTGAGTGTCTTTTGTTTGTGTGAAGATTATGATCTCTGTTAAAACCTTATATTTTTAGACAGTTTTCCACCGATGTGCTCATGATGGATCAGTCTTAAGTGTATGAGACTGTCAGTAATGACAAAGAGGGCTTCTTGACCTGGGCTGTGAACCTCTAATATTTTCTTAGCATAAAAATTCCTAGCTAATCTCAGTCTGGAGTGAGGGGGTGGGTAAGAAGAACAATAAAAGCTTTTAAAGCATCATTTAATATATCCTTCCACTAATTAGGGGTCAACATCATTTTCTAAGTATAGTTGAGCTTCTGGTGAACCAAAATTAGCATTTGTCTATCTGCTAAGCTTTGGAGAGAAGGTTATCATTCCTCAATCTTTTCAGAAGCCCATCCACAGCTCTGACTCCTTGACTAGAACAAGTTTTTGGCCATGTATATGACTTCTGGAGAGAAATGAAATGCCTTGAATCTTCACATGAAAACAGATTTCCTGCTGATGCTCCTTTAGCAGTTGATTGCATGTGCACACACACGTGTCCTGGTGTGATTGTTAAAGACTGTACTTGTGGCCCCATGGAGTCCACCCTTAGGAGAACATTTATCTGACTGTGATGATTATTGAAAGCCAAACTCGCCAAGTAAAGCAATTGGTCTTACAAAAACAAGGCAAAACAAAACAAAATCTCTCTGAATGATCAAGAGTATATGAAGAGTTCTTCAGATCTCTTTGGAGCTTTAAATAGCTTCCAGTCTTCAGGAGGTAAATGAGGTTGCAGCAGAGGTTCTTGCTTCTTTAGGCCTATAACTCAGGGTAAGGACAGAAAAAGGTAACTTGGATTATAAATGACATCAGGGAGGCCTCTGTTTTCCAGCAACAGACACAGCCTTGTAGAGCCATTGTAACTCCTATAGAGATAGCAAATGGATTGTATGCAATAGCTTTAAACTGCTTTTCCTATATAGGTGAAATGGCTACAAATCAAAGGTCACAAATGCTAAAGTCTACAGGAGCCAGTCAGTTACCAAAATGAGCTGAACAGGGCAATGGAGGAGACAAGGGCTGAGGGAGGCTGAACTGAGTTGGAGACCGTACACCTTGTCCTGAAGGGAGCAGCCTCTACTCAGCTCCAGACAATTGTCACTATGAGGAAAAGTGGCCCAGTCATTGCCCATTCCATTTATTTTTCTAGAGAAGCCAGAAATCCAGGCTTTTATATGAAATTTCCTTTTAAAAAATTGTAAAACTCATTCATATTTTTTAAACACTGTGGATCAAGATGGTGAAAACAGAACCTGACGTCACATAGGATTGGGTCTACTGGCACCTAGCGGGGTAGCTTCTACATAAGATAATAGGACATTTTTATGTCTGCCCTCTGAAATCAGCTGATAGCTCCAGTGAGTATGCAGACATGGACTTGCTTCCAGTCAGGGTTACAGGGTGCCATGTGAAGGCTCAGGCAGACGTTCTTATGAATTGCCACTTACAGTGTTGACTTAACTATTGTTTTGTGTGGATAGGAAGCAGTCACTGAAAGCCACAGAGTATCAAAGAGAGCCTGCCTAAAGATACTTCGTGACGGTGGTGCTTTGTGTAATAACTAAGCTTACTCAGATATGCTCATTTATGGGAGATGAACTAAACCTATATTGGCAAATTGAGGCTCATTCCTCAAATTGAGGAGCATTCCTGCATTGCTCATTGAGGCTTTGTCTCGATGTTCACTAAGGCAGTGTAGTGGCTGCCTGGATCCTGAGCCAGTGATTAGAGAAAATGCTGTGGTTGATTTTGGTTGCCTGCTACCTGGCAACCAGAAGTACCTGACTAGGTCCGCATAAATCTTAAAACAGTGTTCCTTTCTGTCTTCGATTCTCAAGGATAATTGGAGATGGGGATGAATTAGTTGATCTAGCTAATCCAGAGGCCCCACGTAATATACTGGATCCAGGGAAATAAAGGATTCCTGATCCAAGAAATACAGAAGCTGAAAAATCCAGCAGGAAGGAACAACTGTTTATTTTTTTAATTGTTGTTTTCTGATAATTATGAAATCCTACATGTTTATTGGAGAAAACGTGAGAAAAAGAAAAATTTAAAGAAGAAAATTGAAATCAATATCATCACCACTTTATAATCTCCATTAATAATTTGTAAATTTCTTGAACTCATCATTTTCTTGGTTTTTCCCATGAACACAAAAGCAGCCTACAAAGTAGGCAGCCAGTAGTTCTTGCAGAGGATTTGTGTTGTCTCCCCTGCTCGTGTGTGTGTGTGTGTGTGTGTGCACGCGCACGCCATGTGCCATGTTCTGCTGGCTTCAAAAGAGGGTGGGACAGTATGTTTAGGGCAAAGAAGTACTTTCTAGCCTCTTGGTTTTTGGCTTAACCTGTTTATACTACTAGGAAGACTGCTTTTGCCCACCAAAGCCCAGTCAAATTCCTATGCATCCCCAAGTGTCACTTCAAATATGTACTACCTCCTTCGTGAAGCCTTTCCTGATCTTTTTAAAGCTTTCTAGAGAGCTTTAAAAAGCTCTCTACAGAGAACATGGGAGCTCCAGTTAGTGGTAGAGCTGGGATGAAATCCCAGGTATTTTAGGATCCAGAGCCCATCCTCTAATTACATCACTTTATTGCCCTTTTTTATTCCCATTTTATTTATTTATTTATTTATTTATTTATTTATTTATTTATTGAGACAGGGTCTCAATCTGGCACCCAGGCTTCAGCGCAGTGGCATGATCATAGCTCACTGCAGCCTCAAACTCCTGGGCTCAAGGGATCCCGCCACCTCAGCTTCCCGAGTAGCTGGGACTACAGAGCACACCACCGTGTTATAGCCAATTGTAGTTGAAAAAATTCACAATTGGAGAGGTTTAGCACCTTTTTTGAAATCACCATTCTAGTAAGTGCCAGGGTCATAATCATGCCACCGGCAGTCCGAGTTTGAATCCTTTTCTGGACCCAAGAGAACATGGAAAATAGCACTTATGGCACCAAAACATGAGCAGTAGGGGAGGAGCAGTAGATCCTCAGAGAGAATCTCTTGCTGCCTACTTTTATGAGCTGATTCTGCTGGGAGTGCTGCTGGAACCATTATTTATTGTCACCACCAGGAGATCTGTTTTGGAAAGCCTTAACTCTCTAAATGTAAATTCTAGCCTTTTGTTAGAACAAGAGAGAGTGGGTGTGTGTGCACAAGACCCAAGGGAAGGCTGAAAATTTGTTCGTAGGCCACTCCACCTGAGAGGGAATATGTTAAGCAGTTTGAAATGTCTCTAGGAGTCATTGTGAGAAGAAACGGGATTTTTCTGTTACCTCTGATGAGTGAAACAGTTTTCTGTTACAAAACTGATGAGTGAAAAGTCACAGGAATGCCACTTCGAATCTCATATTAAAAAGAACTTCATTCAGTCGACAAGTAGTAAAGATATCCACCAAGTAAAAGACTCTTTGCTGCACATGGTGGGTCAGAAAATGTTATGCCCAGATATCCTACCAGATATTACAGCTTGGTAAAAGGGCTAAGGAATAGGGAAAGAATTTCATTTATGATGAAAGTGTCACCCTTGGTAAGGAAAATACAAATAAATAATTATGAAAAATCAACAGAGGAACCACCTCGACATCCCCACTCTAGGGGTGTAGGGAGGAGAGCAAAGAAATTCTATGGAGGAGGTAGCATTTGAACAACTGGTAAAACACAGGTATACGGAAATGGAGAGAAAAATGTTGAGAGAAATGGAGAGAAAAAGCTTGAGCTAGGTAGGATACGCAAATTCAGCTGATGTAACAATGACCAAAATACCAGAGGCTTAAAGAAGAGTGAAGATTTCCTCCCCATGATGAGCAGTCCAGAGCTGGTAGGGAGGCCCTACACACCTGCTGGCTTCTTGCTGTGCAATCCTTTGCACCAGCCTTCACCTCATGGAACGAATGAGCTGTTCCAGCTCCCATCACCCTGTCTGCCTTCCAGGAATCAGGAGGGAAAGGAGGAGACACAGGAGGCCTACCAGTTCCTCTGGATACCAATCTGGCAGTTGAGAATATCGCTTTTTATCACATGGAGTGCCTAAAACTTAGTAACATAAGCACATCTAGTGCAGAGAGGCTAGAAAATGTAATGGGGAGGAAGGAGTATTCCTAAAGAAAAATGTTTAGAAAGGGGCATTGAGAGACAGATAGCAGCCTGCCACTGAGCTTAAAGAAAAGTGCCAATGTGAGATTGTGGGAGTGGATGGGGGTAAATGGATAGGTGCCATGATGGGCTTATTCCTCAGGCCCACTTTCGAGGAATAAAGGGGTTATATGGTGTTTCTTTCTCTGTCCACTGGGAGTATCAGGGAAAGACGGGCATCTGCAGTTGGCCCTTTTGGGGAATGCCTCTGTTTAAGAAAACTGCCTTCCTCAAAGTAGACTGCGCCCAATGACTATCAACGTGGGAGTTTCAAGGCCAAGCCCTCTTACTCCAACTCAGGACATCTGTGAAAAGACATCCCAGCTCCAAAAGCTCTTCCTTTGCCAACAAATTTCCTGTATGGAAATTCATCTCCCTCCACCCAATCCTGCCTCCTTCCTTCTTTTCCACAGCTGTAGAAAAGCACTCCAAATCAACACTGTGCCTGCTAATCTCTGCCCCAGAGACTGCTTCCTGGGAAACTCCATCTGGCACAATCACCAGTTTGTTTTTATCACCACATAGTGTATAAAGGGGGAGGGAAGGAAGTGAGGAGTGAGCTACTGTACCTTTGAGTAAGATTGTAGAGATCCTGAACAGTAGTGTGGACTTGGTTCTGCAGGCAGTTGTGAGCAGGCTTCTGAGGATCAGAGTAATGGTAGCTATCTGGCAGTCATATGTAAGATGGACTGTGGGTAAGAGAGGCAAGAGGTGCTAAAACAGTTAGGATGCCAAGGCCATACCACAGGTCCAAGATAATGAACACCTGACACAGGGCTCCGGCAATGCAAAATGAAGAAGGGAAAGATCACACGAGTAGAATCGACAGAACTGTGCGTTGATTTTGGGAAGCAAGAGGCAGGGAAGAGTAAAACATAAAGTCCAGGTTTGATATCTGGTGATTGGACTGATGGTGACTTTATGGAAGAGATCCTGGTTTAGGGAGCAAAGATGTATTCCATTTTGATCTGCTGGAGTTGAAGGGCTAAAGGGAATCTAGGTGAAGATGTCCAGCAGGCTATTGAAAGGAGAGCATGGAACTCATCAGAGAGGCTAGCACAGAAATATTTACTTGAGAACCATGTAAGATTCAAAAGTTTAAGTCATAATTTAAGCCATAATCATTTATGCTATAAAATAATTTAAACCAGAAAAACTTGAGGCAATTTCCAGGGGAAGTAGCATAGAAAGGGAAAGCAAGGGAGAGGTGAAGAGAGGAGACTAAAGAGACTGAGGAAAAATATAGAATAAATGACCTGAGAGACCATTATTTCCATGAGATGAGCACTGTGTGCTAAAAGATTACTGAGAGCAGAACTGAGTTTTGTTAGTTCCAAGAACAGAATTGATGAAGAAAGTATGAATCAGCTCTTCTCATTGTAGCCATGATTCCAGTTGATGGGGACTCAATAATGGATAACACACAACCCAACTACCAAAGACCTGGGAACGTTAATAGGATACCTAAAACACTTTTGAGGGAAACTAGGATGTCCACACTTAAAGAAGTGTTTGATAATATCTCTGTGTTGCAAAAGAATGATTTTAAAAAGGAAACATTTACTTCCATTACTACAACCACAGTTGTACTTTCTTGAGGCTGAAGCTGAAATTGCAAGATTTTTGGTCTTCCAGGAACAAGAGATAAGAATTACACTCCTGTACTTATTAGAAACCAATTTTGATTTATCTGCAGAGTAGCTGTTTATCAATAACTTCCTAACAGCTTTCCACAGAAAAACCTTATTCCTGGGCCACTATGACAAAAGAGCAGAAGGTCATCACAGGTAGAACACAAAGAAAGTTGTGATTGTTCTCAAGTCTCCAAATTATATGCTCGGTGTCATACAAAAAAGAGGTGAGATGCTTAAGACATTTCTTCAAGCATTTAGTATTTTGAGAAGTGTGAGCTGAGCATACGAAATGAAAGGAGGCAATCCAAGTAGGAAGGAATGGGTACAGGTAACCAAAATGGCTCTAGTTGTTATTCACCAAGTTCTCAGAAAGTTGTATAACTTCTCCTTTCTTGGCAATGTATTGCCTGGAGCCACATTTAATTTGTTGCGGTTAGAAATAAATAAATCTTTCTTTATTAAGAAATATGAGGCCTTGTATTCACATATTTATATAAGACCAAATAATCCGATGAAAGGAGGAAAATGTAGTCAACTCAGTCAATTTTTGCTTTGTTCTCAGCATATATACCTAGTGGGTAGCTGCCGATATGGAATAAAAAGCTTTTTGCTTTTTCAGATGAATGAATTACAGATGAACATCTTTGAAGGAAGTCCTTTGACTACATGTATACAATTTCAAGTTATGCAGAAAGGCAAACAACTGATATATCCACAAGTCACATATCACTTATATTAGTGGACTATTACAAATACTTTGTAACATAGGTAATCTCTCTGCAATATTTTGATAGTTAGCTAAGTAGCTTTGCAACTCGTTTGGTTACCAAGTCTTGCATGTATTTACTTTTATGTTAGTGAAAGATAAAGATAAATTTTGAATTGCTTGTACAAAAAATGATCAATATCTAAAACAGAACTCCTTACAAAAAATGTGAGCGACAGCTAAAAATAATGGTGAAATCTTGCTTTTGAAAACAAGCGATATTTTCCACCATGGAAAAATTAAGTCCTGGAAGCATCCCGAAAGAATAATCCCATCCCCTCATAATGCTCTTCCTGCCTCCAGATACGGGGGCCTGTGGATGCTTTCATGCCTGCTATTCACTGTGAGAAAGGTTGTTCTATAGAATGTGTTGTGAGGCTGACCTTTGTCCTAGGAACAATTTTAGAGAAAGGGAGAAGTGTGGTATCTGGAAAGCTGCCAGGGACTGTGGGTCTCTACAGAGTGTGCTTAAACTACAGTGATTTAGAAATGGGAGGGAGGGGTCACACCTCAGTCAGTAAATATGACTTTTCAAAAATGACCAGAGAAAGGGGACTTGGATCTATTAGCAGATGAGCATGGCTTTAACTCTGTTTGCTGTTTTAATTTCCTCCCCTATTCTAGACTTTTACATCTGAAATGTTTATAATTAGAAAAGATAAGCGTTCAACGGTCTTCACAACCAGCACCAACAAGCCATCAGAAACACTGCTGGGTTTTATGAAATGCCTAAAGCAAATGCTTCTAGTGTGGGTTATTGCATGGTACCCTTCTGGTCCTGAAAGGGATCGATGCAATGATTGTGTAATAGATCTCCTGAACAGTTCCATCACTTGTACTTGTTACCCAGTGAGGGAGAAGTGCTGACTAAAGTCAAGAAACTTGTTCCAAAATGTTCTTTTTCTACTGGGGAAGATAAGCTATGCTGTATATCAAGGGCAGATGTCGTGTTTGAGAGCAAAGGTGGTCAGTTTTCTGAGAGTAACTCTAGATCAGGTCTATGAGTTGAAAAAAATTACAAACTCATATATCAGCGGAAGATATATAGGAAATTATAAACTTCTCACTAAAACTTAATCAGCAGTTGATGTCACAACTCTGTTAGAGTCTAGAAGTTTTCTGCATGATTATTATCATTATTATTATTATTATTTGAAACAGAGTCTCGCCTAGGCTGGAGTGCAGTGGCACAGTCTGGGCTCACTGCAGCCTCTGCCTCCCAGGTTCAAGCGGTTCTCCTGCCTCAGCCTCCTGAGTAGCTGGGATTACAGGTGCCCACCATCATGCGTGGCTAAGTTTTGTATTCTTAGAAGAGTTGGGGTTTCACCATGTTGGCCAGGCTGGTCTTGAACCCTTGACCTCAAATGATCCACCCACCTTAGTCTTCCAAAATACTGGGATTACAGGTATGAGCCATCGTGCCTGGCTCTGCATGATTATTAAATCAGAGTGACATATGGATGGCTACTTCAAGATGTGCATTAGGTATGAAATTTAGTCTCAGTATAGGATACACAGATAGGATAGAGATTATTTGTATGAGTATTTGAATATATAGTGTAACATATCTTTGAATATGTAACTTGTCTTTAAAAATCTGTGCTTATGTATATACACATACATTTAATTTATCTTAGGATATAACCCTCAGACATGTGAGAAGCATGGCCCTGTTGAAAGAAATGGACTCTTTTTCAGTAGCTGCTAGTTACTGCAGGAGAGTGGGGGGCACCAGTCATCCTGAAGGTTTTTAAGGAAGGGGAGGGTACTAAACAGGAGCCTGATTGCAGAGTGACTGAATGGTGAAGAGGTTTAAGCTCTCCACATACACTTTGGTTAGGTTTCAGTGGTTTCAGATGTGCATGCCTAATGACACTTGAATTTGAATAATACGAAATTCAATTTGGATGATCCATTTTATAAACATAAGGCGTTGTGATTTTGTTCAAATGAGCATTGATACAATTTCAAAGCCAGCGTGGATTGAAGGTCTTCAAAAGTTAGGAGGACTGAAGTTGTTTGTGATCTTAATGCAATGTTTTTCTCCTTGATCTCTATCATAATACATGCTTTTATTGTCTTTGTTTCACTTGTGCTGTTTTAAATTATCTTGTTGATCTATTTGTTCCCTTAAATATTGTTAGTCTCCTCCAGGAGAAATGGAAGTTCCTGGAGAGCAAAGACTTTGCTAACTTTATCCATTGATATATTCCTTTATGTCCATGACAGATGGCATGTGTGTGTGTGTGCATGTGCTCGTGTAATATTAAACAAGTGAATTGCTTTGGTTTGTGCATGTCTGTCATTATATTTTAGTGCCTTGTACTCTGTCTACTCTTGTCTGCTGTGTTCTCCATTAGCTTGTGGATTCATCAGTGGTTTAAAACATATCTTGATGATCTTTGATGGCACCCAGTAGAGAATGTGGTTTGAAATAGCAAGTATTTGGTCATCTCAACAATCTTCTCTTTGCTCAGAAAGATGCTATGGATGACCCCTCACATCTCACTGTCCTGACCTCACTTCGGTGAAGGAGCAGGGGTGAGACTGGTGTCACAGAAAATAGACAGTGACTGTTGTCCTCCCTGTTGGCATCCCAACTAGAGTTCAGGACAGTGTGTGATATATTTGTGGTTTCCCTCCTTGTTTTATTAACATGAGTTAAATGAACTAGGTTCTTTAATAGAAGACATCCTAAATAACCAAGAGAATTCTACCATTTTTGGGGAATTAATGTTTGTACCATCTGTTTTACATGAGGAATGAAGAACATTAGCTGAGAATAAAGAAGTTCCATGGGCAATATGGACTTCTATTTTTTTTACTTGAAATATAGGTGCACAGAATGGGTTTAATCATAATCCCTATCATTGATATACCCTATATTTTGATATACCCTATCGTTAGTCCATTGGCCTTTCACATGCATATATGTATTTATATACTTACATACTTACTTAAAATCATAAATATCCATGAGTCTACCACTCAAAATGATAATTAGAACATTGACAGTAACTAATATTGCCTATGTTAAACTCCTCTATCATGTTCTTGGCCTCCTCTCCCCTAATGTAATTAGTACCTTGATTCTGGTAACAATGGTTTTATTGTTGAAAACATACTTTTTAAACATAATTTTTATTATTATTAATAAATGTGTTATTAAGTTTTAGTTGTCATAAATTTATAAAAAGGGTATTGACATTCTCTATATAATCTTTGGGGACTTATGTTTTCCTTCTCAATATTATTTTTCTATAATCCATCCGTGGTGTTCCAACTAGCTGTACTTCATTCATTTTAACTGCTGTGAAATCGTCTATTGTGTAAATATACCACAATTTATTCATTTCCTACTCTTTGAGCATTTGAGTTCTTCCCTGTATTTTCCATATAAATAGTGTCTCTGTGAATGTTCTTGTGCATATTTCTTAGTGTACAAGTGTAAGAATTTCTCTCTGATTTATATCAAGGAGCGTAATTGCTTCTCATGAGATATATCAATGTTTAACTCTTTTCTACAGTGATCTTACCACTCTAGTTCTTAATTTTAATAATTTGCTAAACACTAGGATTTCTAGACATTTATTGAATTAATAGATTACTGTCCCAAATCATAGAATAATAAATTGATAAAGCAAGAAAAAAATCTGAGATTACCTAATTGGACCCACTCAACTTACAGAGAACAATGATGCATAGGATAGATGAAATGATCTGTTTAAAGTCCTAGAAATGATGGACTTTCAGATGCAGTCCCAAATAGTTTATGGAACCATCATTGCATTCTTACCAGCATCTTCTATTTCTCAAATAAATAATGTTTGATGAGTAATAATAAACTTCCATTTTTAAGAGAATAAGTCAAGACCTAAGAAAATAAAAAGATAAGCAGAAAAGAAATTATCGCAATTTAGGGTTAAGCTTGAATTTATTCAATGCATGGTTTCCCATCAGCTCACATTACCTTGTATTAAACTTGCTGTCTCCAAAGAAAGCCATTCTCAGCTCCTTGGACAAAGTACTTTACTTTCTCCCACTGAAGGTCTTTTTGCCTAAACTTGTTTGCCTCTCTTAATTACCATGTGATTTAGTTATAGTTCTTGAATTTCAAGCCTATGTCTACTGTTGAGGGTTAATTTTGAAATGCTTTTACTTTCTTCCTTAAAAGGGGGCAGATGTGGCTGGGCTGGAGCAATCCTTCCACTTGCTTCCTGCCTGACATATAGATTTTATGTCTGGAGCTGTGGCAACCAACCTACGGGTTTAAGAAAGGTCAAGAAAATTGTGGAAATGTAGGACTAATATCCTTGGGCCACTGAATTAACATCAGCAGCCACATGTAGTCAGTTTTTCTGTTACTTACAGCTTAATGCATTCCTAGCTGATGCACCATGTTACAAAAATGATCTCAAACTAGATTTTGAATATTTCTAATTTTCTAATGCCAGAAATTTAAAATCTTATCATTGGATATGAATTTTTTTCTCAGAGAAAAATGGTTTTATACTTTTATACCTGACATCTACTTTTCAGATGATAGTCTTTCAATCAGAAACTTCACTTTAGAAAATGTGTTCCTAATCACAACAAAGCAGTATCCTCATTCAGCAAAAGTGTAATTAACATTTTGGGCACTGGATGAAGAAAAAAAACTAAATTAGTTGACTGACATTTTTACTTCACTGTCCAGACATGTGAAAGAAAATTCACCAAAGTTAATTAATGACACTCACATCTCCAGCCTCAGATTCAAAAAGGGGCAATTCTCATATGTAAATTCAACCAGCATTGAATAGGACATTATCATACATGTTTTGGGCTCTAAGGCTGAGAATGGTTAGACATGACTCCCACTCTGAAGGAGCTCATAGTCTAGTTTAAGTAGCAGTGGGAAGGTGAGGAGAGACAGATAGGCATGTATAACAATTAGAATACACTAAGCAAATAATGCAAGCATGAACAAAATTGTATGGTAACAGTGCACAGCAGAACCAACTCCCTTAGACATACATGAGTCAAGGAAAGCTCCTCATCCCAGAAGCCCTGCTCAAACTGTAAGATGTTTTATGCATTCAACATATAGGTCTATATCCTCATTTTTCACAGATGTTTTCAGCTTGGCAAAAGTCCATGACTGTCATTGGACCCCAAGCTTTGTGAATCCTCCTGCTTCCCATATGTTGAAGTAGAAATTTAATGGTTTGTTTTGGTTTGGTTTTTGTTTTGTTTTTTCTATTCCATCATAATTGAAGCCTTAGGAAAAGGAAACTTACAATTCTAAAATCTTAGACTTTTGTCATTGTTGCCTTGGTATATAAACCAAATTGAAAACAAATTCATTATATTGTAGTCTTTTTTGGAAATCAGTAGGACAAAAGATAGGAGAATTCTGAAAGTCGGTATCTGTAATAGTCACTCTTGAACTGCTGGGATAATTGCAAAAGAAAAACCCAACTCTTGGCAAAGCCAAAGGAATCCCTGTGGGTGTTGAAACCTGCTTGAAAGAATGGTCAAAGAATGCAAGTATCTTGATAAGTACCCTGGGGGAAAAAAACACTACTACATCTATTATTACAACTACAGTATCTTCAGCTGGACAAGCAGAAAAAACATGAATGAACTATTCCTGTATCCCCAAGTAACTTTCCTTTTTCACACATTTTGGAATCAATGTCCAATATCATCTGACTACTTCACTGCAACTTGTCCGTATAAATTTGATGACACTTTAAGAATGACTCATCCACTTACCCCAATGAGCATTCCAGGAAATTGTCCTTGTTTATTGCCATTTCCAAATGATGGAAAAGCACAAAGAATGAGAGAAAAATAATTATTTTTACTATCTGATCCTAAATGTTAAAGAAGCACCCTATTCTTAAAGGTTGTCCCCATCATTTGCAAATTAATGCACTGCTGAAGATGCAAACTACCTATATAACTGCTCTCGAATTTCATTAAAACTAATCAGAAGTCCTTTTTAATGTCTTTGAGAATTGCTTCAAGTGGCAAAAATCAGAAAATCTACCCATGGGGCACCTTCAGCTAATTGCAATTTACTTTTCAACTAGTCATCCTTTAGCCTTAGGCTGCAACTGCACAAAGCTGAAACAACTCTTTGGGTGACAAATGCCAGTCAAACCAGTTATTTAGCATCATGTAATTTTAAATGACCATTGGTTTTCTGAATATTTTTTAACAAGTCAGAATGATGATGTGATGAACTGAGTTCAGATGAAAATCGTTAAAATTATTTTCTCTGCAGTTGAGACTGCCCTATGCTCCTTCCTAGTTGATATTGGGGGACAAGTAGAGGAATAAGGATAGACTATATGGTAAAGTTAATAGAGAGTGACAGACAATGCACATTATTTAGGACAGATAAATGACAGTGAATCAACCTAAGTTTCAGAAAAAGAACCATCACTCTTAATCAACTAAGTGACCCAATAAAAATCCCTTAATGGGAAATAGGGAGGAAAAAAAATGGTGTTTTCTTTGACATCACCTGAGACCATGTATATGAAAATAATGTTTTGTAAAATGTAGGTGCTGTCCAAATGTTAGCCTTTGCTAGAGAGAGTCTAATCTGTGAAAATGAAACCACAATGATAAGACATCAAACTAAGCATCCTTATGTGTTCAACAGAATATAGAGTGTTTCAATCTAATGGCTTGGTGGTGGCTTTCTTTTTATCTAAATGCAGGAATTGGAATGTCATTTTCCTCTTGCAATTATCAAGCTGAGAGTGGGGATCAGGATTAAAAAACATATATTTGGCCAGATGTGGTGGCTCAGGCCTGTAATCCCAGCACTTTGGGAGGCCGAGGCGGGCGGATCACGAGATCAGGAGTTAAAGACCAGCCTGGTGAAGATGGTGAATCCCCATCTCTACTAAAAATCCAAAAAAAAAAAAAAAAAAAATTAGCCAGGTGTGGTGGCAGGCACCTGTAATCCCAGCTACTTGGGAGGCTGAGGCAGAGAATAGCTTGAACCTGGGAGGCGTAGGTTGCAGTGAGCCGAGATTGTGCCATTGCACTCCAGCCTGGGCAACAAGAGCAAAACTCTGTCTACAAAAAAAAAAAAAAAAAAAAAAAAAAACACCAAGAACAAACAAACAAAAAAACCCACATATATTCCCCTTCCCAAGAATCTTGCCAAGTTGCCCCAATAACCAAGAAATAGAAATATATGTTACAACAGAGTATGTAGTGGTTAGGTTCTTACTCTAAATTTAAAAATTCAATAAGATGATTACTTAATTTACAAGTACAAGTTGATAACTTATATTTATGAGAAATGTTTAATCAGGACATTATATTCCAGGGTGGCAGTACAAAAGTATACTGAAGGTCAAAACTTCCTGTCCCAAGTAATTACTGTCATGCATTACTTAACGTAGGGGATACTTTCTGAGAAAAGCATCATAAGGCGATTTCGTTGTTGTGGGAACATCATAGAGTGTACTTATACCAATCTCGATTGTATAGCCTACTACACACTTACGCTATAGAGTATCGCCTATTGCTCTTAGGCTACAGACTTGTACAGCATGTTACTGCACTGAATACTGTAGGCAATTGTAACACAATGGTAAGTATTTGTGCATCTAAACACAGAAAAGGTAAAGTAAAAAATATAGATTATAATTTTATGGGACCACTGTCTTATATGCAGTTCGTTGTTGACTGAAACATCATCCTTATGCAACACATGACTGTTATATTAAAGAAAAAAAAGCATATGAGCAGATACCAGCTAGACATAAAAATTATCTTTTAAAATAATTTTTATTCCCATTGTCAAGAGCTGCTCTAGGCCTTCTGATTAGGATGGTGATGTCACACACCTTCAGCTTCTATGAAATAGGATGACCATTTCAATTCATTATTTTCAGACTTATAAGAAAGGTGGAGCTCAATTACAGTGGCCTTTATCACTTCATCTTAGCCACTTATTTCAGTGGTTGTGCTTAGGATTCAGAGCACAAAAATGGGAAAATCTCCACCTCTGAAATCTGAATAATGAATCTCCCTCTCCTGCCTTTCAGTGTCCCCTCTCCTTACTCCACTTATACCTGTTTTCTCTGCCTTCAATGAGACTTCCAGTTCCCCCCTTTCCTCCCAGTCTTTCATTTCTCTACTCCTTTTTCTAGCCTGCTTACACCCTTGATTCCTTTAATCGGTGGCGTAATGACTATTCTTTTCTCTTACATTCAGTCAGATGAGCATTGTAGAAGGAAAAAAATAACTAATATTTGTCAAGTCTTGCTACATTTAGCACCATTCTAAGTGTTTTCTGTATATGATCTCATTTTATCCTTACTAACCATGAGGAACATTTCTGCCCATTTTACAGGCAAGAAATCTGTTTCACAAAGATTAACTAACTTGCCCAAAGCATTATATCAAATCAAAAGCACTTGATTATATCAAATTGTAGACATCTCATTATTAAAAAAAAAAGAAAACTAAAAGAAAATGCTGCAATTCTAATTACAAGGTGCCATCAGTTGACAGATATATCCTGATTTCAGCAGTGTTAAATGTGCATTGCCTCTAAGACTCAATGACATATAACAAGTGAGGGATCCATAGCATGATAGTCTTCACTATTATGTTATTTTACCTCATAAAAGCCATACAAGCATGCAAAATGTTTATGACAAATTGATGCAAACTTTACCTGGGATTTGAGTACTGTTCTTTAGTCTATCTCCTCTCTCCTCTCTCTTCTTTCCTTCAAAGATTAATCACAGCTTTTCTGCTCTTTTTAAGCTTCCTACTTAACACCTACCCTCATTCACTTTTTTTGTGGATCACTGTGCATCTTACTTCATTGAGAAAATAAGACCATTGGTCGCGTGTCTCTTAACTTCTGCGCCCCCTACCCACCACACTACCTGTAGACATATCCACATCAACAGAGAACCTCCCTTTCTCCCTCTGTTTTCAAGGGCAAGTGTTCTGCCCTTCTGTTGTAGTCTGGCTCCTCCTTATCCTCTTACCCCTGTTGCTTATTGTTTCTTCTGAGGTTACTAGTCATCCTTCTCTCCTAATCTGCAACCCCTCTCTCTCTATGAGTTTCTCTCCCTCAGCCTGTAAACATGGCCAAGGCCCAACTCCTAACTTTCCACTCCAGTCTTTCTCCCTCTTATTTGAACTTCATGGAGAATACTCCACAGGCACTGTCTTCATTTTCTCACCTTCCATGTCTGCTTCAGCCTACCGCAACTTCTCCTCCCTTAACATTTAGTTGAAATTGCCCTTAACAAGTTTCTTGGTGACCTGCTATTTTTTAGATCCAATGGAATTTTTTCATCTTCATTTTATTGACCCCCTTTGCTGAGTTTGTGTGATATGGTTGATTTCTTCTTTATGTGAAAAGCTCTACCTAACTGGCTTCCAAGGCAGCACACTCTCCTGATTCCTCCTATCTCTTTGTTTCTTAGTGACTCCAATACTGGCATTTTCCAGGTTCTATCCCAAGTTGTATCCCTACTGTTGTAGCCACTTTCCACACTTTTCTCTGATGGCTCAAAATATTGCCTACATGTTGATGAAATCCCAAATCTGGACCTCTTTCCTGAGCACTGTATCCCAAATATTTATCGTAAGTTCCCCCTTCTTCCCTACCTACTTGGAATTTCCATTTGGATGTCAGTCATCTCACACTCAACATGTTTAAAACTAGATTCTTATTTTCCTTTCCTAAACCTATTCCTCAAATCATTTCTCCTTTCAGCTGATGGAAATTCAAATTTCCATTTACTTATTCCCCAAAAGTTGGTGTCATCTTCAACTTCTCTCTCTCTGTTGGACCTTATATCCAGTCCATCGATGAGTCTTATCCCTTCTACCATCAAAATATATTCAGAATCTGACCACTTTCACCCTCTCCACTGCTGCCACCCTTATCTATTCCGCCATCTTATCCCACCTTGATTGCAACAGCTCCTAACTGAGCTCCCTCCTCGTCCCTTGCTCCTCTCTGGTCTGTTCTCTACTGAGCAACCAACATGGATTTTTGGTCACTTCTCTGACCTCATGTCCTGCCACTATGCCTCAAAAACACCCTTCTCACACCACACTTGTTCCAAAGCCATCAGACTTGTTTTCCCACCCCCAGCCTGAAGCATTCTTTTACTATGCATGACTCACCCTCTCACTTTTTTGGGTCTTTGCTCAAATATCTTCTTATCAGGAAGGGCTTCTCTTAGTATTCTATATAAAATAGCTCTTCTCCATCATCCTTTTCCCTGCTTTACTTTTTGTTGATGACCCTTTGTTTTTTTCACAGAGACTCGCTTTGTAATCCAGGCTGTAGTGCAGTGGCGTGATCTCAGCTCAGTGCAACCTCCGCCTGCTGGATTCAAGCGATTCTCGTGCCTTAGCTTCCTGAGTTTCTGGGAGTACAAATGCGTGCCACCACACCAAGCTAATTCTGTGTATGTATTTGTATTTTTTTTAGTACAGATGGGGTTTTACCATGTTGGCCAGGCTGGTCTTGAACTCCCAACCTCAGGTGATCCACCTGTCTCGGCCTCCCAAACTGCTGGGATTACAGGCATGAACCACTGCACCTGGCTGACCCTTTGTTTTTCTTATCACATCTGACACTTTACTCATATATTTTTTCTTGGGCTTCAGAATGACGGATAAACTTTATTGACTCATGCATGGCACTACTTGTGTATTTAATTAGCTAGTTGTGTGTTTGTTTTTGATAGATAGCTGTAAACTCACCATTCAACATAGAAACTAGAAGCATAAATCATATATTATGTGTGTGCACACGTATACATATACACTATATATGTGTATAGATATAATTTTAAAATTAAAATATAAATAATTTTTTTCCATCACTCCAGACTCAACTAGCATGTAAGCTACATGCGTACAAGGACTTTGTTTTGTTCCTTCTGTATACACAGCATGTAAAATAGTGCCTAACACATAGGCACTTGAAAATAAAGTAAGCACTGCATGTTTATATATGAATGTTTTCAACAGTAATGTAACTATTGACACGTCCCAAACCAGGGGACACATCTTTACCTCTGTTCTGTTCGGCCTTCCCTCTCTACAGTCCTTTCTTTGACTTCGCTCCCTAGAAGCATGAACTGCGATGAGCACTCCCTTCCTGCCTTTGCTTGTACTGTCTTCTACCCCTGAAACTGCACTCCTGACCCTTTGGCTTTAGGATACCTGTACAACTCGTTTTTCCAGACATTCACGAGTCACCTCCAAATGCTTTCTCGATCTGACGATTATGTGTCTTGGGGTTGATCTTGTCATGGAGTATCTTACTGGAGTTGTCTGGATTTCCTGAATTTAAATGTTGCCCTATCTTGTTAGGTTGGGGAACTTCTCCTGGATGATGTCCTGAAGTATGTTTTCTCCAAAGGCATGAGCTCCTCAAAGTTCAGGAAGCAAGTCCAAGACTTCACCCTTGATCTTTTTCCACAGCCCTATGGGGTGAATAGAAGCAGACATTAGATACAGCTCACACATGGAGAAACTGAAGTACACTCCATCATTTCTGAGCAGGAGGAATAGCTCAGAGCCCCCCAGAACTCCTCTTCAGACCTCCTATTTAATGGTACCTTGGGGAAGGGGCTGGTTCTCTGTGGCTTCGGCAAATCTTACTACAAAGCCTTGTGCCCCTCGGAAGGTAACCATGGATACTATTGAGCTGGCACAAAAGCCTTCAGTTAGTGGAGACTACAAGTGGTTTTCAGGGGCTGAAGGAATTTTCAGGAAAGGGGCAAAACGTGGAAACACTTGCAGAGGGAAGACCTTTGCCTCAGGCCCCTTGGCTGGGTGTGTTTCAGTTAAGATGGGCACTTATGCTCAGAGGAGCACTGGAGCAGTGACAGGGCTCTAATCTGGGACTGGGATAGTAAGTAGCTGTGAGGTGAGAATCAAAGGGAATCCCAGGCGCTTTTTTTTTCTTGGAAAGCTGGGACCCTGCTGTGAAATCTGGAGCGGGGTTGTTGGGGGGTTGAGGTGCTGACCAAAGCGATGCCAGCAGCAACCCAGTCTCCTGAGTGACCCAGGCCAGGGTCTGGAAACAACGGGGTGTCCTGGCAACAGTCAGGGGGAGCTTCCAGCAGGGCGAAGTCCCTATCCTCATCTCTGCCCTCGGGGGTGTTTTTCTCCTTTCGGCCCAGGGCTACAGGCAGGAGAAATTCACACCTGGAATATCTCGAGGAGGCGCCTTATTTCCTCTGAGCCCTTGCTGAGTGTCGAGAGGCAGCTCATGTCCCTCCTCCGACCCCAAGAGTCCACAGTCTTCCCTCACACCCCTTTATTCTCGGACGAGGCCCGTGTGGTGAGCGGGAACCCCTGCTGTCCCCTGGACCAGCGCGGAGCTGGGCCCTAACTTTGCAGTTCCCGCCGCATCGGCACGCACCCGCGAGGTGGGAGCGGGAAGCCCAGCCGCATTAGAGGCTCAATTCCGGCAGGTGCAGAGTGGGTGCGGGTCAAGGCCAATGAGAGTGTGTGTGGCCAAGCCCGCTGGTTTCCTGAACCGAAATTCTCCGGGGAGGGAGAGAAGAGGAGGGTGCGGGAGACGGACTTGGAGGCGAGAGGTGGCGGCAGTTTCCAGGAGCTTTGACGTAGACTTGGAGAGGCGCCGAGCACTCCCACTGCTTAAGTAGAGGCACGGTAGCCTCCAGGACGCGGAAGCTGGGGACAGCCACTCGCTCGGGAGCAGCCTGAGCGTTTCCTCTCCGCGTACTCGAGGGAACTCTCTCCACGCGTTCGAGGGAACCCGGAAGGGGCCAGGCGGGTGAGTGCGGAGGGAAGCCCTTGTGCCATCTGGGAGTAGAGCCGCCGAGTCAGGAGGTGAGTGGGGCCCAAAGGACAGAGTGGGTCCCTGGCAGCTCCGCCCTGCGGAGGGTGAGGCTGCGCAATCAAGTGCGGGGCCGAGACTCAGCGCGGGGCTCGTAGCGGGGTGCACGGAGGACTCTAGGTTCAAGGAACTCAGAGAAACACCTTTCCAGGGTCTGGGAAGCCTCTCCTAAAATTTAGAAGGGGACCTAAAGGAGCCAATTTGAGCGCCGTGGCGCCAGCAGACAGGGAGTCCCGGATAACGCCAACTTCAGTACCTTGGACAGAGTCCTGCCCTCTGAAAACTTAGCTTAGACTTGTCCTTTAGGAAAACCACCCTTTGAGGTACCTCGATATTTTAGTTCGGAAAGGGACACAACAAATATGATTTCAAGTAGAGATAATGCATACATGATATGAAAGATAGAGGAAATAGTTTTTGAATAATCTTGTATCTCTAACATGCTTCTTCAATATAGGAACATGCATGTTCAAAGACACTTTCTGAAATATTTATTTAACAGTACCTAAACATGTCCTACTGCTGTTCAGAAGAGACAGATTATCCAACTTATGGTGTTATCATTAAATATTCCAATATAAGAGTATTCCCACAAGCTGTATTTTGCTTGCTTTCATGATACTAACATCTAAAAGGTTTGGAAATATAATACAAACCTGAAAGTGAGCTGTATGTGCCCTTCCTATTTTTTCTTTATGTTAGAGCTGTTTAAATGTGATACACATTTTGTATAGTCTGTGAAGGAATATATACACTTTTTCTGGCAAAAAAAGTGAACATTTGGGTTATTATTATTTCAAGAGCATCGTTTATCATTGCACCTGTCCGAAGTGGTAACAAAAGAACAATTTCAAAGTGGTATGTAGATGACTCAATTTTATGGCAACAGACATTGAAAGCCAGAAAAGTTGAATGAGAGTCACGTTTTTTAAAAAAAAAATCCTTGAGATTCATAGCAAGAACAGAGAGATTATAAAACATTATCTTTATGAAAGTTATATCAGAATTGCAGAACATTATTGGTATTTGTAAAATGCTTATTGATTCTACTCTAATTGGTTGAATATATGTCTCTTTGTTTCCACATATATTCATCCATACTTTTAGCACATTGTCTTTTGTTAATTTTACTATAACATTTGACAATTCTGATGTATTTTTTAAAAAAATTAAAAGTCACAGTGAACAGGAATGGATCTAAAGGTTAAATATATTTAAATTCTTAATTATATATAAGTCCTAGATTAGGAGAGCCAGGTTTCGCTAAGATATTATGGAATAGTTAAAGCCATGCAGCAAAATTTTAAATGTTCACTTAGTATGCTGTTAGGCTACATTCTTCTGTACCAGAGAAAAACAGATTAGCAGATTAATTTATTCATCTTGTAAAGGAACACATCTTAGGAGGGAATATGTCTTGGCCTGACCGTCTTGGATTTATGTTCACTCCCTGGCCTGGCAATGAGTCATTTTAGATAGAACGGAGCTTGTGATATGGGAGCTTGGCTAAGATTTCCCTACTTTGTGACAATGATGTGTTTCCTTTGCTGGAAGTAAGGTTATTAAGGGCATACTTATTTTCTTTACTGAGCAGAGCACAAGCGGGGACTGATAAGAAATATTTCCATCCTGTGCAGTTTTAGGGCCATGGCTGATCCTGGGAACAGAGGAGGGATCCACCGCCCCTTGAGCTTCACCTGCTCCCTGCTCATTGTGGGAATGTGCTGTGTATCTCCTTTCTTCTGCCATAGCCAGACAGACTTGCTGGCTCTTAGCCAAGCTGATCCTCAGTGCTGGGAATCCTCCTCAGTGCTTCTCCTGGAAATGTGGAAACCTCGCGTTTCCAACACTGTTTCAGGCTTCTGGGATTTTATGATCTACCTGAAGTCATCTGAGAACTTGAAGCATGGAGCACTGTTTTGGGATCTGGCCCAACTCTTCTGGGACATCTATGTGGACTGTGTGCTCTCTAGGAACCATGGCTTAGGAAGGAGGCAATTGGTTGGAGAGGAAGAGAAAATCTCAGCAGCGCAGCCACAGCACACAAGGAGTAAACAAGGTGGTCAACCCCAGCTCCCATGTCTTTTGAAAGGGTCAATCAAGTATGAATGTGCTGAATTGTGAGGAAGAGGGAAATGGCATTAGGGGAATCCAGTGTCATATATATTCCTCTCAAGAGGTGAACCCCAAGAGCACATAACTGATAGGAAGATAGATAGTACTTCTTTTTGCATTGCATAGTAGCTGTTTATATCAACATATTGTCCTCATCCTCATACTTCCTGTGAACAGCAGCAAGGAAGAGTCAGAAAGAAAAGACAAAAAGCATGATTCCCAAAATACAGCATAAAAGTATAAACAGATCCCCCAAGATCAACATTATTTTTTACTATTAGCCTGAACACTGGCAGTCATAACCTGATGTTTACTTGCCGTGGAATTGAGAAGACTTGAATATAAGCTTAGGAAACATTTGCAGCACACAAATTCTTGCCCTTGTTAAACTGAAAATAAATATTGCTTTCATGTAAATAGAGAGGCTCTTTGAGAGGTATTCAGTTGAAGAAATAAAGAGTAAAAAAGTCAGCTGGCATGTAGATTCACTTCATGTTGCTTTTTGAATGAATCTCAAGTAAGTAATTAACTTGCAGCAATCTGAGTAATTAATTTTTAGTAAGTTGGAACTTGCTACAAATTTAGAGTTTTTCATTGAAGTAAATACTATATTCAAATAGTCTCGTCTGAGGGTACAGAAAAAAAGTCCCTTATAGAATTAGAATGAGGTTGAGTAAGCCTCTGTGAGTAAGCAGAGAGATGCCTGAACCCTATACATATTATTGTTATCTTTTTTTGATGTCATTTCAACCAATGAGCATTGAAACCTTTTATCAAGGGCTGTTTGAGTGCCAGTAACTCTTTAGAATTATATATACAACAGTAGAAAACAGGGGCATAACTAATTTTTACATTTGTACATTTTAGTGTTAGAATTGTTACATATTCCTGTAACCTCCATATTAAAATAGCAATTAACAGTGGTAGTTCTAGTGCTACCCTTTCCCAAGATATTTTAGAGCTTTTATATATCTAGTTTGTTTTAACCTTAGTAATTAAAAATCCTCATGATTTGCTAATCCAAAAAACCCAGATAATTCATGGCTATTATTTACAGATAAGTTTATTATTTTGGTAAGTGTTATTGTAACTCAAACCAATTTCATTTTTAGAGGAAATATTCTTTCAGCAGCCTTGCTACTAAAGTAGAAATACCAAATGAATATTTTTAAATGTTGGTTACCCATATTTTTAAAATATTTTGAACAGAGGCTGCCCAGGCATCAGCACCAGTACAGACCATGGTTTTTTTTTTTATTCTATACTGCTGAGGATGGTCTGTAGGGCCTTTTCTTCCATACTTTAAAAATCATATTGGCCAGGCATGGTGGCTCACGCCTGTAATCCCAGCACTTTGGGAGGCCAAGGCAGGCGGAACACGAGGTGAGGAGATCGAGACCATCCTGGCTAACACGGTGAAACCCCGTCTCTACTAAAAATACAAAAAAATTAGCCGGATGTGGTGGCGGGCACCTGTAGTCCCAGCTACTCGGGAGGCTGAGGCAGGAGAATGGCGTGAACCCGGGAGGCGGAGCTTGCAGTGAGCCGAGATCGCACCACTGCACTCCAGACTGGGTGACAGAGCAAGACTCTATCTTAAAAAAAAAAAAAAATCATATTTAGCTGTCTTACTCAAATCACCAGCAATATCTTTTTCTATCTTGCACTTACTTTGAATAACTCAAAGAAATGTCTACTAAATAAATGAAAATATTATTTCTATTCAGCTGAACACAAAAAGTTATATATATACTTATTTTATAAAGCTTTTCTCCGAGACAGCTTCAGCTTTGGAAGTCACTTCCTTCGTCTTGCTACGGAGTTGTTGGTGATTCAGCTGGTCTGCAAACTTTAGGGAGTTGGTATGCAAGTAGCCAAATAGCAGGAGTGAGTGTTTCACTTTATTGAGATTATTTTAATGTTTGACACAAAAAATTGTTTGCAGACCAAGAAACAAGACTTTCCATTTGGTTTGTATAACCACAGTCAAAGAGGGTCTTGGGTCAAGGAAATACCATGTCCAACAGTTAAATAGTTACAGGAACATTGAGATTTCATCTCAAGAGGCTTGATTAAATCTCTAGAGGTTCAACTGGGCTCTGAATGTACCTGCATGGATCCTCCAATATTTTTTTTCTTTTGTCCCTCGGGGATAATATGTTGTTAGGTTGGGACGGGAGTGAAGGTGAAGCAGTGCTTGTCTCCATAGTTCTCAAGGAAATCACATCATCAAGTCAGAAGACAAGAAGAACTAAAATAAGTGTCTACGTAATATGCAAAAAGTTCTTGTTATTTTGATGTCTTCAGATCAAATAGTGTAAATGCAGTTGATAAATCTTACTATGAATCATACTTTGTTAAAAACATAAAACTCCTATGTAATTTTGCATGTTAATATATCATATTTGTTAATACTGAGTCAACAAATATGAAAACAAAAAAATATCAAATAACTGCGTAACCGTGAGCAAGTTAACTAATTTAGCCATCAGTTCTTTCAACTGAAAAAGAAATGTATGGAAAGTAGATGACACACAAAGTCTCATCTTTTCTGTTCCAATGTACTGTGATTCTATAAAAAAAAGAAACGTATGAAAGGCACTTATTTAACTATGAGAAGAACCTGGAAGAGCTTCACCCCAAGGACCGTTGACTGAGCTGGATGATGACCTGGACACCATGGCTGTTTGTAACAGTGATTAGCAGGAACAGACGAGGTTCAGAAATAAAAGGGCTAGAGATGTCATTATGAGAAAAGCCTCTAAAGATCATTGTTATTTAGTCTAGAAAGGCATGGGCTAATAGCTGAAGGTTGAAGTATCCAAGAGAAGGTATGAAGAGGATGTACCCAGAGTTAACTAGTTAACCACTAAATTTTGATGGGTTATGTTAAGGGAGAAAGAGAGAAAGGGTGAGAGAGACACACAGACACACACACACACACACACACACACACACACACAGAGAGAGTGTGTGTTAGGGAAAGAGCATACTGATGACTCCCAAATAGAAAATAACAGAATTGAGAGTAACTCATGGGTTAGTAAAGGCTTCAATGCAAATGAAGAAATTTTGAAGTACATTCTTCTTTGTGTCAAAAATGGTGGCCTCCTCCTTCAACAAACCTTGCTCTGCCACTGGGAGGGACAAAAAGCCTGCCTTCCTGAGCCTGGCATTTTGTATGTTCTAGAAAAATAGTGAGTCTTTGTTTTCCTCTGCGATGAGAAAATTAAAATTTAGATTTATAATCTGATGGTGTTTGCAGCTGGTGTCTCACTAGCTGGCCAATGCTCATAGTGCTTATATTTTAAACACTAACCACAAGAGAAAACAATGGTTCAGAAACATAAATAGGTTCTCAAATGCTTGATTTTCTACTTCACCCACTCCAAGAAATTTTCTAAGCCACATACTCAGCAATTACCCACCTAGAAATCTACTGTTAAGAAACATTTAGAGCTGCAGCCAATGATGCAATCCAAAGCTATTCATTGCAATATTATGTATAGTAACAGGAAACCTGGAAACAATCTAAATGTCCCACGATAGGGTAGTGGTTAAATAAGTTATAGTATAAAGTGTGCATACACAAAACTATGGTTATCTCTAGGAGGTTACATTTTGAGTGGTTTACATTTTTTTCTTCATATTTCTATATAAAAATATATAATGACTATTTTTCACTTTAAAATCAGGCAAATATTTTAATGCCTATTAATTGACAAAAATGTACTTATTATAATGTATTTGTTTTAGATTATATAACTAAACTGCATAGGACACAAGACTTTGCACAAATACACACTTACATATATTCCTCTGAAATCAATTTATAGAGAATTTTGATATTGGAGTGGCAGAAACATCAAACCTGCCTTTTAAAGATAATTTATTGATATTTAATTAACCTGAAACTAATTTGGTGATCTTATGAAGTTCCGCTTTTCTACTTTCAGGTACATATTCTCAGCTCCTAAGGACCTCCTTCCTAAAGAAGAAAGAGTTGATTGAAGATTTGATAAGCATGCATGTGCGTAGGAGTGGGTCTAGTGTCATTGGAAAAGTGAACCTGGAAATAAAGAGAAAATAAATTGAACTCGGAGCTAATTCATGCCTTGGAATTAAATATACATATATATAACATTTTTCTTAACTATTGATTATTTATTTATTTTAAATGGTGGGAATGCCCAGAGATAAATATGAACCCAAATTCTCTCAGTATACTAATTTAAAGCTGCCTTCTATTATTTATTTATTTATTTTAGGCTGCTAGCATGTTTCTTCTAATGGTGACATTACTGCCAGTCTATCCCACAGTCTAAAGGAGTTAAATAACTTCCAGAGATGACTTGAGGATTCTTTGTATTCATTTAATAGTTCATTTTGGGATGCTTGACATGTTAATAAACTAGTGTGCCATACATTTAACTTGAATACACTGCATGGCTTCCAAGACTTCAACCACTGGATTGCTTATGCACAGGCACATAAGGGACTACATTTTGGAATTACTAGTTACTGACAATCTATGATATCTGAATCTTGTTTGACAGCATATTTTTGAATACTGAATGAAGCAAAAAGTAAAACAAAACAAAAAACTGGCAAATAAAGCATTCTTCTAATGAAAACAAAATTAATAAAAGCTCTGGACCCCAGGTAATGTTATTGGAGTCTCTTTATTTCAATATTTAATGTTATCACTAATGACATCCAAACTCTAATAAAATAATGTTTAAGTGTAAATAGGTACAAATTATTTCCCAATAAGCATATTTGTTATTTGATTAAATATTATAACTCTATAAGTGGTTACACTTTGCATTGAAAAACAAAATAAAGCGAACAGCATTATAAGAGAAGAACCCATAAATAATTATTTTCCTGAAAAATGACCAGGCCCGAACAAGGTTTATAGCAGAGAAGTCCAATTAGCAAATGTATTTGAGTTAGAGACACAATGCTATTTTTATCTCTAATTATTCCCAACTCTCCAATCATTCTATTATAACCAATATGTAGGATTGACAGCCAGTTTGAATTTCAGATATGTTAGCAATTCCCTTGCTTTTTTCAGGTCCAAAGGAAGCCTCAGTAAATCTTTTCATTGAAGGATTAGGGCCCTCCTTAAACTAGAAATTGCATCTAAAGGGTTATTATCAGAAAACAGTTTCATTTGAGGATTAGTTGAGTCTTCACAACAAGAAAAGGAAGCTTGGGGAAAGAGGTGGGGGAGAAGGCCCAGCCTCAGCTTTTGGCTCCTTGGGAAAATTAGTATTTTATTAAAAAGTTGCCACCCTTTGACTACTTTTTCAACATACAGGCTCATGATTTTGCATTGATGGTGCTTTTTCTAACGTTTTTCATCATATTCTTCAAAACTATCACGTAAATTCACTATCTCTTATAAATCATCAAAGAGAAACTACACTTGGAGAATGAGCTTGCAGAAGAGCCTGCCCTTTGTTCTTCCCTCACCTTGGTACTCCACAACGGGGATTGGCAATCTTTTTCTGTAGAGTCTGATAGTAAATATTATAGGCTTTCTGGGCCATCCAGTCTCTGCTGTAACTAATCAATTCGGCCTCGGCGGAACAAAAGCAGTTATCACAATACATAACTGAGTGAATATGGTTGTGTTCCAATAAAACTCTGTTTATGGACACTGAAATCAGAGTCCATACACTTTTCAGGTGCCACAGAATATTTTTCTTTGGACTTTTTCAATTTTTTAAAAAGATATAATAACCACACTTAGCTCATAGCCTGTTCAAAACAGGGAGCAAGCCGAATTTGGCCCAGGGACTGCAGCTTGCTGATGAAGCTTACCAAAAGTGTAAGGAACAAACTGGGATGAAGTGAAAAGAAGAGTAACTATGCTAAGCAACAAAACTAAAACCAACAGTTTATGATAGGCTGAAAAGCAGATTAAAAACTATTAGGATGAGACGGAACAGGGATAACCTAGTCCTAATCCCATCCAATGAGACATTATTTCACTCTGTAAACAGTTCTAGGAATTACAGATCATATAAAAATCCACAGCCTTTCTGAATGTAACATGGCCTGCATCTCAAGATAATAGACAAAAACATTGAAATCACCACAATGTTTATTGAAAGGAAGTACAGAGTAGTAGTTACAGTATAGGCTCAGAAGCTGAGTTCAAATCCCAGCTTCATCAAGAAGTGGCCAAATCAACTTTGGACAAGTTACTAAACCTCTTTGTGCCTCAGTTTCCTCATAAAATGAGAAACGTACTACCTAGGTTTCTTGTGAGGATTAAATGAGTCAGCACATAGAAAGTGCTTAAAAACTAAGTGCTCTAACAGTCAAAAAAGGTTAGCTATTACTTTGGGCATTAGTAAGTTAAGCATCTATAACCTAATCCAACATAACAGAGAAAGGAGGCACACTGATGCTTTAGTGAAACTTGTTGGATGTGGAGATTTTAGCGACAAACATTCATATATTAAATTTTTTATTTTGAGATACTTGATTCATATACAGTTATAAGAAATAATACAGAGACGTCTGTATGCCCTTCATCTAGTTTCCCCAATGGGAACATCTTGCATAACTATGGTACAATATTACAACTAGGAAACTGACAGTGGTATAATCCAAATTTATTCAGATGTTACCAGTTTTACATGCACTCAATTGTGTGTGTGTGTGTGTGTGTATGTATGTAGTTAGTTCTTTGCTAAGCCTATTCTCCAGCAGAAGCATCAAGATAGAAAATTAGGCCATCAATTCAGTAATTTACATGATACTTGAGGAAGACAGTTGCATGCATCTATGTAGGTCACACACTTGAATGTTACTCCGGAGGTATTCACAATAAGGATGGCCCTTCATGCAGAGATCTGACTCTGCCATATCTTCCTTCCTTCTTCATCCTCTACTCGCCCTGCTAACCCCCAACCTTCACTCTGAACTGCAGAACTAAGATACATAAGTAGGGAGGGAGATCAAAAAACAAAACCTGTTTTCTTCATAGTTCACACTAAACTATTAAAAGAAAGGTAGAAGTCTTAATTCTTTTAATACAGTTGTGCAACTGCATTTTGTCATCACACCAAGAGGCCTTTGAGCCTGGACTCCATTTCACTTCAAATTGGGCAAGGCAATTTGATCAACAAGGGCAGAGAAGGCCCTGCACACTCGCTGAGCTCCACTGTACAGGTCCATGTTTACTGAAGACTCCGGGCCTGAAATCAACAAACAAGAGAGTCATTTAGAGAAACATACCGGTAGCTTCTCATGAAGATATTGATAAAGCTCTCACATGGAGAAGAAACAGAATCCATTTTTCTTCAGTTCTCAAGGACAATGTCCTTAAGTTAGCCAGCAAATAAGATGGCTATTATTTACCACGATCATTACTACGAATTCAGTCAGGCATAGGTTCTTAAGAAGCACTTTCCCACGGCTCCTTGCACAAATCGGAGTAGCCAGAAAGCCCACTATTGAGCAGTGGCTCCAAAATTCTGTTGTATATAAAAATCACCTGGAGATTGTGAAAACAGATTTCTGGACCACACCTACAGAGTTCAGATTCTGTTCAGGTGGGACGGAGCCTGAGCATTTATATTTATTGTTAAGTTCCCAGGTGATACTGATGCGGCTAGTCCAGACACCACATTTTTGAGAACCAGTGCTCTATAGTTACCTGATTAATGGTTTGAGTGTCCCCTATGATCTGTCATAATAGGAATTGTGGTATAGAAAGATCTACAATTTGGCAGGTATCAACTAAAATTTTGATATGCATAATCTTTAACTTAAAGAGTTCTGTTTTTAGGAATTGATCTTATAAACATATTTACATTTGTGCATAAAGATATATATTATAAGGATACACACCAAAGTATTTTTGTGATAAAAATTGGAAGCAACTTAATTATATACCAATAAATAAATTATAGTGCATTTGTACCCTGAGATATTATGCAGCATTTTAAAAATGACATTGCTCAATGTCTAAGATATTGAACAAGTGAAGAAAGCAAAAGCATAGTATGATCTAACTTATGTTGAAAAAGTAAAGACATACATATGTGCATAGAAAATGGTTTGAAGGAAACTCACTAAGCTGTTAATAGTGGTTATCTCTGAAAAACAGGTGGGAGAGAGTGAAGAGCATGATGATGAATTCATTTTTTAAAAAATCTGTGCACTTTGCATTTTAATTTACAATAAACATACAGTATTACATTATTTGTGTAATTAATAAAAATAAGATCACAGGAAATGAAAACATGGGGAGATTTATTATGTTAGTTGTTTACTTTATAGCTACATAATTTATATTGTGGGTCCATCTGTGCTGTTTTTTGTTGAACATAAGGCTAGAGGGTTCATGCATTTTTTATCCCACTTATCACTCCAATACCGCTCCAGAGGACCTTGACTAAATAATATTTTATTGTCTGACTAACAAACCTTGTCCAGAGGCAAACTTATTTTAAGACATCGTTTCTCAGGCCACAGTGATAAAAACTTAAAATATAGCAATAAATAAATAGGAAAGCCATAATCAATCTCACATACTGTAATTTTTCTTATTGTTATTCATTGTTTTCTTTTTCAGCTTTAGTCTCTTGAAATATTAAAAATAGCCAAAAATATGCACCTAACACCTAGCATGTTGCTTGGCATATATTTGGAACTAAATAAATGTAAGGACTGAATTAATATAGCACATAGGCAGAGACCTAATGAGATGTTAGATGGAACACTTGTGAAATTGGCAGTCCAGAGAAAATCACAATGACAAAATAATTCACTTAAATGTAATTAAAAGTCTATCTAGTCTTCGAATAAATCAGGGATGTGAGAGTAGACTACAAGAATGATAGATGTAGAAATGAAAAAGTATTAGGTTTTTTAGTCTATGTTCACTCTTCTGGGCAACTGGAATACTGAGCCCATATCTTATTTACAATAATTAATTAAGCAAGCCAATATGTATTGAATAGCTACTCTGTACTAAGACCTTTCCCTTGAGCTCCAGATTGTACATGTTGATTGCCTCTGTGATGTCTTCATTTGGATGTCTCTCAGGCAATTCACAATACATTCAAAACAGAACTCTTGATTTGCCAACCGCATAACAGTTTTCCCAGCTTTCCCCATTGCAGTAAGTGCATCACCATCCATACAGGGCAACACCGTCATCTCTTGGCTAGACTGCAGTAGGCTTTTACCTGGTCTCTTTGCTCACCCCTTGCCTTTCTCTAAGTCACTCTCCACACAATGCCAGAATGTTTTAAAAATAGAAACATACCCCACTTCAAAATAAATGCCCAGTGCAAGCACAGTGCTTGGCACACAACAAATGCTTGATTAATATTTGTTGAATGAATGAATTAGCGATTGAATGATGAGCCAACTACACTTTTTTTCTGCCTTCATGGAGCTTAAATGCTGGAAATATATCTTTTCCCATTAATTACTTCTGTGTATATCTGTATCTCTATCTATCTATGAAGCAATGAATATAGTGAATCCTCGGACAACATGAATTTGAACTGTGTGAGCCAACTAATTCATGGATTTTCTTCTACCTCTGCCATACCTGAGAAAGCAAGAGCAACCCCTCCTCTGACTCCTTATTTTCAGCCTACTCAACGTGAAGATGATGAGGATGAAGATCTTTATGATGATCTACTTCCAGTTAATGAATAGTAAATATATTTTCTTTTCCTTATGATTCCCTTAATAACATTTTCTTTTTTCTAGCTTACTTTTTTGTAAGAATGCAATATATGATACAAATAACATACAAAATATTTGTCGATCAACTGTTTATTTTACTGGTAAGGCTTCTGTTCAACAGTAGGCTATTGGTAGTTAAGTTTTAGAGGAGTCAAAAGTTATATGCTGATTTTTGGCAGCATGGAGGGTCAGTGCCCCTAACTTTTACATTGCTCAAGGGTCAACTCTGTATCCATTACTATTCCAGTAAACACTTCTAGGACTCCCAGGCAACATTTGAGATTACCTTATAAACAAATGAAATACAAATAAGGTGCTCTCCTGAGCTTGGTCATTTCCTTAGAATTTGCTAAATTTGAAGTTTTATTTTCTGATTACTTGATACTTTTGAGTGATGGTTCTAGATGGGGAAAAAAGGAACAGGAATAAACCTCCTGCTCCCCACCCTTAACCATGCTCTCGTACATATAAGATCATGGCATATGCAAATAGAGATCTTTTTACTTGTTCCTTTCTGATTGGGATGCCTCTTCTTTCCTTTTCTTGTCTAATTACTCTGGCTAGGACTTCCAGTACTATGTTGAATAGATGTAGTGAAAATAAGCATCCTTGCTTTGTTCCTGATCTTAAAGAAAAAAACTTCAGCTTTTCACCTTTAAGAAAAAGGAATATGATGTTAGCTGTGGGTTTTTCTTATTTGGACTTTATTATGTGGAGATAATTTCTTTCTATTCCTAGTTTGTTGAGAGTTTCTCATGAGAGTGTATTGAATTCTGTAAAATGCTTTTTTCCTATATCTATTGTGATGATTGTGTGATTTTTTTTTTTTTTTTGAGACAGAGTCTTGCTCTGTTGCCCAGGCTGGAGCACAGTGATGTGATCATAGTTCACTGTAACTTTGAACTCCTGGGCTCAAATGATTCTCTTGTCTCAGTCTCTTGAGTAGCTAGGATTATAGGCATGTGTCACCATGCCCAGCTAAATTTTCTTTTTCTTTGAGATAGGGTCTTGCTCTGTCACCCAGGCTGGAGTGCAGTGGTGCAATCACAGCTCACCGAAGCCTTGATCTTCCAGGCTCAGGCCATCCTCCTGCTTCAGTCTCTTGAGTAGCTGGGACTGCAGGCACGTACCAACACATCCAGCTAATTAAAAAAAAATTTTTTTTTTTTTTTTTGTAGAGATAGGGTCTTGACAAGTTGCTCAGGCTGGTCTCAAACTCTTGGCCTCAATTGGTCCTCCCACCTCAGCCTCCCAAAGCACTAGGATTATAGGCATAAGCCACCACGCCTGGTCATTGATTTCTTCCTTGACCCACTGGTTGTTCAAGAATGTGTTGTGTAGTTTAACATCTCTATACATTTTTTAGTTTTCCTTCTGCTATTAATTTCTAGTTTTATTTCACTGTGGTTGGAAAAGATATTTGGCATGATTTCAATGTTCTTAAATTTGTTAAGACTTGTTTTGTGCATTAACATATGATCTATCCCAGAAAATGTTCCATGTTTGCTGGAGAAGAATGTATATTCTGCACTATTGGGTGAAATAGTCTTTATATGTCTCTCAGGCCTATTTGGTTTACTGTTTTCAAGTCTACTATTTCCTTATTGATTTTCTGTCTGGAGGTTCTAATCATTATTGAAAGTGGTTTATTGAAGTCCCCTACTATTATTCTATCACTGTCTATTTCTCCCTTCAGTTTTGTCAATAATTGCTTTATATATTTAGGTGCTCTGATGTTTGGTGTATATATTATAATAATTATAGTATCTTCTGGGTAAATTGACCCTTTTATCATTTTATAATGACTTCTTTGTCACTTGTGTGAGTTTTTGACTTAAAGTCTATTTTGTCTCATATAACTATAGCCACCCCTGCTATTTTTGAATACCATTAACATAAAATATCTTTTTCCATACCTTCATTTTCAGCCTTTGTGTCCTTAAATCTGAAGTGAGTCTTTTGTAGACAGCATATAGTTGGGTCTTTTTCTTCAATCCATTCAGCAACTGTATGTATATCTTTTGATTGGAGGCTTTAATCCATTTATATTTAATAATTATTGATAGGGGAGGACAATTTTGCCATTTTGAGAGTTGTTTTCTGTCTGTCTTTTAGTTGTATTGCCCCTCTTCTTCTAGTTTGCTGTCTTTTTAAAAAAATATTATTTCGTTTTTTTCTTTTGTGCATCTTTGACAGCTATTATATTTGCACTTACTATGAGGCTTATATAAAAATCTTATAGTAATAACAGCCTATTTTGGCTGATAATAACTTCACTTCAATTGCATTCAAAAAGTTTTCACTTTTAGTTCCCATACACTTTTCTAAATAGTCTTTTTTTTTTTTTTTGAGACGGAGTTTCACTCTTTTTGCCCAGGCTGGAGTGCAATGGCATGATCTTGGTTCACCGCAACCTCTGCCTCCCGGGTTCAAGTGATTCTCCTGCCTCAGCCTCCTAAGTAACTGGGATTAAAGGTGCATGCCACCACGTCCGGCTAATTTTGTAGTTTTAGTAGAGATGGGGTTTCTACATGTTGGTCAGGCTGGTCTTGAACTCCCAATCTCAGGTGATCCGCCCACCTCGGCTTCCCAAAGTGCTGGGATTATAGTCGTGAGCCATCTCGCCCAGCCATCCCCATACACTTTTCTTTTTGGTTTGTTTATTTTTATTTTGTTCATTGTTTCATTGTTGTTTTCATTTTAGAGATGGGATCTTGTTGTCTTGCCCAGAATGGAGTGCAGTGGTGTGATTAGCTCACTGTAACCTCAAACACCAAGGCTCAAGTGACCCTCCCTCCTCAGCTTCCTGAGTAGATATGACTATAGGCATGCGTCACCACACCACACATCTTTACAAAAATTTTTTGGTAAAGATGTGGTCTCACTATGTTGCTCAGGCATACTACCAGCTTCAAGCTAGTAACTGCTTGTTGAAACTACTAGCTTCAATCAGTTCCCTGACTCAGCCTCTCAAAGTGCTGGGATTACAGATGTGAGCCACCACATCCAGCCCACATTTTGTTACTGACATCACAATTTACTTATTTTTGTATTGTATATTCATTAACATATTTTAATGTTGTTTTTAATACTTGAGTCTTTTAACTTTCATATTAAAATTAAAATTATTTAAATACCACTATTTTCATTTTATAGTATTTTGTATTTGCCTGTATATATTTACCTTTACTAATGAGTTGTTGGATATAGTATTTTTGATTGATAGTTTATTTCTTCTTTCAGCACTTTGAATATATTATCCCATTTCTGTGAGATTTCTGATGCAAAAACTGTTATAATCTTATAAGGGTTTCTTTCTACATGATAAGTCACTTTTCTCTTGCTGCTTTCAAAATTCTCTTTTGTGTTTGACTTTTGACAATTTGGTTATAATGTGTCTCAGTGTTGAAGTCTTTCAGTTCATCTAACTCAGGGTCTGTTAGGATTCTTGGATCTGGACGTCCATTTTCTTTCCCAAATTTGAGAAATTTTTGCCCTTGTTTATTTGAATAAGCTTTCTGACCCTTTCTTTCTCCTCTGCTTCTACAACTCCCATATTACAAATATTGGTCAGCTTAATAGCATCCCATGCGTCCCTTAAACGTTCATCACTCTTTCTTCTTTTTTCCCTTCTTGTCAGATAATTTCAAATGATCTGTCTTTGGGTTTGCTGATTTTTCTGCTTGATCTAGTCTGCTGTTGAACACTTCTATTGAAATTTTTAGTTCAATTATTACATTCTTCAGCTCCAAGACTATTGTTTGGTTCTTTTAAAAATTTCTCTATCTCTTTGTTGAAATTCTCATTTCGTTCATGTATTGTTCTCCTGGCTCACTGAGCATTTTTATGATGGTTATTTTCAATTCTCTGTCAGGTAATTCAAATATTACTATTTCATAAGGGTCCATTTTGGAGCTCTTACTTCTTTGTTGGACTATGTTTCTCTATTACTTCTTCTTCTTTACTCTTTATTTTAGTATCTGTGCAATAGAAAAAATAACTATCTCTCTTAGTCTTCAAGACTGGCCTCATACAGAAGACCCTTAGCAATCAGCCTGGTCAGAGATTCTCGGGGGCTGTTCAAACGTTCATACTAGTCCCAGCTGCCTTTTGTTTTTAAGCATCTCTCAGGCATCTAGAATATGATGGGTTTTGTCAGTAATTTGAGACAGGTTAGACAGAAGCCCAGTCCCTTGGACAGCCCCCAGAAGAGTTAGAAAGTTGGATGAATGGTCCAATTGTTTCCCCCTGCAAAGTGAGAAGCTGGGATATGGGTTTTATTTTCCTGTTTGCTTTGCATTGAGCCTTTTGGAAAAGCTATGATAAGTGTTTTCATGCTAGTCCAAGATACCATCTTTGTTCTCAAACCATGCCCTCCTAATATCATCACTCTACTCCTCTGTCTTGACTTCTCATCAGTGAAACCTATAGTGGCAAATGAATAGTTAAAAAGGATGGAAAAAGAAGCTAGAAAAATAACTTAGTAGACATATGCAAGAAATTTTACTATCAAATGGAAAAAAATAGTTGAATAATACAGTAAAACAAGAGGACTTTTTTTTTTTTTTTTGCCACAGCAGAGGCAAGGAACAGCTGACACTTTTCCAAATTTATTTTTTACTGCAATTTTTATGCAAATTATTCACTACTGATTTTCAATCCAAGTTTGGAATTTAAAGAGGTTTGTGGAACTTCTACACAGTTTTCTCTTTTCCGTTAAGTTCTCACAGTCTCTTTTTTTTTTTTTTTTTTTTTTTTTGAGACGGAGTCTCACCCTGTCGCCCAGGTTGGAGTGCACGGGCGCGATCTCAGCTCACTGCAAGCTCCGCCTCCTGGGTTCAAGCCATTCTCCTGCCTCAGGCTCCCGAGTAGCTGGGACTACAGGCTCCAGCCACCACGCCCGGCTAATTTTTTTTGTATTTTTTAGTAGAAACGGGGTTTCACCGTGTTAGCCAGGATGGTATCGATCTCCTGACCTCGTGATCTGCCCGCCTCGGTCTCCCAAAGTGCTGGGATTACAGGCATGAGCCACCACGCCGGGCCCAACAATTCTCAAAAAAAAAAAAAAAAAAAAAAAAAAACTGGATCGGTAGGGTGATTAGAAACTTCTTGCTATTATCTGATGCATCCATGATAGAGATAGAGGCAAACGAAAATACTTTGATTTTGCTTGTTTCACTTTCCACATCTTCATCCATGTGGTTATCATAGTTCTGGCTCTGATTAAGTTTGGTATACTTTTAGTAAGTATGCATAGATTATGTTTAAATTATAAAGCGTATTTTAGTAATCCAAATTGCCAATGGCTAAGTGAAGTTTGAAAATAGGATCATATTCAATATCAAATTGAATAACGATATAAACATAATTAGAAATAATTGGGTGAGGAGTGATATATAATGCAAAACGGTAGCCATGAAGATTAATATAGTTTCTCATGTTTAAATGCCTTAAGGAAATAAGACTAATATAAAAGAAGGGAAAGTGAAATTTTAAATCTCAACAATTAGTATTTGTTGTATTACTATTCAAGAAATTTTATGTTTTCTATACTTGCAAAGTATAAAGATGTGTACTTTTTTTCTTGCAAAGAAAAAAAGATGTGTACCATTCTGCTCATATCATAAGCACATTTATATAATAAGGCATACTTCCTGCAGAAACTTCTCAATGGTTCTATTGAGATTGTGAGTGAAAGCATTAAGTAAATATTTTGAGACTTTTAAAAATATTTTCTACAAGATTTGATAATGCTAATTGTATATTTATACATTATTGCATCAACTGAATTTAGAAGTATACTTCACCTTTTTATAATTTTCCTTTTAATGATATAGTGATGCATGTATATTTATATCTTGATAAGGTCCCTTGAACTATGAATGAATCTTTTAGCTTTAAGTATTAAACTGCACAAGTATTGGGATACTGCCTTCCAAATATGTGTAGTAGACCTAGCCTACAAACAATCTAAAATGTGCAATAAAGCTACTACATCTGTGAGGGCTGACCCAACACAATATTTTAGAAATTATCAGCTTTCTCCAGCTCATTTAGAGAAACAAAAATAAAAAATAAAAACAACATGAATACGCTAAAGACTAAAAAACTTTTCTATAAAGTCCAAACTTTTGGTGAAATTTTCCTAAAAAGGTCAAGTGGATATTGACTTCGCTTTGAATACTCATCATGACCCCAAAAATGTTTAGATGGAAATGCAGTGGGTGGAATTTTGCGTCAGCTTAAGAATCAGCACAAGCAGTTCCCATCCCTTGCCTTTTGAGCATACTTCTGGCATCTTTCTGAACTTGTTTTTGTTAATACAAAGATTATAACTCCAACTCAATTTACTGTAGAGTATTTTAGAATCGCCGAATAATTAGTTTATTGACTTGGTTCTACCAAGTTCTATGCAAAGCTGACATTATTATGTACTCGGTTTATAGCCCTCCAACACTTATGGGCTGAAATGTGCCCCCCTCCTACCCCAAATTTATATATTGAAGGCCTGACTAACCCCTAGTGCCTCAGAATGTGACTGTATTTGGAGACAGGGTCTTTAAAGAGATAATTAAGTTAAAATGAGGTCGCTAGGATGAGCCCTAATCCAATATAACTGGTGTCCTTATAAAAAGAAAAAATTTGGACATAGACATAGACATACATAGAAGGAAGGCCATATAAAGGCATGAGGGAAGACAGCCATTTGCAAGCCCAGGAGAGAAGTCTCAGAAGAAACCAACACTGCTGACACCCTGATCTTGGACTTCTGGCCTCCAGGACTGTGAGAAAATATATTTTGGTTCTTCGTTTAAGCCACTGAATCTGTGTTACTGTGTTATAGCAGCCCCAGCAAACTAATACGCCAACTCAGAAATATTTTGAGAAGGCCTCCTCTGATGCAAAAACACATGAGTATTTTATCCTTCATTTTATCACAAGTCTGTAGATGATCACTCCAACATAAGACAACTTAAGCTTTCTTAGAAAGAAATTTATATATAGTTGACCCTTGAACAATACAGGTTTGAACTGTATGGGTTCAAGTCCACTTATATGTGAATTTTCTTCTGCCTCTGATACTCCTGGGACGGCAAGACCAACCCCTCCTCCTCCCTCTTCTTCTCCTCAGCCTACTCAACATGAAAATAATGAGGATGAAGACCTTTATAAAGATCCACTTCCACTTAAATATATTTATCTTTCTATGATTTTGAAAACATTTTCTTTTTTCGAGCTTTATTATAGCAGTATATAATACATATGACATGCAAAGTGTGTGTTAATCAACCGTTTATGTTCATTGGTAAGGCTTCCAGTCAACAGTAGGCTATTAATAAAGTTTTGGGGAGTAAAGTTACATGCGAATTTTCAACTGTGCAGGGGGCCAGCACCCCTAATCCCTGCATTGTTCAAGAATCAACTGTGTATGTGTGTCTATAAATAGTTCCTGACTTATGATGGATTGACTTACTATTTTTTAAATTTTATGATGGTGCAAAAGTGATATGTGTTTAGTAGGAAATAATACTTCAAATTTTGAATTTTGTTCATTTCCCAGGCTAGCAATATGTGGTATCTTGTGAAGTAGGGCAGCAGCAGTGAGCCACAGCTCCCAGTCAGCCACATAATCACAAGGGTAAATGATCAGTAGTCTACTCCACAGTGTATTATATTTAATGACTTACATGATATATTCAACACTTTATTATAAAGTAGGCTTTGTGTTTGATGATTTTGCCCAATTATAGGCTAATGTAAGTGTTCTGAGCACATTTAAGGTAGGTCGGTTAAGCTATAATGTTTGGTAGGTTAGGTATACTGAATGCATTTTCTACCTAACAATATTTTCAACTTACATTGCATTTATCAGATGTAACCCCATTGTAAACTGAGAAGGATCTCTCTCTACATATGTAAAGATAACAAAATACCCTAATGAGAAATAAGACAATGGCACTCCAAAACAGAAGCAGTAACTACAGTAAAGAAGGATCTTATCTAAAGCCTTCAGAATTTAGCAATGAATCATAGCTTATGCAGAAGATAATAATGATAATACTACTTATAACATAGAAACTGCAATCAATTCTCTTCTAGAAAGAGAGTTACAATATTATCACCATTTTTAAATGGTGACATAGGCTGCCCAGTTATATATGATTTAGGGATACTGATAATAATAACAATATTTTGCAATAACAAAATAATAAAGCATTTACTGAATGCTCACTATATGCCAGGTTCTATACTAAAGTCTTACATGGTTTATCACCTTTAATACTCACAACAGACCTGTGAATTAGGTAATCCTAAAAATCAAGTTCAGAGATGCTACTGATAACCAATAGATTCAGAGCACTGCTACATACTAGATGAACTGGAGCTGTTGGGCTGTTATAAAATCAAGTTTTTAAAAAGGCAGCTTGAATCCTTGGCCATCACGATGTCTATGGATTGTGAAAACCTTACCTGATGGCGTTTCTAGATTGAAGGCATCCATAAGTTTTGACAATAGTTCTTGCAGTTCCTCTTCCTCCAGCTCATCCTTTCTCTCCTTGATGTTACCTGCCTCTTTCTTTTCCACGGCTGCCAGAGCAGGACTGCTCATTTCAGCAGGAACCATTTTGGGGATGTCCTGCTTCAGTCCCTCCTGATAACTGGGTAGGGCACTAATGACTTTCTGTGGCATCTTTTGTGTTTGGCTTTGTGCCCTGGTGCTGTGCAAAGTGGTCTCTGGTGATTCTGGATTTCGCAGAGCATGCTCTGCATTTGTGTGACTTCTGTGACTTCTGTCAACCTCATCAAGCTTAGGAAGAGGTTCCCCTGTTGAAGCATCTTCAGTGGCATTCTTGATCTGCAAATAATCCCCTCCCTTTGGAACCTTTTCAGTTGAAGAATGGTCAACCTTGTTCCCCACATTTTGAAAGGAAGAAGATGAAGGACCGGGTGGCTGCAACCTTGCCTGGGGAAACAAAACTTTATTTATGAAGAAATTAATGTTTATCTTACTTTTTCATAAATGCATTACATTTCAACATTCCAACAGAACATTCTAATGCAAGACTTTTCTTTCTCCTCTGTAAATATATTATCATTACTATTAATTTTAATTTATTCTGCTAATTCTATGTCAACCTAAAACTCTCTACAAGAGCTGGAACAGCTCAGATTCTAAAATAACAGAGGGAATAATTACAAGAAATTTAGGAAAATTCTGGGTTCTAAAAAGCCCAAGTTCTAAAAATACCATAAGGAATTTCTGAAAACATAAGCATATGTTGAATTGACAGATAAAAATTATCACAATAAAGCATTTTATAATAGTCTTTCTGGTAGGTGTGTTGTGAAGGGTTTCACAGTAAGCCACAGGGAGAAAATCCAGGGATGTGCTCCGCTTGAAGCACAGTTCTCATTGTGTGGCCCACAGACCCTAGGAGATCCCCAAGACCCTTCTAGGGTTTGTGATGTCAAAATTATGTTCATAAGGATACTTAGATGTTATTTGTTTATTGTATTGACATGTGCACTGATGATGCAAAATCAATAAGTAAAGCTGTTGGTGCTTTAGTGTGAATCAAGGCAGCATCACCAAACAGTGCTAATAATCAGGGTATTCTTCACCCTCATACACTAGCAGTGGAAAAAAAAAAAAGCCAGTTCTGCTTAAGAACACCTTTGATGGAATAGAAATAGTTCTTAGTTTTAAAAATATGAACACATGTCTTTTAAATATTATGTGTGATGAAGTGGGAAGTGTGCATAAGACACTTCTGATGTGTACTGAAATATGAAAGGGTTGCCTCTTGTGTCAAAGAAAGACTGACAGACTATGGTTATTCAGACTTGGGTATTTGTCAAACAGTTTCTCAAAAATGAACAAAGCGAGAATGTCACTGCAAGGAGAACAATTAACAGTATTTGCTGTCAGTTATAACAGTTAAGGCCGGGCGCAGTGGCTCATGTCTGTAATCCCAGCACTTCGGGAGGTAGAGGTGGGAGGATTGCTTGAGGCCAGGAGTTCAAGACCAGTCTGGACAACATAGTGAGACCCCCTCCCTACAAAAAATAAAAATAAAAATTAGCTGGGTGTGCTGGCATGAGCCTGAGATCCTAGCTAGCCACGAGGTTGAGGCGGGAGGATTGCTTGAGCCCCAGGAGTTCGAGGCTGCAGTGAGTTATGATCCTGCCACTGTACTCCAGCCTGGATGACAGAGCAAGACCCTGTCTAAAATGTATATTTACATACATAAAAAACAGGCTTTCAGTCAAAACTTAGAATTTTGGAAAACTTGCATCCTACCACTATGAGCTTGATAGCTTTCCAATTCTTAGGCAATTTTGTAATTACATTGGCAGTGACATTAATGAACGTGAATTTTTTTCACCCAGTATCATAAAATGGATGAGCATTAGGACATTCAGTATAGCTCAGTGAACCAATATTTTCCAAATGACCAATGTATAATGTTACACAATCATGCGTGGCTAAGAGACCCACTTAAAGACCATGTAAGAACACTGGATTTTAATGAAACAGCGTGACATAAATATGGTTTCAGATTAAAGTCTCCTTTAAGAAGCTGTCATGTATCATGTTTTGGTGTAGTATTAAAGAGAAGTATGCCTCGGTATCTGAAAGGCTATTAATATACTTCTCTCTTTTTCACCTGCAAATCTGTGTGAGGCCTGATTTCTTCAGATACTTCAACCGAAACACATTGCAGCAGATTGATTGCTGAAGTGGTTACAAAAATTCAGCTGTCTTTTATTAAGCCAGGTATTTAAAGAGATTTGTGGAAAATATAGAGCAATGCCACTCTTCTAAGGTTTTTAGAAAAACATATTGTTTAAAAATGTTATCTGTATATTTAATGGGTTTATTATTTTTATGTTTTAGTTAGTGAATACATTTTAACTTCTCAGTTTTAATTTGCATTAATTTTATTACTTATTTAATTTATTTAACAACTCAGTTTTAATTTTCAGTAATTTTATTATTTATTTAATTTTATTTTATTATTAATTTAATTTTCATTCATTCATTTTCATTTTGTTTCTGTGGTTATATCTATAACAACAGATATTGATGCAAAAAGATATAACCACAGAACCAAATTCCCCTCGGGGTTCTCAAATATTTTTAAGAATGTACAGGGATCCTGAGATCAAAAGGTTAAAAAACCGACGCTATAAAGAATCACTTTGCCCCAAAGTCTATTGTTTGTAAATATTACAGATCCTGTTGTTTTTCAATGGCACTGCCTTCATGGAGGGATAGGATATAGCCTGGATGAGGAAATGGGAGGTCAGGGTACGGGGAGAAGAGGCAAGGGAAGAGGCTGATCAAAGTAAGGTGGGAAGCTCCTCCCTTGGCTGAAGGACTCAAGGTTAGACTTCCAGGCAGTCCAGATGGCCAGTGTCCCTCACATTTTATACCTGTAGGTCCCGTCTTATCTGTTGTAGCTTGGTCCATAGACTATCCTGGTTGGTTTTGAGTTTGTGAATCCTTGTTTCAAATCGACAAATTCTTTCTTCCTGGGAGGTGTATATAGCTTGCAACTTGTCTTTGTATTGGTTTAACTGTTTTTTAAGGAGCCTGAAAAGAGAACAGATTTGAGCGGTTTGGAAGGGCAAGAGGCCAGTACACTAATTAGAGCCCTGGTAAGATGTATTCCGGTCCTTTTTGTGGGAAAAGATGCTGGAAAACCCTGTGTCTCAACTGTGTTTTTTGTTGAGATGGAGCCTCGCTCTGTCACCTAGGCTGGAGAATGCAGTGGCGCGATCTTGGTTCACTGCAACCTCTGCCTCTTGGGTTCAAGTGATTCTCCTGCCTCAGCCTCCTGAGTAGCTGGGATTACAGGTGCACACCACCATGCCTGGCTATTGGAAAACCCTGTGCCTCAACTGTTATCTCACATTGATCAATATTGTTGACACTGTTTGTTCACCATGTGCAGCTGCCTTTGTGTGTATTATGGATATGATTCTACTAAGCATTCCACTGGCTTTAGAAGTATTTCAGAAAACTCACCACGCATATTACAGATTACTTTTGACAGCTTCCCTCTACTGGCTACTTAAATAGGAATATTGACTTTATACACTATCCTTTTGTCTAGAAATACTCCATTCAGAATGAAAGTACACCCGTCATGGCTAAACACCCAACACTTGACCAGGAACACAGGGGAGGAAGAATATTGCAGTTCATGGATTGTAGGTCTGCTTTGGCTTCTCTTTTTGTCTAGTTGTTCATTGGTTTAAGAATGAACCAAGAAGTTGGGTGCACTCACTCATGGGTGTGCGTGTGTGTGTGTGTGTGTGTGTGTGTGTGTGTTATCTTAGTGCTTTAGGAGGCCAAGTTGGGGTATCCCTTGAGGCCAGGAAATTGAGACCAGCCTAGGCAACATGGCAAGACCTCATCTCTACACACACACACACACACACACACACACACACACACAAATTAGCTGAGTGCGGTGGCACCTGTAGTCACAGCTACTTAGAAGGCTGAGTCAAGAGGATCACTTGAGCCCAGGAGTTAGAGGTTACAGTGAGCTATAACTGCACCACTGCTCTCCAGCCTGGCTGACAGAGAGAGACCCTGTCTCTAAAAAAATATGAACCAAGTAGTCAAGGTAATCAGGGCAATTCTTTAAAACAAAAGTCAAGCTATGTTGCTCTTCTGCTCAGAACCCTCCAGGGGCTCCCTCTTCATTTAGAGTAAACAAAAGTCCTTACAGAGGTGGACAAGCCCCACAAAGACGGCACAGACCCCCCTTCCCTCTCTGACCTCATCTCTTGCTTTCCGGCTTATTCACTGCCCTGTGGCCATATGGAGCTCCTCGCTCCTCTTTGAACACCCCAGGTCTGTTCCCCACTTAGAGTCTGCTCTTCTGCTCCCTCTGCCTGGATGCTGTTTCTTCCCCAGCTCATTGCTCAGTTCCCTCCCCAACCTCCTTCAAGTCTTTGCTCTCAAGGCGCCTTTTCAGTGAGGCATTATCTGACTGCCCTACTTGAATACAAAAATGACAACCCCAACCTCTCCTCCAGCATGGCCAAACTCTTCCCTTCTTTACTTGTCTCTGTGGCATTCTGCCATGTCTAATTACTACAGAGCCTGAAGAGTCCAGCCTTCAAATTTCTAGACAGCCATACACTGTGACAGACTATGGGCTTTGCTTATTATTTTACTTATATATTACCTACTCTACTCCTTAATTAATTGCTTATTGTCTATTTATTCTGGCAACTTTGCGTGTGCGTGTGTGTGTGTGTGTGTGTGTGTGTGTGTGTGTTGACATGTCTTCTGGATCAGGCCTAAAATAGTTCCTGTCATATAGTAGGTTTACAACTAAAATTGTCTAAATAAAGTAATTTTATTTGATCACTGCTGTTAGCATATTTGTGGAATTTGTGGAAATTGGCTGTCTGGTATGAAATGCAACATTTCTCAGTGTTAGAACCTGCGAAATTCCTAATTGCATAGAGCTTGGGGAGGTCTTGAAATTTAGTTTGGGCTCCCATGCAAAGCAGGCATCTCTGAAAGATAGCCCTCTAACTTCCAGACAGTCACACACAGGTGAAACAGGAGTCTGACTCTAAAATCCTTGCTCGTAATTGGAGTTTCAGGTATATCTTTATGATGGGTTTCTCAGAAAGGAGTCAGCCCAGGGATTTTACACAGCCAACAACAAAAAAACATTCTCAGACAGCCTGTCTAAACAGTGTTCTCTGGACCCAAAGTGTTGTGCTTGTTATGACCACTAACGATGTCAGGCTCTCTCTTTTCCTCATGTTGTCCACCACCCATGTCTGCTTCCTCCACTCTGGCCTATCCACCAGGTCTGGACAACTAGAAGACATAAATCCCTATCCTTCCACAATCCAGGTGAAAGAAGGTAGGACTCTGTCAGAAATCCAGTTCTTTTCTTCTTCTGCTTCTTTTTAAAGAAGAGATGCTTATGGGTTGTTTCTAGTAAATACAAATCACCTGGTGCCAATATTGCCAGCAACTGGGAGCCCAGGACTTTCCAGGCAATTATCTACTCATAACAAACAATTCAGGTTATCTAAGAAATAATTCCTTTCAAACGACATAAAATCTGCCTTTCTATACTTTTATATCTTTATCTGTATTCCTGCTTTCTGGTGGAGGCTAAGCAGCTTGAATCTCCCATGTATTAACTGTTCAAATGAAAACACGAATACTCCCTAGGCAAGCTAATCATGCCCAAAGCAGTTAAATGTTATTTAATTTGTCCATTACTGATATGGTTTGGCTGTGTCCCCACCCAAATTTCATCTTGAATTGTAATCCCCATAATCCCCACGTGTCAAGGGCAGGACCAGGTGGAGGTAATTAAATCATGAGGGCAGTTTTCCCCATGCTGTTCTCATGATAGTGAGTGAGTCTCACGAGATCTGATGGTTTTATAAGCATCTGGCGTTTCCCCCGCTTGTCCTCACTCCATCCTGCCACCCTGTGAAGAAGGTGTCTGCTTCTCCTTTGCCTTCCACCATGATTGTAAGTTTCCTGAGGCCTCCCCAGCAGTGTGGAACTGTGAGTCAATTAAACCTGTTTGCTTTATAAATTACCCAGTCTCAGGCGTTTCTTCACAGCAGTGTGAGATTGGACTAATAAATTTACCTAGCACAGTGTAGACTAATAATAGATAACTAGTAATTGAATAGTACTCTTTCTGTTAATGTGTCTGAGACTGTTGCTTTTAAAATAATCAGTGACATAATTGACTATCAGTGAACTTGCAGTTAACTACCACATATATCACAGGTCTTTTTCACACTACTTGTGCACATGGGCCTCCAATTGTGGGACTTTAATCCCTTAAAATTTGGTCTTTATTAACTGCCTCACTATTCCAGTCTATTACATCTCAGTGATCCAAGACTGTAATTCAGTTTATTACCTAGGGGTTTTGGTATCATGTCACACACACATTTGAGAATTGGGCTGTCTACAGTTTCATCCAAATTATTGATAAAAATGATGGTGCAGACAGGAACAAAGATGGAGCTTCATGTTTTATTTCATTCAATAATCAGCCTTACACTTTGGTACACTTTGTAGTGATAAATACTTTAGCAGTATACAAATGCTGTAAATAGTAGACATGGATTATATCAAAGGGAATATTTAGTTTAAAATGATTCATTTTAAATAATCATTTTAAGAAGGTAAGTTAAAAAAACTAAATTTTAAAATTTGCTTTTATTTCTACATTTTCAATTTTAATATAGCCTTTCTAGTGCTTTACTGCTTTAAAAATGTTTTCTAATTTCTTTTTCTTATTCCATGAAAAAGATGAAAACTACTTTTAATATTTAAATTATTTTGATACTTTAAAAGTGTTTATTGAACTCCTTTTCCTGAGTTATCACAGAATTTAGAAAATGTTTTATTTCTTCTGTACATTTAGATTAGGAAGCATATCTCATCATACATATATACATAGAATTGCTAGTTTATTGGACATGTACTGGATATTAAGTATTGTGCCTGAAAACAAAGGTCTTCCCTCAGGGGAAACTTCTTACTGGGGAGCCAGGAATTCTGTCTTCTAAAGGAATAACAGCAGGAGCTAAGAGCTCAAGAGATGATTAGTTCCTTAAGACACAATAAGAAGATGATAGACAGTTTCCATTCAGCCTAATAAACCTAGTAGAAAGTTAGAATGCTGTTGGATAACAAGTACTGATTTCTTTAGAAGAAGGTAAAACACATACATAACACAAGATATACACAAGAATCAATACTTCACTAAAAGTGCTTAACTAAATTCCAAGGAATAAAATCAGGCAATCGAAAGTCAAAACTTACTTAGCCTGGTCATTTTTGTTATGCTTAACTACTCAAATACAGTCAAAGCTCCCTTTAACCTTCATATTGGAATCACAGGATTTCTTGGCTTAAAATTTTCTCCCAAATTAAAAAAAAATGGTAAAATTTTTGTAGAAAATTTTTCTCTAAAAGCAAAGGAAATGCTATGGATTTCTCTCTGTGGTCGGTATTTGCACATACTCATGTGGCTCCTATCTTCTTTCTCTATGGAGAGCATTAATGGATTCATGAGTCCTCGGCAGTTCATTCCTAGTGCTGACCATGGTCTAGAGAAGGAAGAAATAAAAAAATAAGTTTTTGGTTTGAATTTAATCCACATCCTAAAAATCCATATAAGAACATGATAATTATGTTTTTCAAAGAAATTCAATCTATTTCAAAAAGTGGCTGCTGTTTGGGTTTACATTCGTGTATGATGACGCAGATGTTTACATGCTCAAAGTACAACTGCATATCCAATTTCACAAAAGAAGTTAAAACAGTTTTAGGTTTTAGAAATAACGTCACAATAGTCTTTTGCTCAAGTTAAGTTGCTACCCTGAATGTCTTCTTCCCCAAAGGCATCTACAGGAAGCAGTTGAGTCACTTTCTTTCCCTTGGCTTAGGAAGTCTCTTACTTCTACCATACACCTTTAACTTTCACTTTCTTGTCTTTCCTTTGCTTGCTACCTGCGTGTGCACTAAAGTCATCATTTCTTTTCAAATCCACCAAGTGTTTTGAATAAATAATGGTCAACTTGGCTGTCACTTAGGAATTCCCCACCAAACCTTGTCTCTTACATCACACTCTGCGCCCTGAACTGCAACCCCAGGACAAGTTCTGACCTGACCCAGTCTGGCCCAGGCTCCTGGGGCACCATGTTCCAGCCCTTGGCTCCCACACATCGGAATGAAAGATTGGATTTCATTACACTCCATTTATAAACAGCTGTGGCTACAATCTGCAGTCTTCTCCCATCCCTGCAAATGATCTGAAGAGGGGCTGGCCATTTTAGGAACATTGTTGCACAGGAACAGCCTGAAAAAGCAAAAGGGCAGTAGCAGGAAGAAGAAACTGAACTATATACAGACTTAAAGTCGCATTCTCTGGTTGCTGTGTGCCCTTTGCAGCCCCTTTGAGTGAAATGTGCCACTGCCTCTTCATTCAAATACTTAAACAGCTTCCACGTGCATAGCATAGTCTTTGAATCAGCGAACTTTACATTATTTTTAAAATAATTACAACTCAAATAATAATTGCAGAATATCATGGCTTTGTAAAATGACTGTACTCTCATAAGCCATTGTTTACCTCTATTCAGTCTCTATATATGGTGGAGATAGAGTAGGAAAAGTGTATACATATGCTATAAACTTATTTATGTGTTCTAACACTTAGGGAGAACAATGAAAAACCTTAAAATTCTCAAATAACTCAGTGATTTAATGTATATTGTTAATATGAAGAAAATCTTTAAAAGAATTTCTTGCACCAGTATTATGTGGTACATATTTTTCTGCAATTGAGAAGCATTTCAGGTTAGTGCAAATGGTGGTATATCCATAGAATAGACACTATGGTTTATTTAGTCATTCGCAATGAAAGCATAAGCTGTTTCCAATATTTCAAAATCTTCAAAATGAAAAGCAATGCTGTAGTAAACATAGCCGTATGTGCCTCCTTGTACACATGTGCAAGGTTCTTGGGTTTTAAGTTTAATAGACACTATCCATTTGCCCCTTTGGGCAGGTGCATGCGCGTACACACATACACACACACTCACACACTTGAAAATGCATAGAAAAAGATCTGCAAAGATATACTTCAAACAGATTACCTCTGGGGAATTAGGGACTGGACCTGGGTTGAGAATTATGGTTGAAAAGGACCTTAGATTTATTTATAATATTTTAACTTCTTATACGTCAAACAGATTCATGTCTTATTTCTATGAAGTGCATTTTTTAATAAAAATATGTTATATACCTAAGATAGGATGTAGCAACTTTAATAATGAAGGTGAGAGGGAAGTAAAAGAAAAGTGAAATAAAGGAACAAAACAGCTCTTAAATTTCCTCCCTCAGAACAAATGGATGTTACAGTGAAGAAAAGCCTGAATTGTGAATGTTTTTCCATCCTCGTTTGTTTGAAGCAGGAAATAGAGTAGCTCCTTATTTGTCCTCATACATCAGTCCAGCTCTCTGTCGCACACTCTAGCATGATGCCTGTGTCTTGGCAGGTGTCCCATGAGGGGTGTCTCCTGGTGTCCCAGTCTGTATGAGCTGATGAGTAAAATGCAGACAGGCCCAATAAAACATCACACACAGGTGGCCACTTGTCACTGGATGGTCACAAGACTTACTCTCCACTCACACTTAACTGCAATACGGAAACTCCAGTTTTTCTCTGACTATTACAGATGACCATATTCTGAAAACCTTTCTTAAGCTCAGACTGTACTGATTATGATTGCACGAAAGCTTACAAGTGGAGTTACACATGTGGGGGCAAATAAACAGCTGATTGAAAACATGCTAAAGTATTTGCAGAATGTACACTTAAAAAAACATAGCATTTCTAATCTCTTTGATGAAAAAACTTCACTGGTATTTTTAAAGTTCACTCCCCCATCTTATTTTTCTTTTTTAAAAAAACTTGCATTTTGAGTTCAGGGGTACATGTGCAGGATGCACAGGTTTGTTACGTAGGTAAATGTGTGTCATGGGGGTTGCTGTACAGATTATTTCATCACCCAGGTATTAAGCTTAGTTTCCACTAGTTATTTTCCTGATCCTCTCCCTCCTCCCACCCTCTGCCCTCCAGTAGGCCCCAGTGTGTGTTGTTTCCCTCTATGCAACCATGTGTTCTCATCATTTAGCTCCCAAGCTCCCACTTGTAAGTGAGAATATTTCTTTCTTATCTCTTCCCTTTTTAAAATTTCTGAACATTTTACTGACATATGCATGCATTGGTTCTCCTATTTTTTATTTTTTTATTTTTGAGATGGAGTCTTGCTCTGTCGCCTAGGCTGGAGTGCAATGGCACAGTCTTGGCTCACTGCAACCTCCTCCTTCTGGGTTCAAGCGATTCTCCTGCCTCAGCCCCTCCAGTAGCTGGGATTACAGGCACGCACCACCACACCCAGCTAATTTTTGTGTTTTTAGTAGAGACGGGGTTTCACCACATTGGCCAGGCTGGTCTCGAACTCCTGACTTCATGATCTGCCCACCTCGGCCTCCTAAAGTGTTGGGGTTACAGGCATGAGCCACCACGCCTGGCCGGTTCTCCGATTTTTTAAAATAACCTAAGATCTTATGATACTGAGTTGGCAAGTTAAGGCCCTCTGGGCAGAAGGAAGCCTTATCTGTAAGTTATAATCAGAAGTCTTGGGCAGAGACTTCATATCTATAGACACTGTAGTAGTTTAAAGATGACAGGGTTGAATGCAACCTATCTTAGAAATGGTCCCCTCAAAGCTGAACTTTGTCCGCTAACGTGGTAAACAACACAGTTCATTGGTTGCATATCAGAGGTGGCACATATTGTTGTGGTTAGAATTGCCCATTCTTTTGGGACAACAGATTAAAGAAAATTCATGTTGCTCAGCCATATGTAAATGAGAATAGGCTTTGTGTCTTCTTAAGGACATCACTATTGAGTCTTCTAATACATGCCACAAAGGAGCAATATAATTTATACTATAATTGAGTACACCAGCACACTACTGTTGCAATTAATTTATAGTTCTTACCTGGATAGACAATTTACAATAGACTTTTATCCTTACAAACATCCAAATTATCTGGTCTACTCTACTCTTCCAGAAAAATTATGCAATTGGGCATATTAAATAGACCAAAGGCTGACCAGTAGTTGTGTATTTTGAGGATATTATAGATTTTCTTAGCAGATATTTAGAAACAAAAATGATCTTTAGGAAAAAAAATGACTTGATTTCTGGGAGTAAAAGTTGAGCATATTTGAGTTGAATTCAAATAGAAATTTGAAGATTTGAAAAATAAATAAAATGATACACTTAAAATATTTTTCTTAACTAATTATTTTGAAAATCTTGATAAAGTAGATAATTCCTTCAAGAAAATTAAATCATCAAAGTTGACTGAAGAAAGCATGAAGAGACTATTAAGTTTGAACAAATAAAAAATTTATGAAACTATTATAAAGCCTCCAGTGCCCAGGGCTTTACTGTTGAATATTAGCAATTGTTAAAGAAATAAATAATTTCTATGTTAGATAAATTATTTCAAACACAAGAAAAGATGAAATATGACTCAGTTGTTTAATGTAGCCATAAAAACTCAAATGCTCAAAACTGATGCAGATAAGATGGAGTGGGGAGATATTCTGATTCATAAATGTTGCAATTCTAAATAGAAAACAAAATTTAAAGGACGTTTAAAGAATAATCTACAAACAAGTGTAGATTTTAGTTGCAGCAATGCCAGAAATGTTTACTATTACTCTATTAATGAAATACTTCCAATAAGAAAAAAATGTTTGAAAATTTCAGTTGGTGCTGAAAACAGATTTTAAATAAGTAAATCAAAACACCTCCCCCAAAAAAGTTTTAAAAACAAGGACCAGAAAAACACTTCCTCTACGTTAAAAACCATCTCGAGCCAACAACTAAAACTGTAATATCTAAAGGAAAAGCACTAGAGAAATGCCCCCACTAAATCTACTCTCATTAAAAATAGTTGCCCCATTATCTCTTGAATTATCTATCATTGCTCTGAAAGATGTGGAGTCTTTCAGGAATAAAGACCTGAAATAGAAACAAGAGGTTTAAATATTGGAGGGGAAAAAACATATATATATATGTGTGTGTGTGTGTGTGTGTGTGTGTGTGTATATATGTGTATATATATTTAAATATATATACACATATATTTAAATATATATGTATTTTTGTATTTAAGTGTATTTAAATATATATGTATATATGTAAATAAACATATATATGTGTATATATGTATGTATGTTATATTTAAATATATATTTATATTTTATATGTTGATCTTTAAATATATTTAAATATATATATTTTTTTCAGATTGTGTGATTGTCTACCTAGAAGCAAGATGTTCAAAATAAACCAATATTTGAGTTTCTAAAACAATTCATTCAGAAAAGTTTCTCTTTTCAGGGTAACTATTCAAAAAGCCATAGCTTTCCAAAATATCATCATCAATAATTAAGAAATAATACAGTGGGAAAAGCCCCTACTCACAATATTATCACAATATGACAGGAAATCAGCTATGTATAACCTTTTACTGAGAGACAGAAAAACACTTGAAAAAATAGAGAAACCTAAATATCACAAAGATAAAAGATGTTTCCACATCAACATATAGGTTTAATGCAAAGCTAACCAAAATACTAATAGGATTAATTTTGGCACCTTAGAAATGATTTCAAGATTCGTTGAGAAGAATAATTGTGTTATACAACCCCATCAAAAAGTGGGCAAGGGATATGAACAGACACTTCTCAAAAGAAGACATTTATGTGGCCAACAAACATGAAAAATAACTCATCATCACTGGTCGTTAGAGAAAAGCAAATTAAAACCACAATGAGATACCATCTCAAGCCAGTTAGAAAGATGATCATTAAAATGTCTGGAAACAACAGATGCTGGTGAGGTTGTGGAGAAATAGGAATGCTTTCACACTTGGTGGGAGTGTAAATTAGTTCAACCATTGTGAAAGTCAATGTGGCAATTCCTCAAGGATCAAGAACCAGAAATATCATTTGACCCAGCAATCCCATTACTGGGTATAAACCCAAAGGATTATAAATCATTCTACTATAAAGACACCTGCACACATAGGTTTAATGCAGCACTATTCACAATAGCAAAGACTTGGAAGCAACCCAAATGCCCATCAATGATAGACTGGATAAAGAAAATGTGGCACATATACACCATGGAATACTATGCAGTCATAAAAAAGAATGAGTTCATGTCCTTTGCAGGGACATGGATGAAGCTAGAAACCATCATCCACAGCAAACTAACACAGGAACAGAAAACCAAACACTGCATGTTCTCACTCATAAGTGGGAGCTGAACAATGAGAACACATGGACACAGGGAGGAGAACATCACATACCGGGGCCTGTCAGGGGGTCGGGGGCAAGGGGAGGGAGAGCATTAGGACAAATAGTTAACGCATGCGGGGCCTAAAACCTAGATGATGGCTTGATAGGTGCAGCAAACCACCATGGTACATGTATATCTGCACGTTCAACACATATATCCCAGAATTTAAAATTTTTAAAAAAGAATAATTGTGTTATAATAGCTAATACGTAAAAATATAAAAATGAAAAGGGGGAAAATGGTTAATGGGTATAAAGTTTCAGTTATGCAAGATAAGCAAGTTCTGGAGGTGTACTAAACAGCAGTGCCTATAGTTAACAGCACTGTGTATTGTATACTTAAAATTTGCTCAGAGATTAGATCTTGTAGTGTTCTTACCACACATACAAATTAACTATAATAATTATAAAGGGAGGAAACTTTAGGAGGTGATGGGTATGTTTATGGTTTCACAGGTGCACCTTTATCCCCAAACTCATCAAATGGTATACATTAAATATGTACAGCTTTCTTTTTCTTAAAAAAAACTGATTAAATGGTATTTATATATTTATTTATTAAGACAGGGACTCGCTCTGACACCCAGGCTGGAGTGCAGCGGTGTGATCTAGGCTTACTACAGCCTCTGCCTCCCAGGTTCAAACAATTCTCCTGCCTCAACCTCCCGAGTAGCTGGGATTACCGGAGTGTGCCACCACGCCTGGCTAACTTTTTGTATTTTTAGTAGAGATGGGGTTTCACCACATTGGCCAAACTGGTCTCGAACTTCTGAGCTCAAGTGATCTGCCTGCCTCAGCCTCCTGAAGTGCTGGGATTACAGGTGTGAGCCACTGCACCCAAGCATGTACAGCTTTTGCATGTCAATTGTATCTCAATAAATTGGTTAACAAAATGAAATAAAAAGGGAAAACTAGCTTTATGTTAATGGCTATCAGAAAGCTAGAATAATTCAAATAATGCTGTTCTTATGTAAAAATAAAATGAAAAGCAACTGAGCTGAATAGATAGCATTAAAACACATTCTAAAATGACAAATTTTTTGGTATATACTACAGGAACCATGATAAAAATTAAAAAGGAAAGGATTTATTCAAAAAAAGGAATAGGGGACTCTCTTAGCTTACCTCTGATTATGCATCAGAATAAAAACCAGATAGATTTAAAAGCTATGTGTCAAGATAATCAAATGATGTTAAAACAAAATACAGCTAGAGTCATTTGATTTCTCAATGAATAAATTTTTCCCAGCATAAAACTGTGAAAGAAATTACAAAGAAAAAGAAAGAGACTGATAATGTTTTTAGACTGAGCATGGTGGCTCACACCTGTAATCCCAGCACTTTGGGAGACTGAGGCGGGCAGATCACATAAGGTCAGGAGTTCAAGACCAGCCTGGCCAACACAGTGAAACCCCGTCTCTACTAAAAATACAAAAATTAGCTGGGCGTGATGCGGGCACCTGGAATCCCAGCTACTTGAGAGGCTGAGGCAGAATAATCGCTTGAACCCGGGAAGCGGAGGTTGCAGTGAGCCAAGATAGTGCCCCTGTGCTCCAGCCTGGGTGACAGAGCAAGACTCCATCTCAAAAAAAAAAAGACTAACGCTTTTATAAGAATTGAAAGTTTATATGTAGGAAGTCAAATTATCAATAAGACTAAAAGGAAATAACTAGGAAGAAAGATTTCCCTAGTCAAAATATAAAAAGTTTAAATACATTGGTAAATCAAACTGATTCATCAGTAAAAACGGCAGCAGGTGCTGATGAAGGAAAAAATACAGTTGCCTTGTACATTATGTGGGGAAAAGCTTCATTTCACTCTGAGTCAGAGAAATGCAAATTAAAGCAAATTAAATATATTCCAGTGATAAAATTATCAAAAATTAAAACAAGGCGATAGTCAATATTAGCAAGGATCTTGTGAGAAAGGTGCTACATTCACTAGAAGCCTAACTTGGTATTCCTTTCTAAAAGGCAATTTTGCAATAAGCATGAAGAGCCTTAAAAATGTTTGTACTTTTCATTCTTGTGATTCACTTTAGAAATGTATCCTAAGGAAATAATTGGAGATGTTTACAAAGAACAATGTATAAGAATTTTAATAGTGAAGTTTTAAATTATAGCAAAAATTAGAAATAATCCAAATATCAACAACGGTGGAGTTAAATCATATTATGCTTATTTAAATAAAAATTATATAACCATTAAGATGTTTTTTGAAGAATTACAATGACAATGGAAAATGCTCTTAATCTAACTATAGAGAACTATATAATGAATAAATTTTACAGTGTAGTCTAAGCTAATTTTAAAATGTTTATAGGAAAGGAAGTATACCAAAATATTGACAGTGGGGTAATAGCGGATTATTTGCCATTTTAATTTTGTTCTTTGTTCTCTTTTGACTTTTTGAAACTTTCTATAATAAATGTATAGCACTTTGTGATTTGAGATAAAAAGTTATTCAATAAAAGAAGGTTTTAGATTTTTCCTTGGTCATATGAACATCTTAAAAAGAATCCCCAAACTAGGGAATGCTTCACTGAACTTCACTGCAAAATGGTCCAGATTATTTGTGCTTTAGTAGCAGTTCCTTTCCGTTTTGGACTCACCTGGTAACATGAGTTGCTGTCCTCAGTTTGTTGACCCCGAGACATTCTTTCAGGTACAGGTATAGGCTTGGAGGCACCTGTGGCTGCTGTTTCCATTGGTCCAGTTGGCCTTACATCTGCTGTTCCTTTAGAACTCTTGTACTGAATGGAGACGCTATTACTGAGTTTTATAAGAAAGTTGTAGCAACTTTTAATTATCAGGTATGACATTGAGGAAAGCCTTTTTAGAAAATGTACATTAGATATTGAAGGTTTTACTCACCCACCCCCACAATAGCAATAAAGCAGGCCAACTTTTCTCTCTGTGTTCTTTTCCAGACAATTTTGTTGACAGAGTCAAGTAGCCAATAATAGAAATAAAAATTCAATTTTCCCTTCTCCTTGACAATCTAGACATGAGAATGCAAAGAATTCAGGGGTGACAGCAGAAAATCCCCCAGGTCATCTTGTCCAGGTCAGACATTAGGAGTTATAAATGCAGGTATGTGTTTATCACGTCAAATCTGAAAGAACATATAATATATCAGACTAGTTTAAGGTCAGGTATATTCTGTTATACAATTCCATTTGGTTTCATTCCTTTATTTAAAAACTATTTTTAAACATCATCTCAAGTTATGGCAGATATAAAACAAAAAAGCAGAGAACTCCTGATTCCAGATAATTCACATCTAAAGAACAGATAAATATAGAATCATTTTACACATAACATTATGCTTTCTACAAGACACAATGAGAACATAAGGAAAGACACGATTATTCTGTGATATACTTAATTATACCAGGGGTGTGCATTTTGGGGTAGAAGAATAGGGTGACCCACAGTTTCTTTGTAACAAACCTTCTGAATGACAAACTCGATTCCTACCCCATCTGAGATCATTTTCATATCTTGGTATTGTTCTGCTCTGTCTTCATTTGCTCAGGATGCTATAACAAACAGACTGGGTGGTGTAAGCAACTGGCATTTATTTTCTCACAGTTCTAGAGGCTGAAAGTCTGAGATCAGAGTGCCAGCGTGGTCGGTCATACACTGTGTTAGTCAATTTTCATACTGCTGTGAAGAAATACCCGAGATGGGGTAATTTATAAAGAAAAAGAAGTTTAATGGACTCACAGTTCCACATGGCTGGGGAGGCCTCATAATCATGGCAGAAAGCAACAGAGGAACAAAAGCACGTCTTACATGGCAGCAGGCAAGAGAGTGTGTGCAGGGAAACTGCCCTTTATAAAACCATCAGATCTTATGAGACTTACTCACTATTATGAGAAGAGCATGGGAAAAACCTGCCCCCATGATTCAATTACCTCCCACCAGGTCCCTCCCACAACACATGGGGATTATGGGAGCTACAATTCAGGATGGGATTTGGGTGGGGAGACAACCATATCATATACACATCATTTTCTGTACTCAGATATTTACAAACATCAATATGTATTTTAAATGTTTTTTTAAAAAACAAGGAAATCATTCCAGACACATTATTCTGCTACTTGCTTTTTTCTCTGATGCATGATGGTGAATTCCTTCCAGTATAGTAGATAGCAGCTAAAACTTGTTCTTTTAAGTAGATTCATTATGTTCTGCAGAATGTTCGTAATCCTACATATTCCACCACTTTTCTACGAAGGGGCACTTAGGTTGTTTCTGGCTTATTGTCCTGTACTCCAAGGGCCAAATCTTGTGTATATTTTAATGACTAATAAATACCCTATTCTAAAGTGAATCCTTCTACATGTATCCCACCCCCTCTTTGCTGAATGACATTGCTCCAATAATTCTCCCCTGTTGCACCAGTTCATCAGTTTTTCTATGAATTCATTCCCTCAAACAAATGGGTATACAGGCTCTTTTTTGGTTCCATATGAAATTTAAAATAGTTTTTTCTAATTATGTGAAGAATGTCAATGGTAGTTTGATGGAAATAGCTTTGAATCTATACTTTGGACAGTATGGCTATTTTCACGATATTGGTTCTTCTATTCATGAGGATGGAATATTCTACCATTTGTGTCCTCTCTTATTTCCTTGAGCAGTGGTTTGTAGTTCTCCTTGAAGAGGTCCTTCACATCCCTTGTTAGCTGTATTCCTAGGTATTTTATTCTCTTTGTAGTAATTGTGAATGGAAGTTCATTCATGATTTGGCTCTCTGCTTGTCTATTGTTGTTGTATAGGAATACTTGTGATTTTTGCACATTGATTTTGCATCATGAGACTTTGCTGAGGTTGCTTATCAGCTTAAGGAGATTTTGGGCTGAGACAATGGGGCTTTCTAAATAAAGAATCATGTCATCTGCAGACAGAGACAATTTGACTTCCTGTCTTCCTATTTGAATATCCTTTATTTCTTTCTCTTGCCTGATTGAGCTGGCCAGAACTTCTAATACTATGTTGAATAGGAGTGATAAGAGAGGGCATCCTTGTCTTGTGCCAGTTTTCAAAGGGAATGCTTCCAGCTTTTGCCCATTCAGTATGATATTGTCTGTGGGTTTGTCATAAATAGCTCTTATTATTTTGAGATACGTTCCATCAATACCTAGTTTATCGAGAGTTTTTTTAACATGAAGGGATGTTGAATTTTATTGAAGGCCTTTTCTGCATCTGTTGAGATGATCATGTGGTTTTTGTCAGTGGCTCTGTTTATGTGATGGATTATGTTTATTGCTTTGTGTATGTTGAACCAGCCTTGCATCCCAGGGATGAAACCAACTTGATTGTGGTGGATAAGATTTTCGATGTGCTGCTGGATTCAATTTGCCAGTATTTTATTGAGGATTTTTGCATCAATGTTCATCAGGGATACTGGCCTGAAGTTTTCTTTTTTTGTTATGTCTCTGCCAGGTTTTGGTATCAGGATGATGCTGGCCTCATAAAATAAGTTAAGGAGGAGTCCCTGCTTTTCAATAGTTTGGAATAGTTTCAGAAGGAATGGTACCAGCTCCTCTTTGTACCTCTGGTAGAATTCGGCTGTGAATCTGTCTGGTCCTGGACTTTTTTTGGTTGGTAGGCCATTACTTACTGCCTCAATTTCAGAACTTGTTATTGGTCTATTTAGGGTTTCGACTTCTTCCTGGTTTAGTCTTGGGAAGGGTGTGTGTGTCTAGGAATTTTTCCATTTTTTTCTAGATTTTCTAGTTTATTTGCCTAGAGGTGTTTACAGTATTCTCTGATGGTAGATTGTATTTCTGTAGGGTCAATAGTGTATTCCCTTTCTCATCTTTTGTTGTGTCTTTTGATTCTTCTTTCTTTTCTTCTGTATTAGTCTAGCCAGTGGTCTATCTATTTTGTTAATTTTTTTCAAATTAATCCAGCTCCTGGATTCATTGACTTTTCAAGGGTAAAAGGTCAATTGTTATTTGACCTAGCAGCAGCATTTGACAGTAGAACACCATGCTGTGTCCTTGAACACTTTCTTCACCTGTCTTCCAGGATTCCTCACTTTCTTGGTTTTCTTCCCTCTCCATTCTTTCCTCTTTCTCAGTCTCCCTTTCTGGTTTTTCTTCTTTTCTGCAGCTTTGTAAATGGAGTGTCACAGGGCTCAGTCTTTGATCCTCTTCTCTTTCCCCTCTACACTCTCTCTTTGATGATCTCATATAACCTCATGGCTTTAACAACCATTAACATGCCAACAACCCCCAAATTTGTATCTCCAGTACAGACCCTTTTTTCCAAGTTCCAGCTATGAATAGTCAACTGCTTGGTCAATATCTCCCTGTGGACATCTCAGAGACTTCTCAATTTTAATGTGTCCCAAACTAGACTCCTGATTTCCTCCACAAACCTTCTCTACCTGTAGCCTCCCCATCTCGGTTGATGGCAATCTTATTCTTCTACTTACTATAGAACCACCATGACAGTATAATTTAGTGCAAATGCAGGAATAGACACATAGATCTAAGGATGAGAATATAAGTTCTATTAGCCCAAGTATACAAGGAAAGCTAATATGTGAGAAAGCTGGCATTTTAATTAAGTGGGAAAAAGATCACATAATTGGCTAAAAGATCACATAATCCCCTACACCAGGAAAAAAAGTAAAGCTAGACCCTTGCTAAAATAAATTCCAAACAGATTGAAATTTTAAGTTAAAATTTGTAATAGAAATATTGGAAAAAATTTAGGAAAATGTTTATATAACCTTGCTTCTAACTCTTGGCTCTCTTTAGTCTATTCTCAACATAGCAACCAGACTGAGAGTTTTGAAACCTCAGTTAAATTCTCTACTAACAATCCTCCAATGTTTCCCCAGAGTAAAAGCCCAGGTCCTTACATTGGCCTTCCATCTGCCCCCACTTCCTCACCTCTTCTTTTTACTTTTTCTTTTTTTTTTTTTTTTTTTTTTGAGATGGAGTCTCACTCTGTCACCCAGGCTGGAGTGCAGTGGCTCTCTCTTGGCTCACTGCAACCTCTGCCTCCCGGGTTCAAGTGATTCTCCTGCCTCAGCCTCCCAAGTAGCTGGGATTACTGGTACATGCCACCATGCCTGGCTAATTTTTGTATTGTTAGTAGAGACAGGGTTTTACCATGTTGGCCATGCTGGTATCCAACTCCTGGCCCCATGTGATTTGCCCACCTTGGCCTCCTGAAGTTCTGGGATTACAGGCATGAGCCACCGCGCCCTGCCTTATTTCTTCTCTTATTACTCTCCTTCCTCATCCCACTCAATCATGCTAGCCCCCTTGCTGTTCTTTGAATCCATTAAAATTAATGGCAAAAACCGCAATTACTTTTGCACCAACCTAATACCAAGCATGCCCCCACTTGGTGCTGGCTGTCTCCTCAGTTTGCAGTGTCCTTTTCTCAGATGTCTGCATGACTTACTCCCTCACTTCCTTCAAAACTTTGATCAAATGTCACCTCTCACTGAGGTCCGCTATAACCACCATACTTAAATTTGCTGCCATCTCTCCAAGTCTTTATTTTTCTTACCTGCCTCTCCTTTTTTTAAACTTTAATACTTAAATATTTTAACATATGATATAATTCCTTTATATACCATTTCCATTTGTCTGGTCCTCACTAGGATGCAAGCTCACCGAGAGCAGAAATCCTTGTCTCTTTTTCTTCATTGATGTAGCCCAAGTTCCTAGAACAACATTCAATAAACTTATTGAATAAATATTTTTCAGTGTATTTTCTGAAAATTCTGTAGCCATTTGTACTTCTACCAGATTTCAAGAGCATCTATGTTCTTCCCTCCTCACCAGCAAAGGATGTTGCCATTCATTTTAATCTTTGTCTTTTCAATAAGTAAAATGATGATATGTCATTGTTACATTTTTCTTTTTTCTTTTTTTCTCTTTGAGACAGGGTCTTGCTCTGTCACCCAGGCTGGAGTGCAGTGGCACTATCATGGCTCACTGCAGCATTGACCCCCTGGACTCCAGCGATCCTCCTACCTCAGCCTCCCAAGTAGCTGAGGCCACAGGTGCACACCACCACACCCAGCTAATTTTAAAATTATTTGTAGAGATGGGGTCTCCCTATGTTGCCCATGCTGGTATCAAATTCCTGGCCTCAAGTGATCCTCCTTCACTTTGAGAGGCAGAACCTTCAGCCTCCCAAAGTTCTGGGATCACAGGCATAAGCCTGGCCTATTTGCCTTTTTTCTAACCAATAGAGAGGTTGAGCATCTTTTTGGGTGTCTAAGGGCCATTTGCAACTCTTCTTCTGTGATTGCCTATTTACATATTTTGTGTATTTTCCTCTTCACCCACCTCTTCTTCCCCATTTTCTTCTTCTTCTTGAGTTTTTTTTCTTAGAAAGTATAGCCTCTTTATTTTCTGCTACTCATCATCAAATACAGGTAGTTATTAATGTCATATGAGCATAAAAGATTTATAAACCAGAAATGTATTTTCTAAGAAGCAACTTACAAATGACTCAGATAATAAGTTTTATCAGTTTAATTGGTGAAGTCCTAAGATAAAGCAGTGCCTAAATCAGGTTTGTTTACCCTCAGCATTGAAGGCATGTAATGTAGGGAGCATTACAGATCACCAAACACTGTTACAGGACAATGGAAGTACAGCCTGGGAGGCCTTCAGCCTGAGCCTGCCTTGCCCAGGCCTGCACAGAAGGGCAACTATGAAAGAAGGGCAATTAGTGTGCAAAGTAGCATGGCTTATTTATTTATTTATTTATTTATTTATTTATTTATTATTTTGAAACATTTTCACCCAGGCTGGAGTGAGTGCAGCAGCGCAATCACTGCTCACTGTAGCCTCGACCTACCAGGCTCAAGCGATCCTCCCATCTCAGCCACCTGAATAGCGGGAACCACAGGCGTGCACCACCACGCCCAGATAATTTTTAATTTTTTCTGTAGAGACGGAATCTCTCTATGTTGCCCAGGCTGGTCTCGAACTCCTGGGGTCAAGCGATCCTCCCATTTCTGCCTCCCAAAGTGCTGGGATTATGGGCATGAGCCACTTTACCTGGTCACATAGCTTATTTTTGAGAACCTGTTAATTGTGGACCAAGAAAACAATGATAGGGTTTGAAGGAAGAAATGTTTTGCAACAGACTCATCATTGACTTTGAACCACAAAGGGAGACTGAGGAAACACTGGCTTCAGGTCAAAAAACCCTGGATAAAACAGGTCCCTCAGGTGGGTGAGGGGCAGGCCAAGTTCATCAAGTCAAGGACATTTTCCTGGCACCACCCTGGGGAGAGGAGCCTTCACCCACCCACCCTGGGCACGGGGCTCCTGCCATTCAGAACCCTCCCTATAACAAAAGGAGCAAACATTCATTTTTTCCCCTTACATAACTTTGCATTTAAATATATTCCCGGAATATGGCAGCATGAGTTCTTATGACAGTTCTTGAGAGTTCAGAAACACTCCAGCACCAGCCAAATCCCCTTACTCCTATAAGAGCAAGGGACGCTTTTTTCTCAGTTCCCTAAAAATGTTGAAGTTATATTGAAAAATGTTATAAAAAGAACTACAGAAATAGAGTGCGGAAAAAAAAAAAAAAAGCTACACATTTCCAGTGGATGCCACTTTGCATTCTTCCTTGGAGGGTATCTACAAACTTCATAAGCAATGCCACCTGGCCACAGACCCTTTGCTGTGGGGAGTGCTCAGCTACTTTCATTATTAGCGAGTCAGAGAGAAGTTTCCTTTTGCCCCCATGATCTTACTTTCCAGCACAGCTCCAATGGCTGTCACAACAGGTTTTCTGTGCCTTTTTTGGTACAAGAACAGGTAAGTCACAGGAAACGTTTTCTGTGAAATGATCTTGCAAACAGCATTAAGAAATTCTGTTGAATTTCAAAGAAAAGATATGATTAAAGGTGACTTTTGGAAGTAGAAGCCTCGAAGAAATGAGGAGGAAAAATAATTGTAATTTAAGGAGTCCATTTCATTTCTGATACAGAATAATCACAAAAACAAGTATATACTGCTGGCTTTAGTTCCCCATGAACGATAACCAGCAGGATATCCACAAGGCCACCCCTGTTTTCTGTGCTTCCCTCCTCCTGGGCTGAGTCCTGCAGAGCTGCAATAGGAAGTTCTCTGTGACCAGGTGGTTAGCATGAAGACGCATGTCGATGGTGGCCTCAAATTCCACTTTGAAGTTGGTCTTCAGCATGCGGCAGGTAAACAGCCTGGAGAAGACCATGTATATAGGGACAGAGAGGCCCCTACAAATGTCCCCATGGGCATCTGAATATAAGGAAACTCTGTGGCATCATTGGCATAGCTTTTTGCACACCCACAGGTCTCCATGTGCACCAGTTGCAGCCCCATGCCTTTTCACCACCAGCTCTCCTGTAAGCAGCTGCACGATGACACAATTCATTGAGTTGGGGTGTTCTCGAATGAGAAATCTGGGGAGCAAGGCTCTCTCTTTGATATTCTGTAAGGTTGCAGGTATAATCTGTGAAGTCCACAGGACTTGGAGTCAACTTCCCCTCCTGAGGAGCAGAGTGGATGGTAAATTCACCGGCCTTTGTCAAGTCCTTGGTCAACAGAGACTGCCTCATGTCACAGCGTAGTGTATACTGAATGTCTGATAATAAGTCTCATACAGAACTTTGTTACCCCTCACATACAGAAGAAATGCGAAATAAATTTGTTTTGCCATAGGGAAATTTCCCTGGCTTCATCCTTTCTATGGCACTGTTGATAATCTGGATAGGTTTAATGGAATTATAAAAAGCTTCAAAACTGCCCACACTTTTGGCACTGAGCTGGGGGATTGCAATTCCTTCCATTGTCAAAGACACTACTTGATGTGGGACTGAATCCTTACAAGATACGACCACCACACTGGAGAGCATTTCTCCAGCATGAGAAACTATTTGCTCTTCCATCTTGATGTCCAGGGAGGTCCCTGTTTTGAATTCTCCACAGCAGCCAACACTTCTGACCTCACATCAAGTTTTTCTTATCAATTTTTCAGGGACCCTTTTAATAGCATCATTTATCTTATTACCGAAAATATTTTTCTAAGTCTAGGGCTTATTTTTAATTTTGTTTATACTATCATTTACCATAACAAAATGTTTAAAATTACATGCTATCATATATATCTGTCTATTCCTTCATGATTTTTTGTTTTTCTTTCTTCCTTAGGAGATGTTCTTTTTTCTAATATTTATTTTAAATTCTTTTTACATTTAAATTTCAATCAATTTGGAATTTGTTTTAGTATATGGGGCAAAATAAGGGCCAATTTTCCTTTCAGATGGATAGCCAATTATGCATTATTTTTCCATGAATTGAAATATCACCTTTATCATATATTAGGTTCCCATATATGCTTAGATCAATTATTATATTTTGTATTCTCATCCTTAGACCTACATGTTCATTCCCGTTTTATACTATATTATTTGGTCATAGTAGTTTTATAGTAAGTGTTAATATCTGTTGTATTAACATCTGTTCTTCAGATATTAATGTCTCTCACTATTCTTCAGTCTCATAATTTTACTATTCTTGTACAACTATTCTTCCAACATACCTTCAAAATTATTTTATCCTATTTAGAAAACCTTGTGATTCTATCTGGAAATGCATTAAATTTAAATACAGTAGATTATGCTCTATAAGGCTACCATGAACAGTGAATTAGGAAATACTGAACCCATTGTTCCTAGAGAAAATACAGGGTTAGGTTCCTGCAAGCCTCTGGCCACAATATTTTTGTCAACCAATCAATGCACAACCTTGTTTTATGTGTTTCTGTATAAAGATGCTTTTTAAATATATATTGTTGATTCATTAGCATTAAACTCATGGTCAACAGCAATATAAATCATACCTGAATGAAGCTTATTTAACGTGTGTATTTTTTCATTAAGGCACATCGTAGCCTTGCTGTGCTTGGGAACACTAGACAGCAATTCAGTACCGTGCTTTGGGGCCATTTGCCAAAGTAAAATCACCAACAAAAAGCACAAATATAAAAAAACAAGACACAAAATAGACACGAAAAGGACACTTGCTTATAGAATGAGGGCTGAAACAGTAACACAGAGCACTATCTGGTTTGACCTCAGCTGGGAACACGTGCATCAGGCAACTCAAAATTTTTTTGCCACTCTGCTTATGTCTGCAAATACTGAAAAAGCACCAGGAGTGTTAATTTTAGGGTTACAAATAAATTTTTGCAAGTAGGCAAATTTGTAAGTATTGAATCTGCAAATAACAAAAATCAGCTATTAATTTTTGGAGCAGGTACATTCTTATGCTAGTCTTCTCATTTAGAAATTTGGCATTTTTTCCTTTTGTTCAGGACTTGTTTTCTGTACTCAATAAAATATTATAATTTTATTTGGGTCTTGTATCTTTTTTGTTAAACTTTTTTGTAGTTTCTTTTAAAAATAATTTTTACATGTATTTTGAATGAGATTCTTACAAAATTTATAGCTGGTTATTGCTAGTAGAGTGAAGAATTTTGTATATGTTTATTTTATTTTTCCACCATCATTTGAAGCCTATTAATTCTAGTAATTTTTGCTAGTTACTTGGGGTTTCTTAGTAATTCACAATTAAATTAGCTACAAAGAGAAGTAATTCTGTCTGTTATTTTTCTGCAGTTTAATTTTCTTTTTAACTATGTTTTCAAGAACTTCCTGAAATATTTAATAAGAGTGATGATATTTGGCACCTAACTTTCAGTTCTGGTTTTGTAAATGAAAGTATTCTCAGTGCAAACTATCATGTGTAAAGGAAATAAAACCACATCAAAAGGGAGAAGGCTTATTACCATGCAGATAGTTTGCTGAATCATTGAACGAATTCAATATTATCACTTGGCCATAACCATTAATCTCTTAGAAGATGGTCAGTGCTAGTGTGCCAACATAATAGATATCAAAGATGTGTTTTTTACTATTATTACATTGTGATTTAGTAATATTCCACATTCTTTTCTCCTAGATGAGCCACAAATCAGAATTTCTGAACTCATCAAAGTCTAGGGTACACTGAAAATTATTACATAAGAATGTTATTTTGGGGAACAACTCTACTGTACTTGGGGTGGACAGAGTACAACTCATTGACGTTTAGAGAACCCTGGCTTTGTACAGCCCTTGTAATTCCCTTTCCTCATCTCACCTCCAGAAATACTACTCTGGGAGTAGAGAGGAGAGGTTATCCCAATTAACAGGTAAAGAAACTGAGTCCTAGAAAAGTGAAGTGACTTCCTCATGGCCACACACGTGGTTAGTTGAGGGCAAAGCTTCTGTCTCTGTTCCAGATTCAGTCAAACCTCATTATCTTGTTCCAAAGCTCCTTGATTCTTTCCAGCTACATTCTAAAAGAGCTCATGGTTCACCTTATCTATCCATCCATCAATCCCTCCATCATGCGCTATACATTTTATTATTCATTCATTCATTCAGTCAGTCAGTCATTCAACAAATATTTATTGAGGATTTATCATATTCAGACATTATTATAGATTCTGGCAATACAACTGGAAACAATGGACATTCCTCCCCTCATAGAGCTTACATTATAGAGAGGGGCACAGCAATAAATAATAAATAAGTAAGATATAGGATGTCAGAGGGTGATTAAGTGCTCTGAAGAAAAATAGAGCCAGCAAGGATAACTGGGAGTGCCAGAGTGAGGAAAGTGGTTGAATGGTAAATGGTTGTCAGGAAAGGCCTTCAGGATGAGCCTACATTTGAGCAAAGACCTCGGCAGGTCTTTGGGAAGTGAGCAGTCAAGCCACGCAGGGAGGTGATCTAGGGTTGCCAGTCCCCCGAGGTGGCAGCATGCCTGGTGTATTCATGGAGCAGCAAGGAGAGCTGTGAGGCTGAAGCAGAACAAGTCAGGGAGAGGTGCAGTGGAGGACCAAGAGCTGGTGGGGAACAGGGTTTATAGGGCCAGGCTAAAGGCCACTGGAAGGACTGTGACTTTCTTGGAAGAGGGAAGGCCACAAAAAAGTTTGTGCAGAGGAGTGACATGATCTGGCCAAAATCTGAAAAGGGCCTGTGGCACCAGGAGTGGACCATGGGGAGACCGAGGAGGAAGCAGGGGAACCAGTTAGGAGGTCATGTGACAATGTGGGAGAAAGGGACCGCTGAGGTGGTGGCAGTAGAAATAATGAGACTCACTCGGAGTTCAAATCTATTTTGAAGGTACAACCAACAAGATTTGCTGATGGATTGAATTGTTTGTATGACTTTATGAGCCAGGTGTTGGAGTTGCAAGAGGGAGTGAAATCAGATTCCTTGATGGAGCTTTTAGCCAAATGAGAAGGCAGACATTAATCAGATAGTTAGATAAATAAATGTGTAGTTACAAACTATGACAAATCCTTTAAAATAAAGTCTTAAGGGTGGGATAGATCTGGCTTAGTCATATGTGAGGCAGAATCAGGGCTGGAACACAGAGACTGTGGAGGAGGAATGAAGCTGGAGAGATTAAGATGGTGGACCAAAAGGACCAAGACTAAGTCACGTTACAACTTTTCATTTTTAGCCTAAAAACGATGGGAAAACGATGGAGGAATTTGATTTAAGGAAGGCATAAGGATTTGGAAGGGATGAGTGGGTGAGAAGTGCTGTCACATTTGTGTCAAAAATGTGTAAAAGATCAGTCTGACTTCAGTAGCCAAAAGAAATGCAAATAAGAGTATGGAGGCCGGGCACGGTGGCTCACACCTGTAATCCCAGCACTTTGGGAGGCCAAGATGGGCGGATCACTTGAGGTCAGGAGATCAAGACCAGCCTGGCCAATATGGTGAAACCCCGTCTCTACTAAAAATACAAAAATTAGTCAGTTGTGGTGGCAGGTGCCTGTAATCCCAGCTGCTCAGGAGGCTGAGGCGGGAGAATTGCTTGAACCTAGAAGGCAGAGGTCGCAGCGAGCCGAGATGGTGCCACTACACTCCAACCTGAGCATCACAGCAAGACTCCATCTTAAAAAAAAAATATATATATGGATCTTTGTGATGTGACTATGGGAATATAGAAATTTGGGCAAGATCTCAAGTATCCAATATATATATAGATGATTAACATTTTATCATTACTTTCCTAGTGAAAGGTAAAAATAGCTGGCTTTAAGAATAAAGATAAACTGGAAACTGATATCTTTGTTTTTATTTTTAAATTTAAATTCTATGTGCAATATTAAAGATATACATCAAGATGATATCCAAATTATCTAACTTTAATCATATATTGATTAACAACCTGATAGGTAAATGTGACATAGGAATAATAGATAGCATCTAATTGTGAGGTCATTGTGTACTTTATCCTTTAAAGAGCCATAAAAACATATTTTAAAATACAACAAACTTTAAAGCAACAAAATGACCACAGAAATAGGGGTCTGGGATTGAGATGGAGATTTGCTGCTGGATGTCTGAGAAAAGATTAGAGAATTATAAAAGAAATTAACAAATGAATACCAATCTGATTTAAACTAATCTATTCTTATAGTCCTAGTAGGCAAAATGGAAGTGAATAAATATTTCTTTTTCTCAAAAGTGATGAGGCTGGGCATGGTGGCTCGTGCCTGTAATCTCAACACTTTGGGAGGCCGAGGTGGGAAAGTCACTTGAGGCCAGGAGTTTAAGAACCCCTGTGAGTAACATAGTGAGACCCCCATCTCTATAAAACACAAATATAAAAATTCAGCGAGCATGGTGGTATGTGCCTGGGAGGCTGAGGTGGGAGAATCGCTTAAGTCCCAAAATCCAAGGTTGCAGTCAGCTATGATTGTGCCACTGCACTCCAACCTGGGCGACAGAGTGAGATCTTGTCTCTAAAAAAAAAAAAAAAAAGTGTTTCTCTCCTTTATCTTCTGCTATTTTAAATTACAAAGAAGTGGCTACTTCAAAAATGAAGGTCACAAAAACCTTTTAAAGGTCATCTTTAGGTTGGTGATCAGGTATGTGATGCATATACTGGAAGTGGCAGGCTGTGCCCCTCTGGAGCACAATTTGGCATTCTGAATTTCGAGGATTAACCAAGTTCGCAATTTTTTATTCAATGATTTTCATTGAATGAGTTTTCCCTTAATAAAAACATAAAAATATTTAGATAAATGCATGCATAGAGATGTTGACTCTAGAATTTTGGGGGGCAACATTTGGAAATAGCCAAATGTTCAATAATGTATTGCTTGTGAATTGTGGCATTTTCTTATAAGGAAGAGAGTAAGGCCATTAAAAATGATGTTTTGGGAACTAAGAATGAAAAATTGTATCTATAGCATAATCCCTGTTTTGGTTAATCTCTGTTTCACACTAAAATGTGAACAGCACTCATCTGTGAGTGGTGGTATGCTGAGTGTCTTTCTTTTCCTTTTTTTTTTTTAAATAAAGTATTAATTCTGAATTAGCCTTCCAAAAGCAAACCAGCAAAAACTAGGAATATAACAAAGTTATTCAAATATTCTAATATTAAAAATCTTCTTTGTCTTTCTGATGGTTTCATTTGTAGAAATAACTCTAAACATCTGGATGGGTCACCAAAAGGTGTTGTGGCCTCTTAGTTCTACTTTGAAATTAAAGGCCCTTTTTAGAGGAAAAAAATATCTGAAGTCCAACCCTCACCCCTCCTCCTGCCTTGTCTAGGATCTTCAGCATTAGAAAGATTGCTGGCCGGTTACCATAACACCCAGGGCCCTTGGTGGCTGCTCTGTGGGATCAGCCAATCCTCGCAGCCACTCACCTGGCCTGCGCATGGTGAGGCACACCCTTTGGATTCACCTGGTCCAGCAGCTGCTGCCTTCTCGCTGCTTCTTTCTTCCTACAGCGCCCCTGAAGAAGGTTGTTTCTGAGGGTCCTGAAGAGAAGTTTTGTATTCTGCATTGCTGACATCTGCTGAAAGGGCCAACATTTTTAAAAAGCGTCAGATCAGTCTACGTGTGGTCTTCCTTCCTTACTTGGATGGACTGGCCACCATGAAAGTTTTTGGAATTATTTCTCTTAAGTCCTCAGAAAAATAATCTTACCTCCTTCTTGTCCCTGAATTTCTTCACATTCTCATAGAAATAGCATAAGTCTCCAAATTAAACACCCCAAACCCCCTCAATAAGTCCTCTTCCTTAGAGTAACCCCGTCATTTGGCATTCTACACCTAGAGGAGGGCATCAAAGAGGACTAAGCCTGTGGTTGCTCACATTTAGGGTTGTGGATGCCTTTGAGAATTGGATGATAACTCATGGATTTATTTCCAGCGAAATACTCACACATTCCATTCTGCATACAATTTCAGTGGACTCACAGGCTCACCCGAAATCCATTTATTTCACCCCAAGTTAAGAACTTCTACCAAATGCAAAGAAGGAATGAGATGTCTCATTTCAAGGGTTTCAGCACTTGAAATTTAAAGCGTAATAACAAAGTGGCCACATGGTGTCACTCTAACATCAACAAATCCAAGACTTTTAGCACTAGGAAGGTAGATCCTAGGCCTGTGAACCTGAGGACCTGGGTAAGGCAATGCCCACTGGAAATTATTTGGCAAGATTCAGGCACTTGACTTTTGCAGGCCATTCATGTAAAGGAGAGAAGGAGGGAAAACTATCCTTGGCAAAGTTAATTAGTCAACATCCTTCGCTATTGTGGTATTTGAGGAGGTTGCCATCTGTGTGAAGAAACTTACTCACTGGAATTTAGTAATGAAAAGAAAATGTTCTTTCTGGGAAAAAATAGAATGCTTTTTTCTAAAATGTACTATGCTGTTTCTCTTCTTACAAAGAACTGAATTCACTTGCTAGGTATTTATAATTTTAAAAAATTTGAAAGGCAGCTGTGAAGTTTTAGTTGTATACTTTTTCAGTCAACATTGAGATAATAATCTTTCTTTTTTCCTAAAGAAGAAATATTTGAAATTTAGGGTTCAGGAAAAGACATGTTAAAAAAGAAAAATTCTCCAAAAATATGTTAGTAACTAGAAGTCTTGCTGCATCATTTTTGCCATATCAGAGCCCTTCTCTTTTCCATCTGTACCCATTTCCAGTGCTGCTCCCTGTAACTCTTCACTGACATTTTCTATTCCAGAGTATCTGATCAATCACTTCAGACTGAACTCTGGCCTGTTCTTGTGGCCAAAAACTTCCACTGAGACATACAATGTGAAGAAATCATACTTACGTTGGGAGATATTCAAGGTGGAGTTTGCCACTTGCTTAGTCTTAAATATTGCAATGTATGACAGGAGCAGAATCTGTGGTTTCACTGGAGGGAAGGTTTTTTCATGGCTATAGCTTATACTGAATTGATTAATGAATAGTTTGGTATGTGACATTAAATGTTACCTGAATGCAGTGCTCAATGACAGGATGAGACTTCTGATGGGACTTGCTGTGAAGACCAGATAAGAAACACATCTGGCAGATGTCAAAGTTGAGACACTTCAGACAGCGGTATCTGCCAGTTAAAATAGAAGCACAGCTTACGTCACTAGTAGATGAGAAAAAAAAAAAAAAAAGAATATCCAGGTAGAGAATGAGCAACCCAAAATATACAGAAGATGTCTGAGCTGCCAAATCAGTGTAAAGTTTCTCCCAAACTATAGGATTATTAAATGACTCTAATGCGTTTGTTTACTCAAATACATCTTCATATGATAGTATTTTCAAATGGCATTATATTAATGCCATATACGCTATGGTATAGAAGTCTGATTTATTTCCCAAAATACGAAGTGCCTTCTATATGCAGGGTGCTGTGTGCTACAACCTTTAGGATAAACCCTTAAATCTGCAGCTGCGTTTTGTGCAGCTGCACAATGCACTCAAATTCTTTGAATTTAATAGCTAATTTAAAAATAGATTTCAATAAAATCAAATTTTGGCTTGTCTTAAACTTTTGCAGGGTATGATAATATTGGGCCTGTATTCCTGAGTGGTGTTGGGGAAAATTAAGCCATAAATAACAAATTTAAAAATAAGCACTCGTCATTTTATAGAAGTCTGTATGTAGGAAAGATATAAAGTAGAGGAGGGGAATTCCTCACCACAGCCAAGTTTCTTGACCCATCAACATTGGAGAATTTTTCTTTTTGAGAAATGACAGCCTTAAATCCCTTTGTGGTCAGAAGGAGCGGAGAGAGTCTTGAGACACTCTGGTTAGGAGGGGTGTCCCATAATACTCAGGAAACTATTGTGATGTTAGTGGGGAGCTAGTAAGACCTAGCAGTCATCAGTTAGTAACTTTTAAGGATATTTGAGTGGGACCATGTTGTTTGTCTATAAAATAACAGGGAGCTATACATTTTTCCCCTGATATGTAAATTCTCTTCTCTAACTGCAGTGTGTGTGGTATAAAACTCTGTCCTCATATGGTGACAGTTGGTGAGAACCAGGCAGCAGCTACTCCTTTTAGACTGGACATACAGTTCTGAGCTAGCTATAGTCCCTACCTGTCCTATTTCCTTCACGTATACCACTTGCCTTGCCTTTTAAGCATTTGGGTTTTCAACACCTCTCTTAAGGTTACAAAAAAGAAATATGATAAGATTCCAGTGCTCTTAAATTTCATATCTTGCGGCAAAACTTTGACATGGAAGGTTGAAGTAATAACTTCCAGAATTAGGTGATGTGTGATTAAGTGCCAAGTGAAAGGCATGGAGAAGAGGGGTATAGCAGGGAGGCAGAGGGAGAGCCCTATGGGCTGGTGTGGTCTGGAAAGTGAGGCTCATGCTATACATGGAAGGCTGGGCTGGAGATTAAAGCAAAGAAAATCCCAAGTAGAAAGAAGAGAAGGAATAAGGTAACGAAGATTGGGATGAGTAAGAAGGGTTTAGAGGACATAAAATCTATCAGACCTGCTAACTGCCCTGAATAACAGCGGGAAAACACCTTGGAAAGCTTCTGAGGCCAGATGGCAGAAGGTCTGATGGTCTGATCAAAGTCGTTTAGAGGAGGAGCAGGAGAATGTAAATACCTTGAGATCGCCCCTCAGCTACCCTTGTTTACTGCTGTACTTCCAACCCTGACTCCCATGGCAGGATATTAATAAATAATGTGGGATGATATAATAGCAGCTAGCATTTTTGTGCATGTTCTATGTGCAGGCAGTGTACATGTGTTGACCCAGTTAATCCCCATGGAAATTCTTTCAGGTATTCATACGATTACCCTCATTTTGCAGATGAGGAAACTGAATTAAAGAGAGTTTAAGTAACTTGCACAAAGTTACACAACTACTTAGTAAGTAGTAGAAGATTTTGAGTCCCAGGTTACTATCTGAACTGATGGCCTGCCATTTTAACCACTAGAATAGACCACACTATCCTAGAATAGACCACCACTCCTCAAGGCAGGAGGCTTGAGTTTGAATTCACATACCACCATTACTACTTATAGTAGTACTAATAGTTGAATTGAAAACTTAAGCTCACTTAAGTTTAGGAGAATGCCTGGTACATGGTAGGTTTTTCAATGAACATTAGTTGAATGAAGTTGGATAAATGACTTAGTTTCTTCAACTAAGGAAAAATGGAGCTAGTAAACCCTATCCTCCTGGCCTTGCAAAATTTTTAGAAAACTTTAAAAGTTGTTCAACATACATAAATGGGAAGACATTTACTTTTTCAATGAAGTGTACAACATAATAAACTATTTTTATAAGGATTATTTGATGAGTCATCCATGCTGGCTGCTTTATCAAGCATTAACTGGATGGCTGTGATTAACTTATTTAGGATAATATGCTGCTCTATCCTTAAATTTGTTCCTCTGTGCTCTGAAACTACCTACAGGTATATGAGAATGGTTATTGTGTGGGTAATGAGATTGGCCTGTTGTTGATGTTTTTTACCAGTATAGAACCCAGGTTTTCTCCCAATTTCATTTCAACCTTCCATGGCTATCACAGAGCAAAAATGCTGACATGTCCTTCTAGAATTTTTTTCTTGGATTAAGGCCACTCTATGGTCTTTGCACCTTCTCTTTCTTTAGAAGGCCAAATCTTTGTCCTCTTCCTGCTACCTGCAGATCTGCAAATGCATGCCCTCTAACATGGCTTTCTTCATCTCCCAAAAAACCAAAGCTACTGGTTGAGTTTTTTGAGATCCCAAAACATAAGTTTAAAGTTAGGATTATAATATATCCAGGCAATTTTTAATAGAATCCTAAGTTTAGAGCTAAAGAAGTCTCAGACATCATTTGATCTACCCTGCTGAATTTTACTAAAAACAAAACAAACCAAAAAACAAAAACCCCAAACTGAGGTCTAGAGAGGTTAAACACCTTGCCCAGGTCTCCTAGCTCTTTGTATATAGGACACCTGTTTATTGCCTTGGATGCATAAGGGGAAAGATGGTTTACATGGGGGCATTTTAAAGAAATTCTGTTCTCATTCTCAACAGATATTTGAAGGGTAGCATTTCTCGGCCTCTGCCTTTGCCATTTTTAGGGGCGACTTAAGTAAGTCACTCAAACTCTTTGAGACTCAATTTTTGTCATCTATAGAATAGAAATAGTATCTGCTTTATGTTATACATAATAATTTTGAAAACATATTTCAATGTAAAAGTTGTGTTTTATATAATTACAAAGTTAATCCTGTACTCGACCTAGGGCAGGACTTGCAGTAACTCCTTAACTAATACTTGCTTATTGGTTAAATGATTATAATGTACTCATAACATGGCAAATCATATTCAGATTTCCCCATTGTCCAATATAAATAATTTATTTTTCTTTGTTGTATGAGGATTTCTTTGTTCCTGCTTGCTTGGTTTCCAACAGTCCTGTTCATTTATATGTTTTATTGTTTAAAGTTCAGTTCCTTGCCGAATTTTCATGAATGAAGTTTCACTGTGTCCTGCAAATTCTCTGCAAACCCAATTCATTTTCTCAGCAAAATTAAAACCGGATCTCCAGTTTTTCGGTGTACCAAGCAGACCTATTTTACCTCCATGGGGAGCAATTTCAGTTCTGGGTTAGCTAGGGTCAGGAAGCATGGGAAGGGAAGGGGAACAAAGTGAGCAGGAGCTGAGTCCTGAGGCCTCTTGTCCCCTTCTCCTTCCGGGAACCCTCAGTTTTGCCTTGTATTTAGCTACCTGATGTCCCAGAGCTTTAGTCTTCCCACATCCCCAGCCCCTGTTCACTCATCGTGAATAATGGCTTCTTCCATGCCTGGCCTACACCTGGTGGTTTCTTTCTCTTCTCCCAAGCTTTAATGATAACTCCAATTTTACTTCCCTATGGTTTTATTTATGGGAGACCTATAACACTCTTTCTCTAAGATGGGATTTTGACTGTTAGCCTCAAAGCTATGGAAATATTTGAATCTCCCACCTCCAAATCTAGCTCTCAAATCTGCTTTTTGCTCCAGGTGGAGAGAAGATCAAGCCTGAGTTGTTCTCATGAATGCTGATGATCTCTGTGAGTCTGTGCCTTGTTTGCAGTTGTCTGCACAGGGAGGCAGCGGAGCATCATGGCTGCAAAGCAGGGACTCCGGATTTAGGATGCCAGCCTCTGCGGCTTGCTAATCATGTAGGTTATTTAACTTCTCTGTAAATAGGGGATAAGAATACAACCCTTTGTATAGGCTTACAACACATTTTAAATGAAATGACCCATGTGAACTGCTCAGCTTGGCATTTGTCTAACACTTAACAAAAGTAGTGTTGTTAGGATGATGATGATGATGCATGGCTCCAAAATTTAAAAGGTTTCTTTGGAGCAAAAGACAGGCCAAATGCAGTGGCTCACACATGTAACTCAATGCTTTGGGAGGCTGAGGCAGGAGGTTCACTTAAGATCAGGAGTTGGAGACCAGTGTGGGCAACACAATAAGATCCCATCTCTACAAAAAATAGAAAATTAGCTGGGCATGGTGGCATGTGCCTGTACCCCCAGCTACCCAGGAGGCTGAGCTGCAAGGATGACTTCAGCTTAGGGGTTTGAAGCTGCAGTGAGCTATGATAGTGCCAGTGCACTCCAGCCTGGGTGACAGAGACCCTGTCTCTAAAAACAAAATAAAGCAAAACAAAACAAAGACAAAATGTATTCCCCTTAGAGGAAGAAAAATGTCTATTAGTCACATTATGCGTCAGTGGAAGAATTTAATATTTCATCCATTATAGAAGATAAAAGACAATTTATTATCAACCAGGATGCCTCTTGCCAGGAAATCATTGAGCCAAAAAAGTCAACTGAATTTCAGATGTGTAAGGAGGACCCCAAAAAGAATCTGAAGGGATGCAGCTCCAACTGTAGAACCATATGGAGAATGATAATCCAAGAAATGCTGCTGATGACTGTACCTGAGTCCCGTGATTGGGAAAGTCCTGCAGAGAGTGCACCGAGCAGGGTGAGTGACCCTTTCAGCAGCTGATAACCGGTGGCAGGTCGGGAGCCACAGGAGGATGGGAGGCTCAGATTGGACCCAAGACAGGAATTTTTCTTCTTTGATTGCTGGGCTCAACACCTGAAAAACAATGGCACTCTAAGATGTGTTTTTAGGCACGACTTGATATTTTCATTTTCTTTTCTGACTCTAATTCTGTCAGTTCTGCTGAAGAAGTTTATCATAGGAAAAGCTGGAGGTGAGACTACCTCCTAAATTCAGTTATCTGAGATGCTATGTGGAGTAATAATAGGTCTGTAATGTAAATCAGTCAGCAAACTATCCCAATACACCGTGTCTGTCCCCAACTCCAGGGACATTTGCAAGGCACTCACCCCTTGGAAACAGCTGCGGGTGGCACTTTCCACAGGGCACAGAGCACGACTCTCTCCCACGAAAGTTGGGATCTGCAAGAGACAACCTCATCTTAGCTGTTAGAAAGTGGAGAAATATGTCGTCTCCGGGAGCAGCAGGGCTGAGAGCTGGTGCCCACGGCTGTGTAGTCACAAGTATTTGGTATCTGAGACGAGGTGAACTGTCTCAATCCAAGAGAACAAAGAAATGCGTGGGTTTTGTGCAATGTTTGGGTTAAGACAATGAATAAGCAAGTGGGAAGGAGAGGAGGGAGGAGGGGAAGGGAAGGAAGTCTGCCAATGAGGTGATAAACTGCTTCCTTCTGTTTTATTTTCTTGTGATTCCAAATTATTTTATCCTTTCTTTGCCTTTGTTCACCTATGAAATGAAGATCACAATAATACTGTCTTAAAGTTTAGAGTTTTAAAATATATATACTTTTTTTTTTTACTTTAAGTTCTGGGATACATGTGCAGAACGTGCAGGTTTGTTACATAGATATACATGTGCCATGGTGGTTTGCTGCACTTACCAACCTCTCATCTAGGTTTTAAGCCCTGCGTGCATTAGGTATTTGTCCTAATGCTCTCCCTTCCCTTTACCCCACCCTCTGACAGGACCCAGTGTATGATGTTCCCCTCCCTGCGTCCATGTGTTCTCATTGTTCAACTACCACTTATGAGTGAGAACATGCAGTGTTTGGTTTTCTGTTACTGTGTTAGTTTGCTGAGAATGATGGTTTCCAGCTTCATCCATGTACCTGCAAAGGACATGAACTCATTGTTTTTTATGGCTGCATAGTATTCCATGGTGTATATGTGCCACATTTTCTTTATCTAGTCTATCACTGATGGGCATTTGGGTTTGTTCCAAGTCCTTGCTATTGTATATATACATATTTTTAAGACTATTCAAGTGCAGTAGTGAGAAGCAGGAAAGAGTAGATCAAGAAGTTCAATCTGTATTCAATCTGTAACTGACTAAACAATCTACTGAGATAACTCACTACCTTTGGACAAGCCTAGAGTGGCTTTGAGAAAAACCTTTCCAAACACTTTCATATCACATCATTTTAAGAAATGCCAATTTCTGAGGTAGGATGGTAATTACTACCCTTGTTTAAACAAGCAAGGGATGAAAGGAAAGGAAATCAGTTTGTCAAAGAGACATCGGCACTCCCATGTTCACTGTAGCACTCTTCATAATAGCCAAGTTTCTGGAACGATCTAAGTGTCCATTGACAGATGAATAAAAAATGTGGTATGTAATATACAACAGAATAGTACTCAGCCTTAGGAAAGAAGGGAATCCTGTCATTTGTGACAACATGAATGAACCTAGAGGACAATATGCTAAATGAAATAAGCCAGGCACAGAAAGACAAATACCACATAATCGCACTTACATGTGGAATCTAAAAACATTGAATTCATAGAAACAGAAGAATAGTGGATGCCAGGGGCTGAGGACAGGGATAAATGAGAAGATGTTGATTAAAGGGTAGAAACTTTCAGTTATAAGATTTATAAATTCTGGGAATCTAATTGCAGCATGGCTACTAGTAATACTACTGTATTGTTTACTTGAGAATTGAAACAAGAGCAGGTTTGAAGTATCCTCAAACCCCCCAACACCATGAGATGGCAATGATGGTGGTGACAGATGGGTTAATTAATTTGATTGTGTTAATCTTTATGCAGTGTATATCTATCTCAAAACATCATGTCGTACACCTTGAATATATACAGTTTCTGATTATCAATTAATAGTTTTCAAAAAATAAAGCCAAGAGTAATTGAGATTTGATATTTTGCTCAAGGTCAAAAAAGCAAGTTAGCAGCAGAATTGGGGTCTCACTCCAGGACTCTTACTCTTTCTTGAGGAGTTTCCATGAAGCTTTATCACAGCCCGACCTTACATATATTTCAACGGCTCAATCTGTGCCACCACACTCAGTGGTTTCCAACTTTCAGCCACAGTCACCATAAGGCGTTCAATTAAGGCACTAAGAACCTTTTGTGACTGCCAAGATGGCCAGGGACTTGGCTCTGACATCATCTATATGCACAGATACATGTACCTGTCACCTCCATTTATTCCCATTTGGTCACGGGTCCTAATTTCACATCTGATGTCTTCTACAGCACAGGCTGTCAGCAGGCATTGCCTGCAAGCTCAGAAGTAATCTCAGAGACCCTCCTGCTGAGTCCATCAACTCGAATAAACGTTCTTCTAATCAGGAAAGTGGCACTCAGAACCTCTTTGCTGACAATTAGCCAGGCAGAAGTCAACAAACATTTGTGTAATAGTGACAAGATGGCTTGTACTTTAAATTGATAATAATCCTGTTGCCAGTCGAATGTAAGTAACTACTCCCTATGTTATTTAGCCTTTGTCTGAAAGCATAACTCATTACCCATCGTTTGGCTTGTGAGTGCTGATGAACTAACTGGACCACTTATTTAGACTGTGTTGTTGATCCAACATTCACCCTCCTCTGATGTCCTTGAGCCCTGGGAAAGGAGTTTTACTTCATTTGTAAAATAAGGTGGGTGGATAACATAGGATGACTCTCACCAGCTCTGTGATTCTAACACTAGTACAAAGAAAATTCACTTCTGTAGTGGGTTTTCAACCTACATTTTTGCCTATAAAGATGTGCATAAAGATTTTGCGGATGAATGGCCCAAGTGACTAATTTCTTGCAGGTGTTCTAGGAAGAATTAAACATGGCTAGATGGCACACCGGCACAGGCAGACACCACTTGAAACGATAATTATGATGTTTAGGGGGGGATTTGAATCATGTAGTGGGGCCTGGAATTTTCTCTGAGAATCCATTTCTGAGTCTGTAATAGCAGTCAATGGGATGATAATTTCTATGCAAATCTCCAGCTTCCTAAGACCTTCTCAGGAGCATACTGATGCCTGGGGTGCGGGTAGGGGCGGAGTGCTGAGGGAGCTTCTAGTTCAGCAGCTCATTGACCTCATTTGAACCTGAAACAAGGGCAGATTTTTAGAGCCTGTTGGACCAAGTAGTCAGGAGAGCACAAAGAGTTCTCTAGAAGGAAAATGTCCCTCAGCTCATCCCCTTTCATCACATCCGCTTCTAAGCACTCCAGTCTCACCAGTCTGATTGCACAAATGGGCGGACAGACTGTCCAGCCTTCCCAGGCCCCCACCTGCTCGAGTCTTGTGATATGAGATGGGTGGAAGTGAGCCTGCAACTTATGATGACTCCCTGAGAAATGCCTTAGAGTCAGTAGAACGTTTGATGGTGGGATCTATGTGGCTGCTGCAACTACCAGTGCAGCTCAGAAGTATCTATGCCTGATATTCTAACCTTATAAATAAAAAAAAAATCATTGCTCCATTTAAGAAATATATAAATGATGTTTGGAATTTAAGTTAAATATTAATTATTGTCATCATCATGAACACAAAATATTAATATTGAAACCAAATCAAAGCAAAGATAATTCTGAATAGGTTTTTCCAATCCATACTCCCTGTCCTAGAGATTTTTATTATCTTCCTCCTTATCCCGCCCTTGCTCCCATCATGCATGGCTATCCTCAGTTCAGAATCCTTGGTCCAGAACCAAGAGAAAAGTGACAGAAAGTTCCTAAGTCATTACAGTCCAGAATATCTAGCATGGGGATTTTGTAGGAGCTGGAAGAATGGAGACATCCTTCAAAACAAGGGTAAGGGTACAACAGGACAACAGCACCCACACGCAAGACAATCCAGAGCCTGTTTAATCCTTTTGCAGAACTTCTTGCTTGGTTACATCAATTTACATCATTTTAACATTTAAAAAACATCTTTAAGGAGGTTAAATTCCCTTGCCTAGTAAGAATAAAAACCAAATCAAATGTACACATTCTTAAACCACAGGAAATGATGGAAATAATTTTGAGTACTCGACATGGCACTCCATCTATGCATTCTTTAAGCATTTTTTTGATGTCTTTTAGTATCAGGCACTGTTCAAGTCACTGGAGATATAAAAATGAAACAGTCCAGTGGGGAAGCATCATCTACCATAATTTGACAAGTGCCGCAACAAAGTTATGCATAGGAAGTCAAAGAAGCTTTGAGCAAGGAGGTGACAAATGATTGAGAGATATTGAAAGAGGAGTAGTTTGTTAAGTGAAAGGATAGGCAATGGCCTTGTGGGTAGATAGAAATGCAGAAGTCAGGCATGGAGAACTTGGTGCATGTCAGGCACAAATTTTAATATGTAGGAGTGAAAAAGGTATGGGGTGTAAGGAAAAATTAAATACTTTGGAATAAGCAAAAGAGACTATTGGATATGTTTTCAGTGGTGATTATCTGTACCTATAGACAGATACATCATTGTCTTTGCTAAGCTATTTTACAACTCTAGAGAGAGTAAAGTTAACTTGTAGCAAACTTACAGCAATGCAAATAATTCTTATCTATAGACAACATTATCTTTAGCCTCATGAGTATGAGTATAATTCATAACCTTCTACTCATAACCTTATGAGTATAAGTTAAGTTATATTCAAGTAACAGCAATGGCTATGGAGGAGAGAGCTTGCATGGAGTTATATATAAAGATAGACTTGACACTGGAGACATCAGATTCTTTAATAATAAATGTGGCAAATTAACTGAAACAAATGTACAGTTCTTAAGTATTAGGAATTTACCTGCTGTAGATCTGTTAGTAGTTTTCTCAAAACCCTTCGAGTCATGCGTGGCCCAGAATCATAGCCTCCCCTGCTATTTTCTGCATAGAGTTGAAAAAGAGCTAGACATGTAGGAGGAACAATCTTTAAATTGAATACTTGCAATGTATCTTTGAAGAGTACTTGCTTTGAAGTAACAGTCTCTTTGTGGCTATGAAAGGAAAGAGAAGGGAAAGTTATGTTCTTGATTATTGGCTAGCTATTATGAAGGCCTCCAAAACTATTTTGTTTTTAAATGAGGTTTTGTTCCTGTTCCCCAGGTTAGAGTGCAATGGCACAATCTTGGCTCACTGCAACCTCCACCTCCCGGATTCAAGCGATTCTCTTGCCTCAGCCTTCAGAGTAGCTGGGATTACAGGCGTGTGCCACCACACCCGGCTAATTTTTTGTATTTTTAGTAGAGACAGGGTTTCTCCATGTTTGTCAGGCTGGTCTCGAACTCCCAACCTCAGGTGATCCGCCCGCCTCGACCTCCCAAAGTGCTGGGATTACAGGCATGAGCCACCACGTCCGGTCACTATGATTTTTGTAATAACCGTAATTTGATAACTAACGGAAACCCATTCACATTTCAACACCTTGATCATTCAGTACATCTAGGAAGAAGATCATGAGGTTGGTAAACAGAAATGTGAGGATCCTCCCAGGCTTCAAACCAATAATAATTACGGGTGTCTAGGTAATCCCTAAACAAATAAATATCAAGAACAACCAAGAAACAAGTAATTAGGAAGTGTAAATTTTGAAAAATTCCAAAGTCCTCAAATAGTAAATATTTTTATTTAATAAACACATAAGTCATGCTGAGTACATGCTGAAGAGGCCTTGTGGCAGGGATATAGGATAACAGGTTGGGGATTTGGGGCTCACTGCACTTTAGGACACCCGCAGTCCTCTGCATGTTACCTCGGTATTTTGAAAGAGGGCTGTCTCCTGAGAGGGTTATTAGGGCAGCGGCCGCAGGCATAAGCTGGAGAAAACCTGTTCCTTTGCTGCACAGTAACAAAATACAGAGACAAGAATGGGAAGGCCAGGGTTACCTTTGGTGTAATGGATGATAAAAACCATAACTATTAATGGGCATTTCTGATATGGTGCTATAAGTTCCAACTTTTTGTGGCCTCTTATCCTATACCTAGAATTTAGCAGAACAGAGCATTGAATTAACATATTTCACCAGTCATTTATTTGTTCCTGCATTCACTCCAAAATATGTATTGGATGCCTCCTCTGTGCTAAGCACTGTACCAGGCATCAGGGATGCAGGGATAAACCCTGTTTTCATGGAGCAGGTAGCATCACTTCCTCGGGCCTCAGTTGCCTGGAAACCAAGCAACAGAGATAAGGAAGGACCAAAAGGCAGGCACAGGAACAAATATTTATGCAAAGAAAAAAAAAATCTAGTTCACAGGCCCTCACTCAGAGCCTAATCATCCTTGCCCACTTGCTGTCTAGTTTACAAACGTACTGAACAATTTATCGAAGGCAGGGGAATTGTTAGAGACAGGCACAGATAATAGAAATGACAGTCAAAAGCTTAATGTTTAAGGAAGCTGAAATGAAAAAATAACTTGAGAATGTATGTATATATTGTTTGGGCAGTTAAAAAAAATTAAAAAAAAAAAAAACTAGAAGAGAAAATAACTGTAAGGAATTTGCCCAGTGGTTAAAACAGTGCTTGCCTCTGGGAGGCAGGCTGATGGGTGATAATGTATTTCTTCTTCTTTACTTTTTTCGTCTACTTTCCAAATGTTTTGAATTCACTATGATTTTTGAAAAGTTTATTCTAAAGGATGAATTCTAAAGGATGAAGTCTACTGAGTCAATGATACATAAGGTAAACCAAATCGAGGAGGGGGCAGAGGAATTGAAACCTTACAGCTCAAAAAACACACGCACCCCTACCACACACTAGCAGAACTATTGACTTCAGAGCATATGCAATCAGCCCTTTGACATGGTCTACACTGGTTTATAGGTTACCCATCCATGCACAGGATTTTCAACCTTATTCTAGCTAAAAAAAAAAAAAAAACAATTGATAATGGTTTACAAAGAAATCAGCAAAGAAGCTAGCAGTAGCAAGAACTAAGTGTCGCTTTTCACATGTGTATATGGAAGTGTAAACGCCCTAGCAAAAGGTGTGTATGCTTCTCTAGAGTAGGAGTGAATTTGTCTGAAGGAAAGAATAATGTGGAATTCTCTCCCTCTTTTTGCTATCCATGGGTCATTTATATTCCTAAAGCCGATGGGCATTTACTCCTTTGTTCTACTCCTGAGGAATAAATTTGTGAAAAACAAACAAAGAAGACTTCTTATATACCAAACCTCAAGCAAATATTAGCCAGCACCAAATGGTAAATGACCACTGGAAACTAAACTTTGCCTTTGAGGTCACAGCGCGACGTCCACACCCTCACCTGTTGTACATTGTCGTGAGAAGGCTCAGAGTGAGTTCCGGAGCTCTGGGATGCACTTGTCCTGGGTTTTCCTCCCTGGCCTTCTGAAACAGCTCTTGGAGTGCCTGAGAAAGTTGCTGCACAGAAAGGGAGTGCTTGCGAGCTTCCCAGAAACTTGGACGCAGTAGGACCTGCTGAATCAGGGAGCTGTCAATCAAGTCCACTGTAGGAAGCAAATGAAGAATTGAGCCTTATTTTCTGATGGGAACAAAAGGCTTCAAATAAAGCAAATGTCATTTGGTGTTTTATAATTAAGACTTTTTATGGTCGCTATTTTCTTTTAAGGGGAATGAAATATGACTACTATTTGGACATATATTCCTTGTGTATACTTCAGGCGTTACTATTCTAGCGATTCATTTGATTTTGGAAAGGTGCATCTGTTAGTAAAGCATAGTTGTAACATTATTACCAGTACAGTTTCTAGGATGTTGTTTTATAGAAAGAAGTTAAAAAGGGAAGTGAGAAACGAAAAATACGCTTTCCAAGAAAGTTATGACACTGTGGTAAAAAGTTGGGGAAAACATTTTTATACTCTTCATTAAGTGGATTGAATAAATTTACCTTTCCTGTTCAAATATAGTTTTTCTTGTCTGCAGCCCAGCTTCAGAAGCAATATGGTGTGTTGAAAAGCAATTGCCGTAGTTAAATACAAAACAGTGATCTTCATAAAAGAGCAGTTACTCTTCTGTAAAGATCTTTAGGCTAAAGAGTCTGAGAATTCTGCAACTCAGTAATACCACTGTTAACAATCTTGGTTCCATCAGTATTATTATCTAGAGAAGGCACTTAATAAAACTACAGCTGCTTACAAAAAATAATGGTTTATTTCTTATACTGAATATTTTTTAACCACCTTCTCCTAAAATTTTTACAAGGCAATGAATAGAAACAAGAATGTAATAGAGCTAACCCCATAGCTTCTTGCAGAGAGAGGATGACAGACAAAATTAATAAACAGCCACTTGCACCATCTGAGAGGTGGGGATATCAAGAGCGCCAAGAGCTCCTGGCATTTAAAACGCTTCAGCCTGTGAAACCATAAAACCCTGGGTTTCTCTCTACTTCGTAAATCAACCTCAGATAAGAAATCTAGCAAGTATAATAAAAATTTTTATTTGTTCTCTGATATTGCTTTTAAGAGGAGAGTCTAAGGAACAGAGGAACAAGTTTCAGAATGTGACTTAAATAAAAACCTGGCTGCAGGTGGTGAAGGCTGTAAACTCTTTTATCGTTAAAACCTGTCACCTCAGCCAGGCATTCTGAACACAGGCCGATTTCATCTCCTGCTGAGAGTTCTATATTACACCAAACCAGATAATAGTGGTGTCCATTAATCTCACCACAAGATTTATACAGCGATGTGTCCCCGATCTTCCTATTTGGAGCTCATGTTATGCTTTATCTCAGTGTTTGGGATTTTCTGTTTTTAAATTTTTGTTTGGATATCTTTTCTAGGTAACATTTTTCAACCACTGATTTTGTGTATTGTTAATATTTCCCATGAGTGTTATTTATATTCACTGTTTCTGATGCCAGAGATAACAAAAAGTTGAAAACTGTGCATCCACAAATTACGCTACGGAACATACTCAGGCATTCGTGACTGGGACATGTGAACAATTGCTGCTAACTTTCTCTAATGGGAGAAATTCTCCAGGAAAATGCATAATTGGGGGTAAATTTTTAGCTTTTTGTTTGTTCCTGGAATAATAAATAATAGTTATAAGTGAGTTTCTTTATCTAGAGCAGTAATCTACATAAAACTGTTTTTAAAACCAAAAATTTCTTCTTCAAAGGAACCTAATACAGAAACACAGTATAAGGCCAGGCGCGGTGGCTGATGCCTGTAATCCCAGCACTTTGGGAGGCCACTGTGGGCAGATCAGTTGAGCTCAGGAGTTCAAGACCAGCCCGGGCAACATGGCGAAACCCTGTCTCTACTAAAAATACAAAAAATTGGCAGGGTGTGGTGGCTCACGCCTGTGGTCCCAGCTACTCGGGAGGTTGAGGTGGAAGGATGGCTTCAGCCTGGGAGGCAGAGGTTGCAGTGAGCTGAGATCCCTCCACTGCACTCCAGCCTGGGTGACAGAGTGAGACCCCAGCTTACACACACACAGACACACACACACACACACACATACAAGCAAACACGGTATGGAAAATAGAGAAGGATGGAGTTGTTCCTGCTGAGGATGTGGTCTTTGAATCGTCCCACCTTGCTTGCAACTCCTCTTCCCACCTGGCTAACTCTTTTTTGCCCTACCCTACATTCACATATATTTTGTGAAGCCCAATTTGAAAACCACTGCCCTATATAACTTTTTAGGCAGGAGGAAAAATATTTTTAAATGTCAGCCTTCAGTAGAAATGTCATATATATAACATAACTTCTCTTAGGTCTGATATGATAAATTTCAGAAATCATTTTACGTGAAGTGATTTTTCTTTCATGCAGTGAGAAATCAATAACTTTAGATATGCTGAATGCCTGATGTGTTTCATAGCTTGGACCCAGTTTATTTTTCACCTTGGAAAATTTTCACAGGATACATGTTTTAGTAAAAACATTTTACCTTATTTTGCCTAGATAACAGTAGGAGAAAAGAAAAGAAAAGAAAACCATACATTCAATCAGATATAAATTTACTGCAAAAAGGGGCAGTTCTCAGGGAATTCTCGAGATAGTTTTAAAATTCATGGTCCATGGGTTATTTATTCATTTGTACCTACTTTTGCATGTTCATATATAGATTATAGGTACAACTTGAAAATGCAAATCTTACGTGGTAGATGGAATTTTATATTTTTATACTTAAATCTATAAGTGCAGTTTTGAAAATACTTTTTTTTTGCAATTTTATTTTGTGTCCATATTGGTATCCTGAAAAGGAAACCAAAAACATTTTCTAGAAGAAGCCAAGTGGAGAAAATATTTAAAAAATTAAAAATCCTCATGCACAATTATTTCTATTGCTCATCAGCAAAACTACACATGGTTTGCCTGCACGTGATGTTTTCCCATCCTCCATCTTCTCTGTCACGAATGGGCTAAATGCACAAGTCCAGACTTCCAGAATCCAGTAGTCAGCTGCATGGGGGGAGTGTTTGTTTTCTCTATGAATTTTACATCGCACATCAAGCTCAGATTATTTCAAATATTTCAGGAGAGCCTATACTTACACTGGCACAGAGTTTGCACTGATTGTAATTTGAAGGCTGTTCTATAAATGGAATTCTCAATACTATTAAGAGCATCTGTAAAGAAAACGTAAAATATTATGAATAAAGTCTCTCTCATTATATAAATCCCACATCATGGAAGGAAATCCTAGAGATCATGTAAGCTTACTTTATTTTGCAGGTGAGGAAATTAAGGTTTAGAGCTCTTTTTTTTTCTGTAAACAAATAAAAATAGACTTACATTATTCTAGGGCTACAGGTGAACCTAGTTCACCTTCTCAGTCCACCAAAAAGTGACGGAATACTCCATCAATCTGTCCACTTTTTATATAAAAAGTCAATGGCCTTTGAAACAAACAGGATAAAAAAAACTACATGTAGAATATAAATTCAAGTTTGCAAATATATTCTAGTTATATGTGGACACATGCATTTATGCATAAATGAAAAAGACTCCAAAGCTATCCATCTACTCATGCATTTAGCCAATATTTATTGAGCCCTTAGTATATGGCCCTGGCATGATTCTAGGCCCTTGAAATATAGCATTCAACTAGATAGATAAAGATGGCCACCCTTGTGGAGCTTAACTTCTAGTACCAACCACCAAACTGTTAACAGTGGACATCTCTGAGTGCTTGAATTATTAGTGTTCGCGGTTATTTTCTCTCTGCTCAATATTACCTAAATTTTCTATAAAAAGTGTAGGCTATTTTTATAATCAGAAAAAGAATTATTAATATACCTTCTTTTGAGAGTTACCATCACCAATAGCAGTACAACAATAGCGAGCATTCCTGAGCACTGAGTGTGTACTTGCCCATTTCACAGTGTAGAGGAGAGGAGAGAGCTCTGGAGCCAGCTATACTTAGTTCTGTTCCTTCCTTTTTCCTTAAAAGTAGTTACTTTTGATCTTCAGTTTCTTCTTCAGATAAATGGGAATTATAACACATTCCTCAAAGGGTATTTGCACATTTTAAATAAGAAAATGTAGGCAATATACTTCCTAAATTGTTTCTCTTACCTTTCTTTTTTTTGTTGTTGTTTTTTGTTTTTTTTACTTTTCTTTTTTTTATTATACTTTAAGTTTTAGGGTACATGTGCACAATGTGCAGGTTAGTTACATATGTATACATGTGCCATGTGGGTGTGCTGCACCCATTAACTCGTCATTTAACATTAGGTGTATCTCCCAATCCTATCCCTCCCCCTTCCCCCCACCCCACAACAGGCCCCAGTGTGTGATGTTCCCCTTCCTGTGTCCATGTGTTCTCATTGTTCAATTCTCTTACCTTTCTTAAGGACCCACAATTTTAAATTTTTTCCATTGATGCTCCAAATTTGATTTTTATTTAATTTAAGAGACTATAACAACGTTACAACGGAGCTTTCTGTTGCTGAAGACTGAAATGATCAGTCTTCATATCTAGAAAAAATAACTATAGAGTAGATCTCCCCATTTAGTCATATTATCTTTAATGTTATTCAATAAAGTTATATAAGATCATACACATTAATAGCTTAGTTTATTTTAGGCAGTTAAAATGGCCTGTTCTAACTGCTTATTGTTGGTATAAACCAGTAGACCTTAAAGTATGGTTCCTGAACCAACCACAGCAGCAACATCGCCTGGGAACTTGGGAGAAAAACAATTTCTAACAAAAGTCTAAGAAGTCGCCAACGTCGGAATCTAGGGGTGAGAATCTAAGGAATAACCTGAGTCTTAGCAGGCCCCGGGGGTAAATCTGATGCAAACGAAAGTTTGAAAACTACTGGTATAAAGGGAATTTATTGCTTCTGCTTTTTATGACTAGTTTGATTATTGAAGGTCTTTGTGACAGCAGTTTCAGTGGAGTCATGGGGGTCAAAATCAAACTGCAGAGGATGGAGCACTGAGTGTAAGGTGAGGAGAAAACATACAACCAGACAACTTTTTCAAGATCTTATAACGTGAAGGGAAGACAAGAGAGCCACAGCTAGAACAACACATAAAATCGAAAGTGGTTTTCAAAGGCAGGAGAGATTCCAGAATGTATGGGTCAGGGAGGAGGAGCCAGGAGAGACAGAGTGGGGTTGAGGACTCAGGAAGTAGGGGATCCAGGTAGTATATGATGTAGCAAAGTCCCTCTCAGAGGGCACATGTTCCCTTAGCCACCCAGCATCCATTTTTCTTTCTCCAGGTGAACCACCTCCCCTAATCTGAGTCCATGAAATTCCAATAGTGTCAACTGCAACTCTCCCACTTCCATGGGGGCATGTGGCCCAGGCCCAGCCCATCAGTGAGAGCACCGTCGCCTTCCCCAGAGGTGGGTACATACCAAAGTCAGGCAAGTAATGTTCCAATGAATCTGGGTTCAAGGACTCTTGGTTCAAGTTATCAGGGAAGCAGAATTTTTTTTCTCGACTTGAATTTGGAATTGTAGATTGGAGCAGAAATCACCCTCTTGTCAGGCTGTGTAGCTTGCGAATGAAATCAACACACAAGGGTGAGCAGAGATGAACTTAGAGATGGAGAGAAACCGCTTCCTGGTGACAATGTCCCAGCCCAGGAAAGCTAGTCCTTCCTTTGGTTATTTAATTTATTTTCATTTGTTTTAATTGACAAATAAATATTGTATTATTTATCATGCACAGCATGTTTCAAAATATGTGTATCTCGTGGAATGGCTACATCAAGCTAATTAACATATACATTATGCCACATATTTATTTTTTGTGGTAAGAATATTTAAAATCTATTCTCTTAGCAATTTTCAAGAATATAATACATTGTTATTAACTATAGTCACCATGCTGTACAGTAGATCTCTTGATTGGGTTATTAATTTTATAAGGTAACACAGCCTTTTTGAGGTAAGTTTTCTGCCACAATCGCTGAAGTATTGCTAACTGCTCCCATCGCTGTGGTAGAGAGAGGGAGGAAAATGCACAGGTGAAGGAATTAGCTTTGGTAAGAAGCCATCTCTCATTCCCTGAAAGGAAGCATAAAAGGAGATGATGCGCTGGGGGGATGGCCATGTCTGAGAGCTTCTGTTTTCTTTGTAAAGTTGAGGGCATGTTCACACATTTAGAGTTAGGAGGACATGGTGGGGTTGAGGAATAGTGAAGATTTGCACAGTTATAGTGAAGGGTGAAAGAGGAAATCAGTCACAAACTTTGGAAAGAACTGCCAAGCAGTGGTGCATCTCTAGTGTTTCCGGTGATAACAAATTCCAATTAGAGTTTACACCCAGAAACGCTCATTCTGAGGCAAGGATTTCACACACAAGCAAGCTCTGAAGCCAAGACTTACTTGTATTTATGGTGCCCAGAGGAAGAAGTCTTGAGGAAAATGAAACTACTTTCAAATGTAATGTCAGCCGATTAACATAAAACTCAGGCAATGAGGAGTTAGCAGGGTGTGCTGGGGAGTTTTGTGACTAGAAACACAGCCGAGTCTCCAGCCTTGGAACAGGCCCTGAGCAAAAATGAAACAAGGAACTGCTTGGTGTACTTCTTTGATTCAAACATATGTGGCAAGGTCATTTGTGGTGACATTCATTTTTGTCTCGTTCTTGCAGCAAGGGGAGAATTTAAAGAATGGAAAGGCAATGTTTCTGTGTTCATCTTGTAAGTCTAAGCTATTTTCACTCCTCTGGGAGATCTAACAGTGTCTCTGTGTTTAAGGGCCACTCTTTTTTCTTTCTTTTCTTTTTTGTTTTGAGACGGAGTCTCGCTCTGTCACCCAGGCTGGAGTGCAGTGGCGCAATCTCGGCTCACTGCTCCACCTCCCGGGTTCATGCCAATCTCCTGCCTCAGCCTCCCGAGTAGCTGGGATTACAGGCGCACACCACCACGCCCGGCTAATTTTTTGTATTTTTAGTAGAGACAGGGTTTCACCGTGTTAGCCAGGATGGTCTCGATCTCCTGACCTCATGGTCTGCCCGCCTCGGCCTCCCAAAGTGCTGGGATTACAGGCGTGAGCCACTGCGTAAAGACGGCTCTTGAAGTCACCTCCACTCAGGCCTTTGTATGAAAAGATGGACAGGCCCATGAAAGAATTAATCTGGAATTTTCCTGGAGGCGGAGAGAGGCTGATGCCTGGACAAGAAGTTGGGAGATGTCTGACTAAGATTGGGTTTAGGAGGTGTTTCCAGGGCTGTCCTTCCTAGCAGACCCCTGAGTGGGGGAATGAATGGCTGCATGGTGTAGCCAGGGAGACCAGCCACAGGTGTGACAAGGACTTCTGTGTCCAGTCTTGACATGGAGTCCCATGTCTTCAAGTGGAATCCAAAGCCAAAGGCAGAGAGCATCACAAGTGGTGGTCACAATGGACTTCAGTTAGGGCCTTGACCAGTTAGTTGTTCAAGATAGCAGCCTTAGAGCTTTCTGTTTGTCTCCCAGGGATAGTTCCCTCCCAAACTTAACTCAGCCTAAATTTCTTTTTTTTTTTTTCTCGTCTTATTCAGCGTTTCATTAGTAGTGCTAATGTAGCTACTTAGTGCATGTTGAAGGAACAGATGTCTAAGATACTAAGCAGCATTCCAGGCAGAGAACACAGACTGGGCAAAGGCATGGAGGATGGATAAGATGCTGAGCTGCTCACTGTGGCTGGAATGGGAGGTCAGGAATGAGGTAGAAACAGGTGGGAATCAGGGAACAGGCAGGTAGGAACAGGCAGGAGCTATTAGGTCCTTCTGGGTCCCAATCCTACTTTTTGGGGGAGGAACTGTCAAGCCCTGGGTCCTAGGTTTGGATGGATGGAGAAACTGGGTGCCTGTCCAGGATTTCCCAGCCTCCTTGGGCTTTGCCTTCCTCATTGAGATTCCTCCCCAGAGGCGAGGGGGAGGGGAGATGACTTAGGGACGGCAGCTCTCAGATGCATCCTTATCCAGCACAGGGAGCCCGCCAGCTGCCCGTATATATCAGGGCCAGTGTTGTCTTGTTGCTTGCTGGGAAGGGAAGTGTGGGAGATAATTGTGTCTCCTTGGGAAGAAATATGGGTGCAGGCAGAAGCATCTTTCTTTCAGCTTTGGGAGAAGAGATGTTCACTCAGCATCTTCCTCCAGAGTAGGGTGAGGTGAGGGAGAATGTTTAACCCTTTCCCCTTAAACACTCTCTGTAAAATCAATTCCCAAAGGTTAATAATGCATAATTATGCAAAAGGAATTTGGAATAATTCAAAGAGGTTGGCTGGAGAAAGTTCTTGGGGCTAGGAAGGCAGAGAGGAGGTTAGAGAACCATAGGAGTTCAAGGGGGCTGTAGGCAAGTTGGAACAAGTATCAGTTTAGAAAGTGGCTGTGGTGGCCGGGTGCGGTGGCTCACGCCTGTAATCCCAGCACTTTGGGAGGCCAAGGCAGGTGGATAACGAGGTCAGGAGATAAAGACCATCCTGGCCAACATGGTGAAACCCCGCCTCTACTAAAAATACAAAAATTAGCTGGGTGTGGTGGTGCGTGCCTGTAATCTCAGCTACTTGGGAGGCTGAGGCAGAAGAATCGCTTGAACCAGGGAGTTGGAGGTTGCAGTGAGCCAAGATCGCGCTACTGCACTCCAGCCTGGTGGCAGAGCGAGACTCCATCTCAAAAAACAAACAAACAAACAAAAAACAAAAGAAAAAGAAAGAAAGAAAGTGAACTCAGCCTAAATTTCATATCAAGGTACAGTGCCTTGATTTTGATTTAGGAAATGATGTTTCTTGCCCTTGAGTGTTGTGGGGTAAAGTACTAGCTGTTACACATAAGATACTGAGTGCCAGGCACTGTGTGGAGCCACAGAGGGGATTAGAGTGCTGAACCAGGCCAGAGCCACCCCAGGCCAGAGCCATCCCAAAGTAGTGAGAACATGCCACAGGCCTCTCTCTGAATGTATATCCATCCAACAGTCAGCATATGATCATGGATTAAAGACATCTACCTCAGGTGAAGTGGACTGTGCCTAAACATTGTCGCCCAAACAAGAGAGGTTGTTTAAAAACCGTCTACATGTTTTCCTTTCTTTTTCAAGAGGTACAAACATATATATAACTACAATTTGCTCTAAATCTTTTGTTATTCATCATTTCCTTAGGCTTTAAAAATGCTTAGTTTTCAGATAAGATGCCAATGTTAGAGAATGGGAGATGTCAGAAACTCCTCTGTCCTATGTTTGGAGAAAAAAAAAATTGAGAGTAGGCATAATAGGGTGGAAATAATTTACAATAGTGTAATGCCCAACATTTCTTTCCTCTGGAAATTGGCCAATGTTTGTGCCCTGGTTCCTCTCAGATGCACCAAGCAGATACACAGAATCAGCAGACAAGGGGCTCTGCAAGTTCCCAGATGCTGCTCTTGGTAGAGGAGCGACTCTGTAGCTGCTCTACCATCTGGCCATCACTCTCCTGTCAAGTTATGCTTTACAGCGTCATCTGATGAAGTTAGGCAGCATAACACGGCAAGCTGTGATACAGTGCAACATGGAAAATGAATGAGGAGCCCAGGTGAGCCAACACCAGACCCACTTCCTCAAGGCTAACTTTTACATTTTTTTTCTGCCGATGCAAACACACACACACACACACACACACACACACACACAAAACAAACTCAAGAAAGGAAGAAACTACCAAATGTATCACGCCCAAAGCTATGAACAAAGCAGTTTTAGATGCTTAAAGAAATAGTAACACAAGCTACATGTGTTCTTCTTCATGGAAGCAAAATGATTGGGAAATATCTTTTGACCAGGATTCTTGTTTTTGCTCAGCTACATCAGTATATTTATTTTCCACAGATACTAAGGTGGATATAATACAATTCTTTCAAATGTCCATCATCTAGTTCAATGATCCAAAATAGATGCTGTAGGCCAGTGGTCCTCACAGTGTGGTCCCAAGCCAGCAGCATCATGTCACCTGGGAACCTGTTAGAAATGTACATTCCTGGACTCTTCCCAGACCCACGGAATCACAAACTTTGCAGCATATTAACAAACCTTTCAGGTGATTCTGATGCATGCTAATTTTGAGACACACTGCCTTAGAAAATTGAGAAAGAAGAAAATTGAGAGTTGAATGGATTACCTACTGCTTTGTGTAAAGCGTATTAATATGAGAGCCCAAATTTGGAAAACCCAAAGGTATTGTAATCATTTATAATGTTGTTTTAGATAAACAACTAGGGATCATACAGAATTTCATATAAAACAAGTAAGATAACAATGTAGATTTTGGTTAGGGGAGTAAGGCTCCAAACAGATCTAGCAATAGAAATCCCACAGATCAGTTCTGGGCCTAACTTGGCATTCAGCGATGTTAGAAGAAAGGGGAACTAGTTTCTCCATATCCACTTATAAAATTTTCATATAGTGACAACTGTGAGACCTTTCTCCCAACTTGAACTACACAGTACTGTGAACTTACCTATGACATTAAAATATATACGATAATTTCATTTTAATAGTAAACTATGAATATACATAAAACTAAGGTAATAGTTTCTGTGTATTTGAATAGCAATTCAAATGTAATTATGTTGACATCAAGTCTTTTGTTAGATTATTTTTGGTGCTTTCGAGACAATAGACCAGATACTCTTCAGTACATGGTGGATTTCTGTTTAGAAGAGAGAGAAAGCCACTTTAATCAAATAACAGTTTCTTTTTCAGCCAGAAATTTGCCAAATGTTTACTCTTCTTCAAATCAGAGGTCTGAAAATATAACATCTGTGCCTAATTTTTCTGTTTACAAACTATGCTCAGAAACTTGACAATAATACTCACCTTGTTTATCTGGATCCATTTCACAAATTTCCTGGAATGACAGATGGCAAGTGGGTCCCTGTAACTAGAAATGAACCAGTATTTTAAGCAGAAGGTTTTGCAGCAGAGGAATGAGGACAGGGGAACAAAAAGGCAACTAAACAAATCATTTTACCTGTGGAAAGTGACTGCAAGGTGTTCAAGGTGACTGAAATATCTTGGGAGGAAGAAAACAGGGAGAAACATAGAAGCAGAGGCTCCTGATACTGACCACGCTTCTCAGAAAACTGAGAACAGCTCCTGAAACTAATACCATGATGACTTAGAGGCTTTGAGGCATTGTAATTTTAAGAGTGGACTGTATTCTTACTTTAAGATGATATCAATTTACTTGAACTTTAAGAACAAAATTTGAAACTCTCAATACTTAAATTTCTAATAATACTATGCTAAATCATTCTACATATTAAATTTCTAACAAAAGCTATCAACTTGTCATATATATGCATATATACATACATGTATGTATATGTATACATAGGATTCTGTTAATAATTAATTTTTAAAAGAGTAGTCAATTAGCTACCTTTGTTAATTGTTTCATGTTGCAACTATTGTTCAAACAACACACACACAAGAGGTTTGTGGAAAATGTATATTCTGAAAAAAAATAGGCAAGGATTTCAAAATTTTTTTGTACCAAAATAAACTCACACTAGATTGTTGAAGCATGTCTGAACAGGATTTAGTTTGAAGCATTAAGAAGGATAAGATATCAGTCTGAAAATAGCTCTTGAGAGCAACATGAATTCTGCTAAAATGGAAGCAAGAACAAACGTCAAATTTATGGTAAAACTTGGGTGGTAAAATAGTAAAATCATTGATGCTTTACAAAAAGTTTATGGGGACAATGCCCCAAATAAATCAATAGTTTACACCATGGAATACTATGCAGCCATATAAAGGAACAAGATCATATCCTTTGCAGGGACATGGGTGGAGCTGGAAGCCATTATCCTCAGCATACTAATACAGGAACAGAAAACCAAAGACTGCATGTTTTCACTTATAAGTGGGAGCTGAACAATGAGAACACATGGATGCAGGGAGGGGAACTACACACACTGGGGCCTGTTGGAGGTGCAGGAAGAGGAAGAGCATCAGAATAAATAGCTAATGCATGTAGGGCTTAATACCCAGGTGATGGGCTGATAGGTGCAGCAAACCACCATGGCACATGTTTACCTGTGTAACAAACCTGCACGTCCTACGCATGTATCCCAGTACTTAAAATAAAATTAAATTTTAAAAAAAGAAAGGAAAAAAGAAATCAGTAGTTCACAGAGAGATAACTCATTTTGAGAAGGGATGAGAGGATGTGAAAGATGAAACCCACAGCAGTGGACCATCCACATCAGTTTGCAAGAAAAAAATGAAGTTTTTTCTTTAAAGAAATGTGAATGCTGTAATTTAAGAGGACAATTAACAGAAGAAACAATAGCCAACTCCATAGATAGCTCAACTGATTGAGCTTACACAATTCTAACTGAAAAATTGAAGTTGCGCTAGCTTTCTACCAGAAGGGTGCCAAAACCATTGCACGTAGATCAGCTGCAGACAAGAGCAGGGTCAATGGAAATTTTAAACATGTGGGACCAAGATTCTGAAGCCTTTCTTTGCAGAATTGTAACAAGAGATGAAACATGACTTTGCCAGTATAATCCTGAAGACAAAGTACAATCAAAGCAACGGCTACCAAGAGATGGAAGTGGTCCAGTCAAAGCAAAAGCAGACCTATCAAGAGAAAAGGTTCTGGCAACAGTTTTTAGGATGTTCCAGGTATTTTGCTTGTTGACGGGCCAAAAGAACAATAATATCTGCTTATCATGAGAGCATTTTGAGAAAGTTAGCCAAAGCATTAGCAGAAAAACACCCAGGACAGCATCACCAGCGAGTCCTCCATGACACTGCTTCTGCTCATTCTTCTCATCACATAAGGACAATTTTGCAAGTGATTTGAAGAGAAATCATTAGGTATCCACTTTACAATTCTGATTTGGCTCCTTCTCTTTTCTTTTTGTTTCCTAATCTTAAAAAATCTTCAAAGGGCACCTAGTTTTCTTCAGTTAATAATGTCAAAAGGACTGCACTGACATGGTTAAATTCTCAGGATCCTCGGTTCTTTAAGGATGGACTAAATGGCTGGTATTATCACTTACAAAAGTGTCTTGAACTTGATAAGGCTTATGCTGATAAATAAATTTGTTTTTATTTTTATCTTTTAATTCCATTTTTCCATGAACTTTTGAAGTCTCTGTGTGTGTCTAATATACTATATATATACACATATATATTCATTTTCAGCAAAAAGAATGGGTTGTGGTGTAAGAAAAGCCTTATTAGTTCTCAGAAAAAGATGTAACATGGGTACATAACTACCTGTGTTATCATGGGTAGTTTAAAACTGTTTTTAAAAAGTTATATGATAATTACATTTAAATAATACTTTACCCTCCTTCTAATGAATGAATGAATTAGAGCACAAGTTATTTGGGCAGATAAATAACATTTTACAGAAAGCAAAATTAAAGAAAAATCTGATTACATTCATTCTTTAAAAATATAACAGTGGCCAGGCACAGTGGCTCTCACGCCTCTAATCCAGCACTTTGGGAGGCTGAAGGAGGCAGATCACCTGAAGTCAGGAGTTTGAGACCAGCCTGGCCAACATGATGAAACCCCATCTCTACTAAAAATGCAAACATTAGCCAGGCGTGGTGGTGGGTGTCTCTAATCCCAGTTACTCGGGAGGCTGAGGCAAAAGAGTTGCTTGAAGCTGGAGGCAGAGGTTGCAGTGAGCCAAGATGTGACACTGCACTCCAGCTTAGGTGACAGAGCAAGACTCTGCCTCAATAATAATAATAATAATAATAATAATAATAGTGGTAATCTAAGACTTCCCAAAACCTAGCAAGTTTCCATATATATTCAAATAAGATTTTTTAGAAAAGTTGTAGCATGGGAAATCAGTTTAGAACTCTTCTTGGTGTAGAAATTCCTGAAGTTCCTAGGTAGGCCTGGAAGGGTCCAGCCTCCCGGCCAGTCAACAGGATAGCTGAAGATATGATCTATCTGCCTCTACACCAAGTCCTTACCTTTCTTAGTTTCCGCAGAGAAGCATTCTAGTGGAACCTCCGTAAAAATGACTCAGCAGTTCTAGAAGACAGAAGCTGAGTAAAATCAGGTTTCCAGATGTAGCATTCCTGTGTAGAGTTGATTTCTTGTTCTGGTTGTCTAGCAATTGCATGCAAAACAGTAATCTTTGAGGCTGCACTATTTTTAAGGGCTCACAGAAGCACATTCATTAATAATAAAGATCCTGAATAATTTAAGGCTACTCCCACATCTCTTGTTTCAAAGGGCCATTTTCATATCAGTTTCACATGTAAACTGATGTAAACTGAAAGGCAGGTAAAACTTCTGGGTGCTATTGAGAGCAGGGCATATCACAGAGAGCAGCAAGCAGTCAGAAGGGCCCCATGTCCCACATAACCGCCACCTTCCAAACCAACTCAGATAGGAGTGACCTAGGAGTGGAACTGAAGTAATTTTATTCTTTTATAAACACAGAGATGGGGTTACACATTTTTAAAAGGCATTAAATATAATGCAGGTCTTGAAAAGGATAATAATAATTTGTTATGAATGTACATTTCCTCTTAAAATTAAGTATAATCAGAAAACGTCTTATTTCTAAAGAAGTTTAGACTAAAAATGAATTTGTTCTAATCCTATTAGGATTTTTAAAAGATGATGTCACATGAACCAAATGTATCACAACTTTACCATTAATGACTTCAAGCTGTTGAAAAGGTAGGGAGCGGATATAGTTTGGCTGTGTCCCCACCCAAATCTCACCTTGAATTGTAATAATCCCCATGTGTCAAGGGCAGGGCTGGGTGGAGATAATTGAATCATGGGGGCTGTTTCCCCCATACTGTTCTCATGGTGGTGAATAAGTCTCACGTGATCTGATGGTTTTATAAATGGGAGTTTCCCTGCATAAGCGCTCTTGCCTGCCACCATGTAAGATGTGCCTTTCCTCTTCCATTGCTTTCCGCCATGATTGTGACGCTTCTCCAGCCATGTGGAACTGTGAGTTCATTAATCCTCTTTCCTTTATAAATTACCCAGTCTGGGGTATGAGAACGAACTAATATAGGAATCAATTTAACATGTCTTTAAAAAATGTTTGAACTCCAAGCATAGGTGTTTTACTTCATGAGCACACCTGGAGAGCTGAAATATCTGAGTTTTCAGGTCCCAAAAGATACACTTAAAACAATTCTGGTAAGTGGGCACAGATTCACTCTAGAATGTCCCATAATAAAATCAGCTTTGAAAAGTTAGTATGACATCCAATGATAGTTAATTTATTATTTTGTTTTTGAAACATATTAGTATGACACTATTGGTTTCTTAAAAACTGAAACTTGAGACATTTTAAAAAATAAAAATTGATAAGTTATGGGGCAAGAATGGAATCAAGTGAAGGAGAAAATAATCTATCATGGGTCTTTGTCTAGATAAATGACTGATTTTCTGGGAACAGATAAGACAAAAATCTAGGAAGAAAGTAAATCTATTGCACACGGAATCTGTACCTGAGTACTGCAGACTCAAAGCTGAAATTGTATTTAGAAGTTTTATATTACATTATATCTGCATTGTGACACATCATAGTGTCTGAGATATCAGCAATAGAAGGAGGTTTGAACATTTTTCTGAGTGCTGACATTTTTAGATTTCATCAGACATCTCTGGCATTGACTGATTCTGTGGAACAAGGATCTTGGTGCCAAAAAAAAATTGTGTGAAGTTTCAGTCAAAATAACGTAACTAAATAAACAAATGTTTAAGTACCTAAGAATGAACCGGGGTATGTTGGAAAGTAATCTCAGCAAATGGACAATTGATAGTCCTAAGCTCTTAGCATGGCTGGATTTCAGACAGGCTTAGAGAAAAGATCTGAGGACTGTTTTGGTTTCACTTACTTCTGTCAACTGGAACTTTGTAGTTACTGTTGCAGCCCCCTGGCTCAAGTTCATATAGTCATATTAAGACTTTTCCTTTTCTTTCCATAAAATGTTTTGGGTTATAAGTCAAAACCAGTTTTTTCTTCCTATAAATGTTTTGGGTTATAAATCAAATTTATGATCTTACAATACCATAAATAACTGATGAGGTGGCATTTTTTGCTAGCAAGGCAGTAGTTTCTATAAATCATAATTGGTGATTGACTCTGCCTTTACCTTGAGAAAGCAGGTAGGAAGAAGGCGCAATCTTTCCACACAATCACAATTTGCCCTGGTTGGGACATAAATGTTTCACACCAGCCAGAACCTGGGCAGCCACTCCTTCCTGTGTATAGGCACTCTTTCTGTTCACTCGCTCTCTGTTGGCTCCTTACACATACATTTGAAGACTATAACTCCCAAGAGAGAAAGAGGATTTACATGTATTTACATACATGGTGAATAATCTCAGAGAAAAAATTAAGTTACTGAAGTTGACTCAAGAAAAAAATAGAAAACCTGTACCAAGGAAGATAGAACAAATGACCTTAAAATATTACATTCTGAGCCCAGATCATTTTATGGGTAAAGGCTTCAAGGCTTTAAAAAACAAAAGATTTTTATACTTTGGAAATGGTTAGAAGACCTACAAGGTTACCAAATGTATTTTATAAAGCCAGCAAAACACTGAATGCCAAAAATGACAAAGCTATCATATGTTTCTCTCTATCCCACACATACTCTCACATAAAAACATATGGGCCAGTGTAATTTATAAATACCAATGAGAAAATCCTAAATAAAGAACCTAGAAACCATATATTAAAAGAATAATTTACCATAACTGTGTAGGTTTTATTCTAGAGCTACAAAGATGCTTGATATGTGGAATTGATAACATAACTATTAATAGGTCCAGTAAACGAAATCAAGTGATAATTTCAGTAGGTGTTATGAAGACATTTGGTATTATTATTAATTAACTATTTAAATGAACAAAAAATGGTATATGCTTATTGTGTATATGATGTTTTATTTATTTATTTAGAGACAAGGTCTTGCTCTGTTGCCCAGACTGGAGTGCAGTGGCATGATTATAGCTCATTGCAGCCTCGAATTCTTGGGCTCAAGGGATCCTCTTGCCTCAGCCTCCCAAGTAGCTAGGACTACAGGTGCATGCCACATGTCTGGCTATTTTTTTATGTTTTATTTTTGTGAAGGCAGGGTCTTCCTATGTTGCCCAGGCTGGTCTTGAACCCCTGGCCTCAAGCAATCCTCAGTCCTCGACCTCCCAAGTTGCTGGGATTACAGGTGTGAGCCACTGTGCTGGGATATTCTGAAATATATATACATTGTGGGATGAGTAAATTTATCTAATTAGCATGTATTACCTCACATACTCACTTTTGGGGTGAGAACACTTAAAATCTACTCTCTTAGCAATGTCTAGGAACACAATACATTGTTATAAACTATAGTTGCCATATTGTACAATAGATCTCTCCAAGTTATTCCTCGTGTCTTACAGAAATTTTTGTATCCTTTGACCAACATCTTCCCAACCACCCTCCTCTCTCAGCCCCTGGTAACCATCAATCTAGTGGCTACTTTTATGAGTTCAACTTTTTTAAGATTCCACATATAAGTGAGATCATGCAAATATTTGTCTTTTTGTGCCTGGCTTATTTCACTTAACGTAATGTCCTCTAGGTTCATACATATTGTTGCAAATGACAGATTTTTTTTTCTTTTTGAAGACTGACTAGTATTCCATCGTGTATATACACCATATTTCCTTTATCTATTCACCCTCTGATGGACACTGAGGTTTACTCCTATCTTGGCTATTGTGAATAGTGCTGCAGTACACATGAAGGAAAGATATCTCTGATATAATGATTCATTTCCTTTGGATATATACCCAGTAGTGGGATTGCTGGTTCATATGATAATTCTATTTTTAATTTTTTGAGGAACCTCCATGTTGTTTTCCATAATGGCTGTATTAATTTACATTCTCACCAACAGCGTGAAAGGATTCCCTTTTCTCCACCTCCTCGCCAACACTTATTACTTTTTGTCTTTTTGATATAGCCATTCTAACAGGTCTGAGGTGATATCTCATTGTGGTATTAATTAGCATATCCCTGGGGATTCGTGATAGTGAACATTTTTTTCATAAACCTGCTGGCCATTTGTTGTCTTCTTCTGAGAAATTTTGATTCAGTTATTTCGCCCATTTTAAAATCAGATTATTTGTTTTCTTGCTATTTAGTTGTTTGCATGCCTTATATATTCTGAATATTCACCCCTTATGAGAGACATGGTTTGCAAATATTTTCTCCCATTCTGTAGGTTGTCTCTTCATTCTCTTGATTGTTTCCTTTGCTATGCAGAAGCATTTTAGTTGAGGTAATCTCATTTGCCTATTTTTGCTTTTGTTGTCTGTGCTCTTGGGGTCTGATCCAAAAAGTCGTTGTCTAGACTGATGTCATGGAGATTTAACTTTACCTTTTTCCCATTGTTTTACATCTTCTGTTTCTTATTTCATGACTTTTGCCACAGTTTGCAGAACAGGTGAAACACATAAAAATTATAAAAACAATCCAGTTGGGAAATATAAAAGAAAGATTTAACTCATAATTTGAGAGAAATTTAAAAATATTTAGGTAGAAAGCTACCAGAGGCTATGATTTCATGGCTGAGGCTCTTAAAACTGTATATCAAATTCATCAATGACTTCCATATTGCTAAGTCCAAAGTACATCTTTCTACCTTTATCTTAGCTTTTTCTTGCTAAACTTTATTTTGCAATTTCAAAATACATAAAAGGTGGAAGAATAGTAAAAAAAAAACAAAAACAAAACCTCTCATATGCCCTTCTTCCAGAATCACTAATTGTTATTGTAAAAATGTTTGTTCAAATACACACACATCATGATTTTATTCTGAACCATTTAAGAGTAAGTTGCAGATATTCTGGCTTTTTACTCTTAAATACTTCATCCAGTATTTTTTGAAGATGATTTCCTTACATAGCTACTGTATCATTTTTTAAATCAAGAAATTTAACATTGATACAATGTTATTACCTAACAGACAGTATTTAAATTTTGCAAATAATGTCCTTTATAGCATTTTGTTTCCTGATCCAAGATCCAATCCAGCATCACACATTGCCTTTAGTTGTCATATTTCTTTAGTACCCTATAATTTGGAACACTTCCTCAGCCTTTTCTTGTTTATTGTGACATTGACATTTTTGAATAGTATAGGTCAATTATTCTGTAGAAAATATCTCCAATCGAGTTTGTATGTTGTTTCCCCAAGATTATTTTTTAATTTATACATTTCTGGGGAGCAAGGATACCAGAAGAAATTCTTTGTCCTTCTTAGTGTATCACATGAGGAGATTCACTGCTATGCGGATGCTACCGTTTATCTAATTACCATGTGACATTACCTGTGTATACTTAATTAAGTTGGTGTCCCTGCAAGCTGATGTCTGTGTCCTTCCTTTACACACATCACACATCACATCCAATCTTTTTTTTTTAAGCATTTTCTCATTTTCTGGGTCAATAAGATATTGCAGATTTATCACATATGTTCCCTGCCCCAATGCTAGAACCAATCATTTATTCAAAAAGGGTTGGTTCCTTTTAGTAGGGAGTGGTTTTAGAAATCAAAATTTAGGTGCTAAATGTGTTCACTGCTATGGGGATGCCACTGTTTTCTAGGCCTTTTCATAAGTTCATCATGATATCTTCAATTCCAATCTAGCAATCCAAAACCACAAGGTTCTTCCTTCCCTTCCCCCTTCCCAAATCTGTTTTACCCTTCCCCAATCTTGATTATCCTGGCTTCCAAAAACATTGATATATTTGTTCATTTGCACAATGTTTAGCTTACCTTTTAAAACTTTCCCTTTCCAAACACTGTCTCTTGGCCTCTGTTTTATCACTCTACAGGCTCTCTTCCAACAGAAGATTGTCTTGAGTCTTCTTTGTTGGCCTCTCCTTGGAGATCTGGCCCTTAAATATGGGAGTGCCTTCAGAATGGGTCTTGGGCTTCCTTCCTTACCCTTCCCTTCCTACACATGTTGCATAGTGCCTAGGTCCCTTACCACCTTTAAGCTAGTGATTCACAAATTGATGACTCTAGCCCTGTCCTCTTCTCTGAACTGCAGACTCATCGATAACTTAGTACTTTCACTTAGATATTAAACTTGACATGCCCCTGATTTTCTATTCTATCCACAAATCTGTGCTGCTGTCTATCCACATTTTAGGAAATGGCACCATCATCCAGCTGGTTGTTCAAACTAAAACTAGTTAATCTTTGATTTCTCCTTTTTATTTACTCTCCTCGCTATATTCATTCCAACTTAAAATCCCATGAATGCGGCTGGGCACAGTCGCTCACACTTGTAATCCCAGCACTTTGGGAGAGTGAGGCATGTGGATCGCTTGAGATCAGGAGTTTGAGACCTGCCTGGGCAATACGGTGAAAGCCTGTCTCTACTAAAAATACAAAAACTAGGCAGGTGTGGTGGTGTGCACTTGTAGTCTCCACTACTCCTTCTTGGGAGGCTGAGGTGAGAGGATGGCTTGAGCCTTTGAGGCGGAGGTTGCAGTGAACCTAGACCATGCCACTGCACTCCAGCCTGGGAAACAGAGGTGACATTCTGTCTCAAAAAAAAAAAAAAAAAAAAATCCTATGAGTGAGATATATCCCTCCAGAATATAACTCAATTTTTCCACTTCTCATTCTTATTACCATCTTCCTAGTCTAAGCCACTAGCATCTCTTGCATGAACGCTCATAATGGCCTCCTAAATGGTATCCTACCACCTCTTCTTACATTCCTCTAAATTTTTCTTCAGAATGTACTTGCTAGTGCCTTTAAAATCCAGATTACCTACCAAGATTTTGTGAAAACTTCCAAGACCTGCCTTTTTCTCCAAATATTTCCCATATCTCTCTTGCACTTACACTGGCTAGCTTCTTTCTGTTTTTAAAAACTAACCCATCTCCTCTCTTACTCCCTACACTGGGCCTTTGCACCTGCTGCTACCCCTGCTTGGAAAGCTTCCTCCAGCTCATCTCACGACTGCCTCACATTCATCCTTAGGCTCCACTGAGCTCTTCGATGACAACCCTATCTGGAATAGCTTTATCGCATCACTCTGTTTTAGTCATAGCTGTCAGCATAGCCTGTGGTCATCTTGCTTCGTTATATGTTTATTGGCTTAATATTTGTCTTCTTCACTAGAAAGCAAACTCCTCAAAAGCAGGAACAAGAGCTATTTTGTCTTTTTTGTCCCTGTATGCTTAGTGCCTGCCTCCCACACTGCATGACTCATCATAAGCACCCAAGAAATGTGTTGAATAAATGAATCAGGAGAGGCTGGTTAGCACTGTGCAGGGAGAGTGCCTTGCCTGTGATCTCTGCCAGTCGACACTGGATATGGCTCCATTGTGAAGATGCAAGTTAATTAGCATCAAAGACCATCAGATACCCAAATCATGTAAATATTTCTTGTTCTGACTCTGAGCCTTCTGATTATAATTTGTGTTTCCATGTAGCTTGTGCAGGAAGTTAATGCACTTTTAGAGCTGTGGACATCTGGTAACTTTGGTATTTCTATTTTAAGTCTAAGAGTGGTAAGCTGGCATTCTTGTTCTATCATTAGTATTGTTGGCTTGGTTATCTGAGGGACATTAATGGTAGCTGCAAACTACACTTCTAATCCTGCAGAGGTGAAGAATAAATGATGGTCGTGGATTTTACTAAGGTGCTATCAGCCTGATAGACAGCCCATTCATGCTGGCAGGGAAGTGCACCCAGGCTGCCGACACCCAGAATGGGAGGGGATGGACATCAAAAAGGGTGGGCTAAGGACTGGCGCCCAGAGGGCATGGTGGGGGAGGCACACACGGAGGGCACTCAGGAACGGGACAGGGTGGAACTCCAGGGGTCGGCCAGTGAATGGTACTCAGGGGTGGGTGCCCAGGGGATTAAGAAAAAAAAAAAGAATGAGCATTGTTGGAATTTAGAAAAGAGGGATCCAAAGTATGTATTGATCAAAACTGTGTGCTAGGCATTATTCTAGGTGCTTAGAAAACACCACAAAACAGATGAGTATTACTACTGTAGAGCTTTCTTTTTAGTGTGTTAGAAGGACAATGGGCAAAAAGTATAATACATGAACAATAATAATGTGAGATTGTAAGCACTGTGGAATACAACAAAAAGTAGAGAAGGATAAAGGGGGCTGAGATTGCCGAGAGTGGCAGATAGCAGTGCTAAACAGCATGGTGTGTATAGGCATTATTAAAAAGGTGAAATTTGAGCAAAGGCTTGTAGGAAGTGAAGCGTTGGTCACATATCATTTAATGAAAGAGTGTTCCATGTAGAGGAAATGGCTAGTGCAAGGCTCTGAGGTGGGAGTGTGCCTGGCAGATATAAGGTACAGCCAGGAGGTTTATGTGGTGAGAGCAGAGTGGTATAAACGTGAAAAATAGTAGTAGGAGAGGAGATCAGAGAGATGAAAAGGTGAGGGTGGGAACAGATCATGTGGCCTTTCAGGCCATCATAAGGACTTTGGCTTTTATTCTGTAGTAGAGAGCCTCTATGAGCTCTTAAACGTAATTGAGCTACAATCTGATTCACATTTTTGTTTGTTTGTTTGTTTGTTTTGATAAAGTGAATGTTTAATGGTAAAAGTTAAAAATCATCAGATTCATCTATCCTTTCTGTAGAGATATTCTTACCAAAGGGGTTATACTATGTATAGTGTATTATATAAAGCTCTTACTCTGTTGGAAACTATTTGGATGAATATCACCAACTTTTGTGATTTTCTTTTTTTCCATGGTTGACACAATCCCTTTTTGATTGATGATTCCTTTTTTAAATCTACCAAAGCTTTAAATTAATTTATAGTCAAGGTTAGCTATTAACTGAAGCCTGGGATCCATTCTGTTACTTTAAGATGACTGGTCATTTCACCCTCAAAATATAATTAATTACTATCCTATTCTTGGAAGTGAGAAGAAAATTCTTTTTTATTTTTTATATATCTCTCTTCAAATCCATTTTGTATGTGATGACTGCAGTTTAATCCCAAAAGGATAATCTTCTTTCCCATATGTATTTTTTATTTTACTTTAAGTTCTGGGATACAAGCAGAGAATGTGCAGGTTTGTTACATACGTATACATGTGCCATGGTGGTTTGCTGTATCTATCAACCCGTCATTTAGGTTTTAAGCCCCACATGCATTCCCTGGGATGTGAGACTGGTTCAACATATGCAAATCAGTAAACGTAATCCATCACATAAACAGAAACAATGACAAAAACCACATGATTATCTCAATAGATGCAGAAATCACCTTCAATAAAATTCAACATCCCTTCATGTTAAGATCGCTCAGTAAACTAGGTATTGATGAAACACATCTCAAAATAATAAGAACTATTTATGACAAACCCATAGCCAATATCATACTGAATGGGCAAAAGCTGGAAACGTTCCCTTTGGAAACCGGCACAAGACAAGGATGCCCCCTCTCACCACTCCTGTTCAACATAGTATTGGAAGTTCTGGCCAGGGCAATCAGGCAAGAGAAAGAAATAAAGAGTATTCAAATAGGAAGAGAAGAAGCCAAACTGTCTCTGTTCGTAGATGTCATGAGCCTATATCTAGAAAACCCCATCATCTCAGACCCAAAACTCCTTAAGCTGATAAGCAACTTCAGCAAAGTCTCAGGATACAAAATCAATGTGCAAAAATCACAAACTTTCTTATATACCAACAATAGCCAAGCAGAGAGCCAAACTGTGAATGAACTCCCATTCACAATTGCTATAAAGAGAATAAAATACCTAGGAATACAGCTTACAAGGGACATGAAGGACTCTTCAGGGAGAACTACAAACCACTGCTCAAGGAAATAAGAGAGGACACAAACAAATGGAAAAACATTCCATACTCACGGATAGGAAGAATAAATGTGAAAATGGCCATACTGCCCAAAGTAATTGATAGATTCAATGCTATTTCCATCAAACTACCATTGACTTTCTTCACAGAATTAGAAAAAAATTACTTTACGTTTCATATGGAACCAAAGAAGAGCCTATATAGCCAAGACAATCCTAAGTAAAAAGAACAAAGCTGGAGGCATCACGCTACCTTACTTCAAATTATACTACAAGGCTACAGTAACCAAAACAGCATGGTACTGCTACGAAAACAGAGATAAAGACGAATGGAACAGAAATAACACCACACATCTATAACCATCTGATCTTTGTCAAACCTGACAAAAACAAGCAATGGGGAAAGGATCCCCTATTTAATAAATGGTGCTGGGAAAACTGGCTAGCCATATGCAGAAAACTGAAACCGTTCCTTACACCTGATTTACATTTTAAAAGAAGGCATCACTTTGGCTACTGTTTCAGTCCATTTGTGTTTCCATAAGGGAATACCTGAGGCTGGATAATTTATAACAAAAATAAGTTTATTTGGCTCATAGTTCTGCTGGCTGTACAAGAAGCATGGTGCCAACATCTGTTTCTGATGAGCATCTCAGTAAACTTCTATTCATGGCAGAAGGTGAAGGGAAGCTGGCCTATGCAGATCACACAATGAGAGAGGAAGCAAGAGAGTGAAGAGGGAAATCCAGGATGCTTGTCAACAATCAGCTCTCGTGGAAATTAATAGAGTGAGACTCATTCATTGTGAGGATGGCACAAAGCAGTTAATGAGGGATCCACTCTCATGACCCAATAACCTCCTGCTAGAACCTATATTGGGGATAAAATTTCAACATGACATTTAGAAAGTTCAATCAAATATACAAACCACAATAGCTACTATTCTAAGAATAATCTGTAAGATTTCAAGGATAAAGAAGGGAGACTACTTAAGAGGCTCTACAATAATCCAGAAGACAGTAGAGGCTTGGACCCAGAGAGTAATGGTGAAATTTGGCTTCTGGTAAATCCAGAAGACTATTTTGAAGGTAGAGCTATCAGGACTTCCTGTGATTGAGCATTGAGTGTAAAAGAAAAGGAAGGTAAGGATGACTCCAAGAATTTTGGTTTGAGTGAACGGAAAGATAAAATTCCTTTTTATTGAGATTTTGTTTGAGATTGAGGAGCAGGTGGGAGATATAAGAATTAAGAGGTAAGTTTGAAACATGTTAATTCATTTGCCTATTAGCCATTTTAAGTGCAAATTGCAAGTAGGATAGGGGAATCTTAAGTTTGGAAGAGGTGACTGGCCTGGAGATATAAATTAGGGGATTACTTGTATATAGATGGAATATAGAATCATAGGACTGGATGGGGTCATGAGTAGCTACAGATGGCAATCAAGGACAGATCCCTGGTGTACTCCAATATTATAAGGGTATAAGAGGATAAATCAGCAAAGGAGACTGAGAAATAGTAAAGCACTTCATGGGGATGAAGTAGGAAGAAAACCATGAAAGTCTCATGCCCTAAAAGGCAGGTGAAGTAAGTGTATCAGAGACAAGGAAATGATTGATTATGTTGTTATGGGCTGAATGTTTGCTCCCCCTACCCAAACTAGTATTTCAAAAACTAATACCCAATGTGATGCTGTCTTAGTTAGCTTTGTGTTGCTATAAAGGAATACCTGAGGCTAGGTAGTTTATAAAGAAAAGAGGTTTATTTGGCTCACAATTCTGCTGGCTGGAAGGTTCAAGATTGGACATCTGGTGAGGGCCCCAGGCAGCTTCTACTCATGGTGGAAGGCAAAAGGGGACTGGCATATGTAAAGATCACATGGTGAGAGAGGAAGCAAGAGAGGCGGGGAGGTGCCAGACAATTTTCAACAATCAGCTCTTGCAGGAACTAAGAGCAAGAGAACTCACTCACCCCAAGGGAGGGCATTAATCTATTCATGAGGGATCCACCCCTATGACCCCAACACTTATTAGGCTCCACATCCAACATTAGGACCAAATTTTAACATAAGGTTTAGTTGGGATGAACGTCCAAACCATAGCAGGCTTTAGGAGGTGGGGCCTTTGGGAGGTGATTAGGTCATGAGGGTAGAGGCCTCATGAATAGGATTAGTGTCCTTATAAAAGATGCATCTGAGAGCTGCCTAGCCCCTTCCACCATGTGGAGACACAGTGAAAAGGTGCTGTCTATGAACCAAGAAATATGTTCTTACCTAACACTGAATCTGCTGGCACCTTGATCTTGGACTTCCAAGTCTCAGATCAAGAATGGTGATAAATAATCAAGAATTCCCAGAATGGTGATAAATAAATCTCTGTTGCTTCTAAGCTACTGGTCAATGGTACTTTGTTATAGCAGCACGAAGGGACTAAGACATATGTCAAATGCTACTGATAGGTCAAGTCAGCATGAGGACTGAGGGCTTATCATGGGATTTTGCAAACATGGTGGTAATTTTAGGGGCCATAGATGAAAACTTAATTTTAATGGCATTGTTTAAGTATGACTTATGTGTGTTGATCTTGAGCAAGACACACTAGGGTTTGTGGCTGCTTTCCCAGAGATGGGTAGCACACCTACAAAGGAGGAGACTGCCAGGACTCTGCAAAACCTTTGCTATGGCCTCTTTGTTTAGAAATCATGCTTCTTTGTACCAATAAACTGAGAGACTTGTGATTAGATAGCTCTGTGGGCTCACTTTTTCTGCCCAGAAGAAATTAATATGAGGGGTAGAACAGCTGCTCACTGTTGGGAGAGTCACCAGTTTGCTTCCAGAAACTCAGCTACAAGCTTGGGTGACCTTTCTGTGTCCTCTGCAGACCGAGTAAGCTTTCAGCTCTGAGCCAGGACCATTTTAGAGTTAAAGATGTTAGTTTTAAGGCCAGCAAAGGAGCAAATGGAAGTTACACATTACTTCACAGTTGCATCTGGTAGTGTGTAGATGGAGGAATAGCTCTTTATCCTATTTCTGTCTCTTGGAGTCTCATAATGTTCATCTCCCTGAAATAAAAAGAAATAAGTAATGGTTCGCCAAGAGAGGAAAGGCCACATCACTGTGTAAGATCTATCAAGGCTTCAGTGAGATGAAGTTTGAGGACATAGTGTAGGGCAGTGGTTGTCAAAGTATGGTCCCCAGATCAGTAGCATCAGCATCACCTGGGAACTTGTTAGAAATGCAAATTCTCAGGCCCTACCTAAGATTTACTGAGTCACAAACTCTGGAGATAGTCCCCAGCAATTTTTTTTTTTGTTGGTTTTCTTTTTTTTTTTTTTTTTTTTGAGACAGAGTCTTGCTCTGTCATCCAGGCTACAGTGCAGTGGCACGATCTTGGCTCACTGTAGCCTCTGCTTCCCGGGTTCAAGCTATTCTCCAGCCTCAGCCTCTGGAGTAGCTGGGACCACAGGCAGGTGCCACCATGCCTGGCTAATTTTTGTATTTTTAGTGGAGAGGGAGTTTCACCATGTTGGCCAGGCTGGTCTCAAACTCCTGACTTCAAGTGATCTGCCCACCTCAGCCTCCCAAGGAGCTGGGATAACAGGCATAAGCCACCATGCCTGGCCCTCAGCAATCTATTTTAACAAGTGATTCTGATTCATGCTAATGTCAAAAATCATGGTCTGGAATTGAAGTAAGTTGGTGGCATTTACTGACTGGATTTAGGGAAGATAAAACAAATATAACAGTCAGTACAGATTTTGAGCCTAGCTGAGTCGGAAAAGTCAGTTTGTCTAGGGGCTGAGTGTGGTTGTTCATGCTTGTAGTCCCAGCTACTCAGGAGGCTGAAGCAGGAGGATCACTTGAGTCCAGAAGTTCAAGACCAGCCTGGGTAACATAGCAAGACCCCATCTCTACAAAAATAAAAATGAAATTAAAAATTAGCTGGGTGTGGTGGCATGTTCCTGTAGTCCCAGCTATTTGAGAGGCTGAGGTGGGAAGATCGCTTGAGCCCAGGAATTCTAGGTTGTACTGAGCCATAATTGTGCCTCTTCACTCTGGGCTGGGTACAGAGCGAGAACTTGTCTCTAAAAAACAAATGATCTAAATATATTTCTTATTAATTCCCTTAAAATGAAAAATTGAAAGATATTTCTCTAGTAAGTTAAATAGCTGTTAGCTATAAGTATATATAGCCACATATTTAAGTATGCAGCCATTGTCTATAAGTAATAGAACCCATCAATAACATGCACTTAAAACATAGAGTTATTTATTGTTTATTAGACAGAAATTCTGGAGTTGATCCAGGGTTGGTTCAGAGGCTCTTTGAAGCCATCAAGCCCTCAGGATTAGGCACCATGCTTTTTCTGTCTTTCTTTACTGCTACCCTCCTATGCTGGTGATGTCTCTTCTCATGGCTACAAAATGGTTGCTGAAGCTGTGAGCATTACATCCCAGTAGGACAGCATTTTAAGCAGGAAGGAAGTAGGTGGGAGCCAAAGTGCTTTCTCCTTACATACCATTTATTCTCTCTGTCTCATGCAGGCCTCCAGAAGACTTATCTATCAGTGTCCAAAATGGGCTGTATGCCTACCCCTAGGCCAATCACTGGCAAATGGGACTAAATTAGGTATCTCACTATTTATTGGGCCCATCAACCATCCCAACAAAATCAGAGTTCTGTTGGTCATGAGAATTAAGCAGGGCTGTAGGGAGGGCAACTAATAGTGCTTGCTATAGTTACAAAGATTTATAGACACTTAACTCATATTCCAGTGACCAATTAATTACTTTATACACATAATGCCTTTCTCCAAACAATACTCTAATTTTTCTACAGAATATTCCTCTCTCATGGCTTTACCATGATAGCTTTAACAACATAGAGAAACTATTTATAATAACCTCACATTAAAGTTACTTTTAATGGGGAAATCAGACTTGAGATTTCCCAAGTTGGTCTATTATATATAACAGGCTACCATGAGAACCAGTGCATCAGTCGAAAAAATAAAGAAAAAAAAAAAACTCCCTGTGTATTAGTCCATTTTCATGCTGCTGATAAAGACATACCCGAGGCTGGGCAATTTACAAAAGAAAGAGGTTTAATGGACTCACAGTTCCACAGGGTGGGGAGGCCTCTCAATCATGGTGGATGGCAAGGAGGAACAAGTCACATCTTATGTGGATGGCGGCAAGCAAAGAGAGAGGTTGTGCAGGCAAACTCCCATTTTTAAAGCCATCAGATCTTGTGAGACTTGTTCACTATTGTGAGAACAGCATGGAAAAGACCCACCCCCATGTTTCAGTTATCTCCCACTGGGTCCCTCCCACAACACGTGGGAATTATGGGAGCTACAAGATGAAATTTGGGTAGGGACAGAAAGCCAAACCACATCACCCTGAAAAATACTTTTGAAGTGGCATCGTAATTATTTCTAAATAAATAGCAAACACTTAACACTTTCCTCCCAGTGTAATTCCATATATTAGTTTGGGACAAATGTGTGGTAGTAGATATGGTGACTAAAATCAATCCATTCTATTCTTCTATAGGAGTATATTCTAGAGCATTCTTGTCATCCTATGGTGGTCCAAACATATGGCAGTTCATATTCACGCTGGAAGTAGAGACTTCTGGGGATGGGGACTAATATGTCCCAAAAGGGGACAAAACTCTGTCTAGGTCTCCTCTAGCCCTTTCCTAGTTGTCCACCAATTGGAGAAGAAGCTTATTATCTCATTGTTCACAACTTGACACTCATGGGAAGAAAATCACTAAGGGGCAGGGCCACTACTTTGAAAGGTGATGTGTTCGTGGTTGTGTTCTTTGGTCTAGCTTTTCTATCTGGTTATGGGTAATAAGTGAGTCACATAACTGATTCAAGGGGTATGGAGCGGGAAATTTAGCTTGGGCTTCTTGGTCTGAATCACAGTTTCTAATCTCGCTTAGTTTTATCATAAGAAGCCCTGTATGTTGAGGAGCAATCGCCATGTGCCCAGCTCTGCGTAAAGCACCATTTGATTTCCCATCCAGCTCTTGTTCTCTGTGGTCACATTCCTTGGGTTGAGGACCCTACAAGGTCAGGCAATGGTATTGGTAGGATTAGGGCACAAAATCAATGTCCTTAACACGGATATTAAGCTTTCTTCACAATAACATCAAATGAAGTGCTGACTTTGGAAACAAGCAGAAGTCAGTCATGGGTTTGAAATTACCCATTGCATTATGATGGTGCAGAAGCAATGCAGAAGATGCAGCTACAATTTCCCTGAATTTTCAGAAAGTGATTTGTATCTTAAGAGCTATTAAACATACAGAGAAAGCACAGATATCAGCAGTTCTTCACATGACTCCTGGGCTTTCAAAAGTTCCTAATTGGCATTGGTAAAGGGCCTTATTAGCTGGAAAATATCTCAGCATACTGGTTTGGCTATTACTGCTTTAATAAAAGACTGTAATTTTTACTTAAACCATGCAATTATATAGTAAAAATATTAGGCTTTTCTTTCAAAATTCATTTTATTCAGGCCATATCTCTTGTCAAGGAGCAGAAACCTATTCAATCTAAGCTTTAAAAAAGTGTGATTTATTGTACAGACCTTTATACAAAGCACACTCAAGGAAAAATGGTACAGAGGCAGGTCTTATGAAGGTGGTGAACCCAACCAGCTCTGAAGAGCTCACAGGCACATAGTTCACCACCATTAACCTGACCCAGACACCAACTTACTCACTGGTCTCAGTTCAATTTTTTTTTGAGAGACAGAGAGAAAATATGATTGGTTCTCCTTGAGTGAAGTACATCTGTTTGGCCTAATTAGTTGAGGCCAAGGTGATGAGGACATTTGAGCAAACATGGCCACTTAGGTGCAGGTCTTAGGTATGGCTGATGGAAGGAAGCAGGTTCTCTCAGAAGATGTATGGGCAGATGCAATGACTGACAACTCTATTTTAATGTAATATAAAAAATAGCATTTGACACCAAAATAGTTCTAAGAAAATGCAATTATTATGAAACAAACATGAGTGGATACAAGTAATGCAAAATGACGGAACTCTGACCTCTGTGCTGTCACAGTGATTTAATTGCCTTGCATGGTATTATCTAAGACTGACATAAATCTTTCAAATTATTCTTCCTTAAATATAGACATTCATATAAATTCTTTCTATGTTTATTGTGCTATCAAGTAATTATATATTTCATCCAATTTGATCTGTTAGGATTCCACGGTTTTGCCTTCAAATTCTGTAAAAGGAAAAGAATGAAAAGACATAACTATTTCCAAAATATGTTAGTAGCATATGTTATTATTAGCTTTTTTGTTTGCTGGATTCCTGTATTCATGATTCAATAGCTGAGAAAGTGCATGTGTGAGAGTGATTCTATGGGGAAATAAAGCCATGAGATCATAGTTAGGTATTTTCATATAGCAAAACTAATTGTGGCCTCTTCCCTGGCCACAAGCTATTTTTATGTGCTCTCTCCTGTCACCTTGCTTTTCATTCCAAATTATGTATGCAGCTATGTTGTCAGCTCCATTTCTGCTCGACTTTGCTGCTCCTCTATGTACCAATTCTAATTCCCCCTGATTAGCCCCATTCCTAAGTCCATCATACCATACATTTCAGAATGAAAGGTGCATGAAATTTTGTTCATTTTATTGGACATTTAAATAAAAGGGTGGGGGCTTGGGTGAATATCCTGATTGGTCAACCACAAAGAAATCTACGTCAGCTTTGTTTTCAACTCAGTTATATACTTGGGAAATCTGGACATGCAGATTACTTGTGTCAATTTCCTTACTTATTCATCTTGAGGGAAGGATTTAATGAAGGATTTAAGGATTTGGTTGCAAAAGTGGGAAGCAGGCCAGGCACGGTGGCTCACGCCTGTAATTCTAGCACTTTGGAAGGCCAAAGTGGATGGTCACTTGGGCCCAGGAGTTTGAGACCAGCCTGGGAAACATTGTGAGACCCTAGATCTACAAAAAAAATTAAAAATTAGTTGGGAGTGGTGATGCATGCCTGTGGTCCCAGCTACTTCAGGGGCTGAGTTGGGAGGGGCACAAATCTAGGAGGCTGAGGTTGCAGTGAGCTGTAACCGCACCACTGCACTTCAGCCTGGGCAACAGAGCAGACCTTGTCTTAAAAAAAAAAAGTGGGACGCTGGGATCCAGGAGAGTAAGCAACCAAGGCTGGGTCCCTGGGGAATGTGGGAAGTGGGGAGGGTTTGACAAGAATAGTATTGCAAGGAAATTTGATCCTCTATTACCCAGTTCCACTTGTAGAATAAGAAAATACTAGTTAATGTTTTGTCTACCACCTACCATTTAGGAACTCAAGACTCTGTGGCTTTTCAAAGGTGGTTTGAGGAATCTGATTTGGAAACTCTGCTGCTGCAAATAGAGTTAAAAGAATAGTTTTTAGTATGTAAAGCGCAATAATTTTTGCAGTTATTTCCATTTTCTTCTATCTTGTTCCTTCCACTCTGAGGTTTCTCTGAATGCATTGCTCTCCTAGGAGTTACAAGATGCTAGACCACTGTTATATAAAGTCTCAACCATTGATGATGACTTATCTATGTCCTGAGTGGACAATATGAACAAGCAGATGTTCAGTCAACTGCTCAGTATAGCATCTTTCTACCAACATCCCTATGAAGCCTCCTTCCCTGGCCCCCATAAACCACTGGGCAACTTCTCAATGATTGCTAGCTTCCTTCTAAATAGATAGTTTCAGATGAAGCCATAAAAATGGAAACAGACTAAATTATTATTTTTTTGATATATGGTTTGTATAGGCAGCTTTAGAAAAAATACAATTCTCTACATAAATATTTGCAAGCACTCACATTATATGTATACAGTTGACCCCTGAACAATGTGGAGGTTACGGACACCATTCCTCTGTGTGATCAGTAATCTACACGTAACTTTTGACTCCCCCAAAACTTAACTAATAGCCCACTGTTGACCAGAAGTCTTGCCAATAACAGTTGATTAACATATATTTTGTATGTTATATGTATCACATACTGCATTCTAACAATAAAGTGAGCTAGAGAAAAGAAAATGTTATTAAGAAAATCATAAGGAAGAGAAAATATATTTACTATTCATTAAGTGGAAATGGATCATCATAAGGTTCTTTATCCTCATTTTCTTTATGTTGACTAGGCTGGGGAGGAGCAGGAGGAAGAGGAGGCATTGGTCTTGCTGTCTTAGGGATGGCAGAGGTGGAAGAAAATCTGCATAAGTGGACCTGCACAGTTCAAACCCATGCTGTTCAAGGGTCAACAGCATATGTGTGTGTATTTATGTAATACATTATAAATTATATATATGATGAGATATATATACACATAATGAGACAAAAAATCCCAGATTTTCCCTGTTAAGGAGAATTCTAACTTGGTTCTCTCGGTCTTTTCCTCTCACCTGTGTTCTGAGGAAGATGCTATCTTGCCCTATTGGTTATTTTGGGCTTCATAATAGAGAATTGAGAAGAAAAGGGAAAGGTGAGAAGCAAGAGATACAAGGGACTGGAGCTGAAGTTAGAGTATTTTGGGAGAGTTTGAGGTGAATATGACAAGGAAGCAGTTTTAGTGCTTTTTAAAAAAAAGTTGACATTTTTATGCCCATTTCAAAGTGTTTGTGAAGCATATGAAAAGAAGCAGTTATTTAAAACTTGCTTTGGTCGCTAGACCATAACATTATTCTCTAACAACTGGACAATATGAGTCACGACTATTAGCAATATAGACATTGTTTATAACCCCACTGACTTACCATCTGACATAGCTAGATTTTTTTCTTCATCAGGGACCAGATCTTTATGTCCTGAAATCAAAATTAAATAAAACATGCTGGATTTAGAATATAACCAACAACCTAACTAGGTCATGAGATGTTCTGAGTCAATGTTTTTCAAACTTCAGTGACTATGACCCACAATAAAAGACACATTTTACATTATAGTCCAATGTGTACATTTGTGTACATATTAATGAAACAAAAAAATACATGAAATAATACTTATCTTTTTCTAATTGTGATGGTTAATACCGAGTGCCAACTTGATTGGATTGAAGGATGCAAAGTATTGATCCTGGGTGTGTCTGTGAGGGTGTTGCCAAAGGAAATTAACATTTGAGTCAGTGGGCTGGGGAAGACAGACCCACCCTTAATCTGGTGGGCACAATCTAATCAGCTGCCAGCAAATATAAAGCAGGAAGAAAAATGTGAAAAGGTGAGAATTGCCTAGCCTCCTAGCCTACATTTTTCTCCCATGCTGGATGCTTCCTGCCCTCAAACATTGGACTCCAAGTTTTTCAATTTTGAGACTCAGACTGGCTCTCCTTGCTCCTCAAGCTTGCAGACAGCCCATTGTGGGACCCTGTGATTGTGTAACTTAATACTCAATAAATTCCCCTTTATTTATACATAAGTATCCTATTAGTTCTGTCCCTCTACGGAACCTTGACTATACAGATTTTGGTACCAGGAGTGGTTCTAGAGAAACAAAATATTAAGGATGGAGTTCTTTTGTTGGTTTTCGGGTTTCTGGAGTTGGCTGCTTAGTATGATTCGACCTCCAAATGCTAAGGACCTAAGGACTCTACTTTTAATAGTATGGAGAACACTGATAGTCCTTGGCATGAACTGTTTAATGAGTTATGCAAAATAAATGAATTTGACACTCCTGATTCACTGCCCATGAGAGGCAGGGAGTTTAGTGACTCTATACATAATACCTTTGACCATATGTGGTGAACAAAGGAACATAATGAAGCTGGTTAGCTGCTCCTAAGTTCAGTGGACAAAGTGATGAAAGAAAATGATGAACTCAGAGATTCTGTCTCCTGGCAGATACTGAGCCTCAAATCTGCAAAGATTGCCCTGAGTGAGTCTTATCTCCTGTAGAGAAAGAGCTGAAATTGTGGAAAAACAGACACAAGCTCTTATTATGTGAGTGGTTGAACTGCAACGAAAAGTGTATGCACAGCCTTGCCAGGTGTCTCCTGTTAAAGTGAGGGCATTAATTGGAAAAGAATGGGATGCTGCAACTTGGAATGGAGACGTGTGGGAGAACCCTGATGAAGCTGGGGACACTGAGTTTGTAAACTCTGATGAACCTTTTTTGCCAGATGGAACAGCTTCCCCATACCCAGTAGTGGCAACATCCCCTCCCTGACCCATGCTGTCATCAGCCTTTCCACCTTTGTCTGAGGAGATAAACCCTGTGCTGCCTGAGGCAAGAGTGACGGCCTCCCCTGAGGCAGTTGCCAGGGAAAATGTTGATTCTCCTCAGTAGCCACCCCTAACACCCTTGTTTGCTTCTAGACCTATAACTAGACTAAAGTCTTGGTGGGCCTCTAGAGGTGAGGTTGAGAGTATGACCCATGAAGAAGTGTGCTACACTCAAAAAGAGCTGCTTGATGTCTCTATTTTTTTTTTTTTTTTTTTTTTTGAGACAGAGTCTCATTCTGTCATCCAGGCTGGAGTGCAGTGGTGCAATCTCAGCTCAAGCTCCACCTCCTGGGTTCACGTCATTCTCCTGCCTCAGCCTCCCAAGTAGCTGGGACTACAGGTGCCTGCCACCATGCCTGGCTAATTTTGTTTTTGTATTTTTAGTAGAGACAGGGTTTCACCATGTTAGCCAGGATGGTCTCGATCTCCTGACTTTGTGATCTGCCCACCTCGGCCTCCCAAAGTGCTGGGATTACAGGTGTGAGCCACCACGCCCAGCCGATGTCTCTAATTTATATAAACAGAAATCTGGAGAACAGGTATGGGAATGGATATTAAGGGTATGGGATAATAGTTGAAGGAACACAGAGTTGGATCAGGCTGAATTTATTGACTTGGGCCTACTAAGTAGGGACTTGGCGTTTAATGTTGCAGCTCAGGAAGCTTTCTACTCTGGTCTCATTTCTGCCCTCTCCATTGCACAAAATTGCTCTCATTAAAGTCACAAATGACCTTTGTCATACATCCATTGGGTATTTTTCAGGTATCATTTTATCTGACACACCAGTAGCATCTGACAGTGTAGAACAGTCCTTGTTCTTGAAACACCCTCTGCCTTCAGGTCTTTTACATCATCAGATTCCAGGGACTTATCCTGACTCTCTGACCACCCCTTTCTCATGGTCCTCTGTCAGTTGCTCCTGTTCTACTTAACCATGACAGGCTAAGTTCCTCCAGGCTTTTTTCTCTTACCTTCTCTCTAGACAATCTCCACCATACTGATAGCTTCATTTCTATTTATGAGGCAACAACTCCCCATTTGGCAACTGTAGTCCAGATCTTTCTGAGCTCCAGGAAGTATGCAGTTCTCCATGTGACATTTCCATTTTAGATATCACACAGGTATTTCAGAATCAAAATGTAAGAAATGAAACTCATGCTTTTTCTAATCTGGCACCATGCTTCTTCCTCTTCCATCCACAGGCGTGCATGCACACACACACCCCTCCCACATTCTCATATTTTCTCTCTCTCTCTCATTCTTTTACCATTTTCCCCTTATCAATAGTAAATCTGCCCAGTTGTTCAGCCAGAAGAACCCTGGGATTCACCAAAGCCAATCAGATTCATCAGCAATTCTTGATATTTCCACATCCTAAATATCTCTCAAATTTCTACTGCCTCTGGTCTTGGCTGTATGCACTCCCCCTCAATACCAGTCTTTCTGCAAACAGCCTTGCCTTATTCCAGGATGTTTTTCAAACTAATCCCACAACTGACCAGGTTCTCTCCATCTAGAAATCTTCTGTAGCTCTCACATCTACTCCTCATGGCTGTATCTCTCAGCTCCATCTCTTCTGGCTTTGGCCACATGAGCTTTTCCACAGTTTTTCCAAACAAGTTGATATGTACTTTCCTGCTTCAGATTCTTCCCTTCTATCCGCAGGCATGAGCTCTGACAGCACAGCAGCCAACATTTACTCCTCCCACGCACCACAGTTGCAGTCATCTATATAATGTGTGGCCAGCCTCTTGATGGACTGCAGGTTCCCAGAGGGCAAGATCAGGTCTATCTCATTCACCTCTGTATTTCCAGCTCCTAGCACTGGCTTATAGTTGGTACTGCACACACATTAGCAGAAGGAAGGAATATTGGGCTCCAAAAGACACTTGACTAAAGCCCTTTGCATAAATAAATTGATTTATTTCTACATGTATATATCCATACCTAAGATGAGATCATCTTTAAGGCAAAGAAAAGATGTCAGCCCTCCCCTATTTCTTATGAGTGGAGAAAATACCAATAAGAAAAATAAGCTTCTTGAAATTTGTTGGCTTTTAATAAAGTTATCTAAAAATAAATCTGGTGTTGTGAGTTGAATTGTGTTTCCAAAAAGATATGCTGAAGTTGGCCAGGCATGGTGGCTCATGCCTGTAATCTCATCACTTTGGGAGGCTGAGGTGGGTGGATCACGAGGTCAGCAGTTTGAGACCAGCCCGGCCAACATAGTGAAACCTCGTCTCTACTAAAAATACAAAAATTAGCCAGGCATGGTGGTGTGCACCTGTAGTTCCAGCTAATCAGGAGGCTGAGACAGGAGAATCGCTCGTACCTGGGAGGCGGGGCTTGTGGTGAGCCGAGATGGCACCACTGCACTTCAGTCTGGGCAACAGAGCAAGACTCTGTCTAAATAAATAAATAAATAAATAAATAAAATATATATATATATGTTGAAGTCCTAACGCCTGGTACCTATGAATGTGATCTTATGGGAAATGGAGTCTTGGTGGATATAATCAATTTAAGATGGGTTCAGACTGGTTTAGGGCAGGTCTTGAATGCAATGACTGGTATCCTTAGAGAGAAAGAGAGACTTAGAAACACAGACACACACAGAGGAAAGATGGACATGTGAAGAGGGAAGCACAGGTTGGAGTGATGCAGCAACAAGCCAGGAATGCAAGCAGTGCAACCCAAAGCTAGAAAAAGCAAGAAGGAATTCTTTCTCAAGCCTTCAGAGAGAGTGTGGCCCTGCTGATACCTCACATCAGGTCTTCTAGTCTCCTGAGCTGTGAACAAGTAAATTTCTGTTGTTTTTAAGCCATCCACTTTGTGGTAATTTGTTATGGTAGTCCTAGGAAATTAATAAATATGTTACCTACAACATTTATAAGATCATAGTGTTCATAAGTTGTGTTTTCTTTAACATTCTTATGAGATGTTTTATTTCAAAGGACACATTGAACTTAACAGTTTATTTTGTCATTAGTTTAGAAATGACAAAATATAAATGAGAGTTATTCATATTAACAGTGATTCAGTTATAACAAATATTTTAATACTCTTTTAATAGCAGTCCAATAAAACATCACGTCTAAGAGCTTACCTGATTGGTATGGCTGAAAATGTATCTTGTCTCCAAGTGCAACAAGTTTCTCCTGTTGAAATTTTATAATCACAGAATTAAATGACCACAATTCCTAACTTAATTCTTCTTTTTTTTTTTTTTTTTTTTGAGACAGAGTTTCACTCTTGTTGCCCAGGCTGGAGTGCAGTGGCGCAATCTCAGCTCACCACAACCTCTCCCTTCTTGGTTCAAGCGATTCTCCTGCCTCAGCCTCCCGAGTAGCTGGGATTATAGGCATGTGCCACCATGCCCAGCTAATTTTTCTATTTTTAATAGAGACAGGGTTTCTCCATGTTGGTCAGGCTGGTCGCAAACTCCCGACCTCAGGTGATCCACCCACCTCGACCTCCCAAAGTATTACAGGCATGAGCCACTGCACCCGGCAACTTAACTATTCTTTAATAGAAAAACACCTTGATTCTTCATTTTTAAATAACGAACAAATATTTTTAACATACCAGAAATTGTATAACTAAATGAGTAGTGTTCCTTCACTGATTTTTTTCAAACTTTTATTATCTCATTATTTTTAAGAATTAAAAAAAAATTTGAATCCATAGAAAAACCAATGTATGCCTTGGCCTAGGAGAATCAGTTTAAGGTCATTATCAAGGTCAGTCCCCTTGCATCTATTCTGACATTACCTGAATTAGATCACTTGTCATTCGGGTCATTATTTGTTCACTTATTTCAACATCTTTGAGATCTGTAAGAACCACCCAAGTTCCATTCTCAAATTTCACAGGCATAGAAAAGACGATCCCTTTCGGAATACCAAACTGGCCTGCAGTGAGCAAACACAAAGCAAAGCAATGCAGCAGAACTTAGAAACATGCACCTTTTCTGTTAAGCATTGTAGAAAATGACAGACATAGTATAGGATTTTTAATGATAATGATGGAATTAAATTTCTCGGAATTCTTCTCCAAAGAGGACTGAAACACTCCCTCTAGAAGGATTGACTGAGCGACTATCCAAGTTCTAACAATTCTGCCATCTGTATTTATCTGACATCCAGAGGCTAATGCAGTCTTTCTCTTTTGAACCCTGTCTGTATTCTTTTTGTCTGTCTGCATGGCTTTTCCCTGGACCCCTATGCAGCCCATGAGCCTAAGTCATTTGTCCATCTGGCCTTCCACTCTTCTCACCTGCTACAGCACTCACACAGCCAGAGTATGAAGAATTGGGAAGGGAAAGGAGGGGAGGCAGGAAATTTGGTTATTCCTTTGCAGCCCCCAGTTTGCCATGTGTTTTGGTGTGCGTTTGCTTCATGGGGGATGATTTCCTTTACATATTTCTATGTCTTAAGCAGAAGCCATCCTTCATTTAATAACACATTTAATTTCTTTAAGATATACAGAAATACTTATATTTGGATGTGCTCTAAATAAAAAGATTGACCATATTTATTACTAACTGAGCACCATTCAGACAAAATTGTCCCCGTTTCTGGTGCCTCGATCACATAAGAAAATTATTTCTGCCATACTAGACAACAAAAATATCACCAGGGCAAAAAAACAAACAACAACAACAACAACAACAAAACATTGAGGACATTCGAGAAACCAAGATCTAAAAGACTTTTCCTTAGAGGGCTTCCCAGGTCCTCAAGTAATGCTGTATTTTGTTTAATCTGTGAAGAGCTAGCCTTATGGGCAGACAAGGTCTGAGGGTTTACCTATTTGGTATGGTTTCAGAGAGACAGATAATGATCATTTACCCTCCTCCCCCAAGTACTGCATTGTTTATTTTTGAATACAATTCCTACAGAGATTAATTAAACTTTCTTTCTACAAATAAAGGTAAGGTTTTAAGTGCCTATTTCCCTAAGGAGATAATTTGCTGATCTGAATTCACATTATGGCAATGTTCATGCACCTTAACTTCAATTGAACAAGATTGATTGAGTGTCTACCATATAAAATGCTTCTCCTGTGAAGAAGCAAAGAGGTGGCCCAGAAAAAGCCTTTGCCCTCAGGGTGCCACAAGGAAGGGGACAATGCAACTAATCATACTATCAAAAACAGGCACACTATAATATTCTCCGTGATAGGCGAACAAAATGCTATGTGGGGATACGGAGGAGAGACAGAGATTAATTCTGACATGGGGGATTTGGGGAGATTTCCTTAACCTGTACTGGCGTCACTGAAACAATAGGGAAGATGGTGGTTCTACTTATAACATAAAGAATACAAGAGATGGAACCAATTGGGAAGGATGACAGTACATTCAGTCTGGTATATGTTGGATGGAAGTGATGACATGACATCCAGGTGACAATGTTTCAGAAGCTAGAGCTCGGCAGAGAGGTCCAGGTCTGCAGCTCTGGGAGTGAATTAGCTTGCTAAGGGAGAAAGTAGAACCCAAAGGGAAGAGATGCTTCAGATAGACCTTACAGATGACAGAACAGCAGCTATTCTCTTTCCTGTTTTGTAAAAATGGTAGAAGTCAGCCGGGCGTGGTGGCTCAGGCCTGTAACCCCAGCACTTTGGGAGGCCAAGGCAGGTAGATCACAAGGTCAGGAGATCGAGACCATTCTGGCCAACATGGTGAAACCCCATCTCTACTAAAAATACAAAAATTAGCTGGGCATAGTGGCATGCGCCTGTGGTCCCAGCTACTCGGGAGGCTGGGGCAGGAGAATCACTTGAACCCAGAAGGAGGGGGTTGCAGTGAGCTGAGATGGTGCCATTGCACCCCAGCCTGAGCGTCACAGCAAGACTCCATCTCAAGCAAACAAACAAAAATGTAGAATTCTTCTGCATAGTTTTTAGCGGATTAAAACATTAGGGCTGTAAAAGTTTATATGCAGTATTCGTGGATGGAGAGCAACCTTTCCACATTCCCAGCGCTGCCTGGTACCCTGAGATCTGGGTCCTGAAGTGCCTCTCTCTATCCTGCCTTTGTGTCTGTGCTCCTATGGTTCCCTGTGCCCAGTGTTCTTTCCACACTTGTCTTCCAGGTCAAAGCTCCTCATACTTTAGGCTTACTGTAGTGTCACCTTCTTTATGAAGCCTGTCCTGGTTCCACCTGCTTCCTGCCTAGAATTGACCTTGCTTTCCCTTTATCTATTGCTAGGAAAACCTAACAACATGATTTTGTTTATGTATCTGGCTCTTGTTTATTCCACTGTAGGTTTCCTGAAGGCAGAGGCCAGGTCTTAACTCCTATGTGTATTTCCAATGCATCCATACAAAATATTGTTGACTTTCTGAATGAGTAATTGAATGAATGAATGAGTATGAAATTGTAAAAGTCCAGGCAGCTAATGGACCATGTTAAGAGCTAGATGGGTGGGGACACAGAATTAGGAGCACGAGTTATAGATAGAGGTTTTAAGATTTTACAAGATATGAAAAACCCAGATTTACCTTCACTCAATATTCCTAAAGATACAATCTCCCCAGGTGGTGAGCCATGGTACCAGTATTTCAGTGTAGTGGCTATACTGTGTGCAGCCAAAATGCCTCCAAATTGTCTTCCTGTGGTGGTCAAGTTTTTAAGAATTGCCACAAATTCTCTTTTTACCCACTCACTGTAAGGAGAGAAAGAAACAATTTTACAATGGAGAGAGGAATTAAAGAGAAAAAGGATGTTCCCTGGCTCAGTGGAACTAAGTATCAGAAACCTAATCCACAGTCAAAATAGAAATACAGCTTTATTTCTAGTGTCTTTCCTCAAGTGTCTTTGATCCCCATAAAAAGTCAATTGAAAAATAGTGAAATGTAGTAGAAAGGAGTCCCAAGATGTCAAACTAAAAATATGATACTATAAATATGGAACATAGAAAAGTGGCTGAAAATGGCAAGAACCATTATTTTCATTACAAAGAATTGATCCTGTGTAGACTCTACCTTGGAACCAGTAGTACCCTACATATTAAACAAAATAATTTCATTAAACATTGAATTACAGGTTGCGTATCCCTTAGCCTAAATGCTTAGGACCAGAGTGTTCCAGATTTTGGAATATTTGCATATACACAATGAAATATCATGAGGATGGAACTCAGGTCTAAACACAAAGTTCATTTATGTTTCACATACACCTTATACACATAGCCTGAAGGTAATTTTATACAACATGTTTAATAATTTTGTGCACAAAGCAAAGATTGTGTAAATTAAACCATCAGAAAGCAAAGGTGCCGAATGTAGAATTTTCCACTTGTGGCATCATGTTGGTGCTCAAAAAGTTTCAGTTTTTGGTGCATTTCAGATTTCTGATTTTTGGATTGGGGTGTTCAAGCTGGATTCACGTTGAGAATTAGGAAAATAATTATGTTTTTATGATCTGAAGTCTAAATTCAGAGAATAGTCCAGCTGGTTAGCTTCTGCTAACCCTGCACGACACAGCTCTATGCAACACTGGTCCTGCCCACGCAGCAAATGCAGAGGAATCATGCTTCAAAATAGTGAACTCGGGACACATCATCCCTAGGCAGGGGCGAAGCTCCTATGGTCTGAGGAAGAAAAGGAAAGCAAAGGGCAATGGAAAGAAAATCCTACAACTGGGAAAGTGCTGCAAAGTTTAGAAAAAATGCTTCAGAGGTGCTCCTTCCTGCTTCTCCTCTGCCTCATCATAATTGCTAGTGCTTATTGTACAGACACAGCCCTAAGTCCTTTATTGGGAGTAATCCATTTTATCTTCCCCAAGACCCTATAGGGAGGACCCTTATCATGTTACCATTTCCACTTTGCAGATGAAAAACTGAGTTACAGAGAGGCTGCTTAGCCTCTCTGTAACTCAGTTTTTCATCTGCAAAGTGGAAATGGTAACATGATGGTCACACAGCTACTAAGGTCACACAGCTACTAAGTGGCTAAGTGAGAATCCCAGCCTGGGTGGCTTGGTCCTAGGACTGTGTTCCTCACCACCTCTTGCTTCGGCCTCCTGCCACAGAATGCCCAGCCTGGCCTGTGCCTGCTCATCGTCTTAACTCCTTTCTTGAAAACGTTTCAATTAATTTCAACCTGGATAGATAGCTCTGTCTTTACACGAAGTAAGATTCCCTTATACATGCTTGCTTTAGAGATAACCTTACTTGAATATATGAACTACTGAAGGATCTGAAATATAAAAATTCATAATTTCAAAATCAAATCAATTACCTAGTTGATATTCTGTGGAATTTTCTGTTTCTTCAGTAGACAGCATGAACAAATATGAGTGTGAACAATGCAAGTTATTTTTGTACAAAGATTTATGAGATGATTTAAAAGATTACAACCATTAAACATTTATTTTAACATTGTCAGTATGCTTCACTTCAAAATATACTGTACCTGTCAAAAATCAAGTTTAAAACAGGGCGTGAATAATGAAGAGGTCCCCAAATGGCACTCTCATATCTGTACACCCTTGTTTTTCTCAGATCAACGTAATTATTTCCACTGATATTACCCCAAATGATCACGTCTTTAATGTCTGTGAAGAATAGAAAGTTTAGAAAAATAATAATAATGTATGTTAATATAAAAAATTGCCTGAAGCCTATTTTTTGTTTGCGTGCATGTTTGTTTTAGGATTGGTCTTTTTGGTATAAAATGAATCTAGGTTTATGATTCCTAAAATTGTGCAAATTGTGTGGATCACCTCCCTAACTGTCATAGTTTGGCAGTCCCTAATAATGTTCTATGAATGGTATGGTGTATAATTAAATTAAAGAAATAATGAAATGTTCCTTGAAAGAAACTGCTACTGAAAATTATTTCACTGGTGTTTGTCCTGACTTTGCTTACCATTGAGAGAGAGAGAGGTGGAGAGAGAGTGAGTGAGAGGTCAAGAGAGGTGAGGGAGAAAGGACTTTTTAATATGCTTTGGTTTTTCACAAGGAGTTCTTGTTCTAGACTAGAATAGAAATTAGGGCAAATCATTTAACTCTCTGATGGGTTTCATCTCTGGCAAAATGAGGATATTGTAAGAGGACCCTGGGCAACATCTTAGTCAACAAATAGTTATGAATTCTATTCTATGTGTGAGACACCTCTAGGTACCAGGTTTAGAAGAAAACAAATCAGCCCAAATCCTTACAACATTCTAGGGGTGGTGGGAAGTGGATGAGAAAACAACTATTATACAAAGCGATACATGCTAAGAAGTAAAATAAGACCATAGTGGTTAGAGAGAAATAGGCATTGGCATTCAATATGATTTTATCATTGTTAACTGTCTAGGAATGTTGTATGAAAACTTTAAATAAATAATTTTATTTACTTATTTAACTTATTTGCCTAAAAACTTAATCACTTTTAAGTCCACACCACTTCTTACTGTGGAGATTAACTTCTTCCCTCTTCTCCTGTATAAGATTGCTTTTGTCTTCAACTAACAGAATATCCTACTGACTTGTCTTAACTAGAAGGACTACTTTTCTCAGGTAATTCATGGTAGGCAGTGACATGTGCTGGTTCAGCAGCTCAGAGATGTGATTCTCTTGGCCTTCCCCTCATGATCATAAAATGGCTGCAGCAGCTCCAACTATCACCCTCTGTCACACAGTTGTGTTCAAGTATTACCCTAACACAGTTGTGTTCAAGGGCAGGCAATAGGGAAAAGGATGGGGTAGAAGCTTCCTCTTTTGCCTTTTCTCTTTTCAAAAAGTGAAATATTCTTCCCAGGGGACCCCAAATAGACTATATCACTCAACCACTCCTAGTTGCAATGAAGCTAAGAAAAGGGATGATTGTTTGAGCCTCTATAGTAGAGAGAGGCTAGCAGAAGAGAGCAGGAAACAGATTTTCGGTAGCCCACCATCACTGTCTACCTTTGTCCTGTGAGATTCCCGCCCCCATCGGAATGATTCCTGCAGTAGGAATAGCTAGTTCTCCCTCCACCACCCAACTCTCAGGGGAGTTAGTGATGTGCTCCCGGGTCCCTCAGCTGCAGGTTGTAGGAGGGTGGGGAGGGTGGGAGTCAGGGTTTGGAGCTCATAGGATCCCACATGGGGAAAATAATTCTTGGGCCAGGTAAGCATATGGTAGGCTTCCTTCCTACAGCCTAAAGAACCCTTTTAATTGTGCTGGGTTTCATTTTTCTTATCAGCTTTGAGGCCCTTGATAGCTCTAAACATCCCAAATTATGCTACAGAGAATGATAGTGGACATCTGCTTTCTTCCCTCTTGGCATGAATTTCCCCTCCTCCTTTTTTTTTTTTTTTCATTAAGAGCATCCTGATTCTTCTTTAAATAACTACTCCTTCTCCAGTGTCAGTCCCTATCTGTCGGGTGGGACTGTCCTCACGCCTTAGGTCCACCTATAGGCATTAGATGCAGATTCCACCCACCCACCCCCTGCCCCTGGCCATGATGATTGATTTAGAGATGGGCATGCAGTCCAAGCCTGGACGAGGAGTTTGTATTCCTTTTTGCACAAACAATTGGGAAAGAAAGCCCTCATTCTCCTGGGGTACGTAAACTACAAGCATGTGAGTCTGGGATGCCAGTGACCATTCTGCCACCTTTTAGGGCTGAACTGAGAAGATCAACACAGAGAGCAGAGCAGAGGGATAGGCCAGCAGAGAGAGCACAGGTATGTCCTGGCACCACCGTTTGAGCCCCAGCATCCAGCTATGTCTGAAATAAGAACTACCTCCTGTGTTTTTCAGTTATGTGGGGAAAAAAGTTCTCTACTTGACTTCAATCACTTTGTATTTTTTTGAGTCAAGGTCCTTCTCTGTTGGCCAGGCTCACTGCAGCCTCATGGCTCACTTGCAGCCTCAAACTCCTGTGCTTAAGTGATCCTCCCGCCTCAGCCTCCCAAGTAGCTGGAATTACAGGTGTGAGCCATGGTACCTGGTGACTTCAGTCACCGTGAGTTGACTTTTTTGCAACAGAAGGAGTCCTGACGAGCCAATACACATGGTCTGATAAATAGTGATTTATGAACTGAACTTAGGGGTTATCATGAATCTTGCTTTTCTGAAAAGGTTTGCCACCCTCTTGGCATCTAGAATAATCCCTGAATCATTTCCTTGGTGGTTTTTCTCTTTCATGATGTTTTGCTCAACTTTGGTCATTGCTGGCTGTCTCTTTGCTGCCTCACTGACAATTCTACTTGGACTCTGTCCCTCTAATGCCTTTTTCCTTTTACCAACTTTCCTCCATTTTTCTTTTTTCTGCTTCTCACATGCTTATTGGATTTGAGTAGAGTGGAGCTTAGAGTCATGGCACCAGCAGACCCACAAGACAGCAGCTTTCTGGCTGAAAGCCCCCAACCCCCCTCAACCCCACACCCCACCCACACATACACCTTGTTTTAGATTCTTCTTGATACTTTTCAGTAGTGTATCATAGACTTTCTGAGATAAGTCACTGTCTACACATATAATTATAAGGTTGATGACAGAGATAAAATAGAAAAAAGTTTTCATTTCCTTCTGAATAATTTTAGCATCAATTTGGTTGAGTGTTGTAGTGACTGTGGGGATAAAATACTAAAGATATGTATGCAAGAATACCGGAAATTATTATTTACAGTTTCATTGTAACAAAAAAGAAAATATAGCTCTGGCTATAATGTTAGGGGTTCACTGAAGCCTAATTGTCCTAACTGGGAACATTCTAGGCTCACATTTCATTGTCTTTCCAATTTTGCTTGAGAGAATGCCTGTCATCTCCTTCCCTTCTCAATGGACACTGTTGCACCTGCTCCATCTAAGGGCAAAAGTAGCTAAAATATGTCCAATATTATCTCCCTTTTCAAATACAACAATCCATTTTCTGATCTAGTCTCATCTTCTCATCTTCCTATGATTCTGATATTTACCATTCAAAGATTAATAGGAGCAGAAACCGATCAGATATCATAATCCTATTGATAAGTTTAACATCCTTAGAAATGTTTATTATGTGCCATACACTCTTCTTAGCACTTTAGGAATACATCTCATTGAATCCCCACATCAATTCTAGGAGATAGGCACTGTTAACGTCCTCATTTTACAGATGAGGAAACTGACGCACTGAAAGACTAAATGACGGCTCAAGATCATACGGGTGGGAAGTAGGGCAGAGCCACTTGCACATAGTTTTGATTTTTTTTAAAACACTGGTTATCTTAATTGACTATTACCATGGGAAAAATGGAATACGATGTGTCACATTATCACCTGAATAATATAAATTGTATCTTATTAAATATTTATTGATTTTTATAATGATGGAAAAAGCCAGACACAAAAGCCAGTAAAAAAAAATGTTTGCACAGTAGTCAAATCACACAATAAGTTCTTTATGTCTGTTTTATACTTCCTATTCCAGATACTCAGAATGTTCCTAGAGGGGACAGTGTTCTTCCTAGCTGCTTTGAAATCATGTTGTTTCAAAATAAAAACAAAAACATAAAGAGACATTCACTCACATGAAGGAGCTGTCTTCAGTTTTCTGGCCAGTATGGCTTTCGCTTCACCTTCCACCCCCAGCGCCACAGCAATAATGTTGTGTGCAATGCGTGGGGCATATCTCATGAGTAAAACTGTCTTCAGGTTTACAAAGGTTCTCCCTCCCACGATGACTCTGACAGACTCATGAGCATTTTTCTCTATCAGGTACCCATAGAGCCTGCAGAGAGGCACCCTGCTTCGGAGGCAGTCCTCCAGAGTGAACACCTCCTTGTTGGTGCTGTCATCCAGCACCACAATGACGTGGGCCTGGCGGAAGGCCTCCTCCACCTTCGTGCAGATGGAGACACTGCGCAGGACGGGAGATGCCAGGTCTTGGGTCTCCACCACAAGGCTTTTGAGATGTTCTTCCGCCTGCTTGTTGTCAAATAGAGTTATGCTAATTTCTGTATGCATCCCAAACACTTCGCCACTCGTCAATATGGGAATTAGGTTGTAGCAGGCAGGAGCAGAGGCACTGATAAAAATGCAAAGCCGCATTGTGAATAGTTATATCCTTTGTCCCTTTTAAGCCTTTATTCTTAATAGATATTTCTGCATGTGCATCAATAGGGTGGTTTAATATTTAAATAAGCACACACATAGCTGCCCTGACATTCTAAGGCTAGAAGTCAAAAGTAGAACAAAAACTTCTCACTACCAATCCCTTGCTCTGGCCATCTGAAATCAGTCCCCAAATAAGAAATATACCTGTTTATTAGGTTTTTCAAAGAAAACAGAATTCCCCCTATGCAGAAATCAAAATAAAAAAACTATTATATTACTGTAATTATGTGTTTATATTTCCTCCTAAAAAGATAAAGATGTAAGTTTCAGTTAGCCATAGCTCTTTTTTAAAAAATACAACCTCATCTACACAATAATGACTTTTTTTTTTTTTTTGGAAAGGGCTATCTTTTCCAAATTCTTACACAGAAAAATCCTTACAAAGATGGTGGGATCAACATAGGCTATGTAAGGTGTATCTGTAGCCACAATTCTGCAGTTGTCTACAGCTGTGACTATCAGCTGTGAACTGTAATGCCCACCATGGGAAGTTCAGAAATGCATCCGGGCATTTCTGGTATTCACAGTGGGTTTGGGGAGGTGTATAATGGGGGTTTCAACAGTATCTGTACCGATTTAATCCTTTGAAACATCTAAAGAAGATGTGATAGTTATTAAATCTGGGTTATAGGATCATGGATGTTTATTACATCATTCTCAATTCCTTTCTGTATTTAAAATATTTCATAATAACAATTTTAAAAATGAGTATATATTAGGATACACATGCACGTAAGAGCAGGAAAAGTGCAAAAGACAAACTGAGGGGTGAGGAAAGGAGAAGGGGAGGGAGAGAGAGAGCAAGAGAGACAGAGAGACAGTGCAGAGAAAGAAAGAGAGAGAGTATGACAACAAAGACTGCATGTGCCCAGACTGGGAGCAAAGTGGAGCACACATGAGAAGGAGAAAAGCAAAGGGGAGCAAGGCGAGGGGAGTGGGGTTACAGAGAGGGAGTGGGTGCATAGAGAAAAGGCAAAGAAAGCTCTAGCACGTGGGAAAGAGGGAGAGAGCAACAGTCAGAGAGGGTGAGCTTCTGCAAAGCAGCCATGCTATAGAGTTGTTTTTAGACCAAGTGACTGTGTTTGTGTCTATAAAACATAAAACTCATTTATGAGTTATATGGAGGATACAAACACACACACACAGAGATGCATATGTATATGTGTATACATATAAGTATACATACACACAAATTTCAAACCTGACATTCAGGTATTCTTCCATCATGAAATTAATCCCATCTCATTGTCCTTTCTAAATATAAAAAGTAAATCTCATGAATCCTGGGATTTGACTGTCCCACCTGGTGATCCAGACCTGCAAGGGGTTGATGCAAGTTTTCAGGGCTTCTTCCTCCTGCTCTTTTTCTATATGTGCCCCCAGGTTCTCTTGAGCAATTACCATCATCAGTTCAGTCGTCATGCTAGAGGTGACATCATAGTAAAGCTAAATATTGGGAGAGAAAAAGTCAATATCAGAGAATAGATAACTAGTTGAAATTGGCTATAATGGAAAGTTTTTGTTTAAAGTCAAAAGACAATAAAAAGAGACATGAGAGAATGTCTCAGAAAGCAAGATATTTGAAAAATAAAATAATGTAAGAGAATTATCATTATTAGAACAGATAAGTTAACTTATATACCTGAGCATGCTCCAGGAACTCATTATATCCTCCCAAAAGCAAACCCTTTCCTCCACGATCCAACAGCTCTCTCCAGATGATAGGGGAATTCTTGTGACTCCACTTATTCTTTTCACACACATCTTTTAGCCAATCCTGTTGAATGATATCCCAAGTGAAGTCATATATTAAATCTGCCTGAGAATTCAATTTCATACTTTAGAATTCAAACATTAAAATACTAGGTTGCTTTTAATGTCACTATATACACATAATATAATTTAGATATCTTCAAAGAGTAAAATGTAAATATAGAAAATAGTGATGTTAGTAACAGATTAATTAGATAAGAAAGCATATTCTTCAAATTAATTGACCAAATAAAGGTACTGAAAGTTGCTCTTTTTGCTGAGGAGACCTGGAATCCAAGTGTTTAGCTTAAAGAGAGGTCACATGTTCCAACTCAACTGATTTTTAAAAAAATTCAACTAGTTTTGCCCTTATTCTTTTACACATGCAATATTTCCAGTCTTAGGGGCATATAAAACTTGATACTTTTTTTAAAATCTGTGAGTGTGGTTTATGTAGTTCAGACTAAATTAATAAGCTAAAAGTTATTTGGAGATTTCCGACAATATTTATCAGAAAAAATTTAAATTATCATTATCTGATTTATATAGGCTAGGCCTTCCAATGACAAGATCTGAGTACAGTCAAACAGAAACATTTTTATCAGCAAAGTACATGGCAGCAGTCTTAAAAACCACGTCATTGGAGGCATGGGTAATGAGGCCACCTTACCAATAAAATCCTGGAAACTGATTTCCTTGCTAATATTGAAGATCTGCCTGCCTTTATCTCACTTAAAGCAAACAATGCTGCTATGAGGATTCCAACACGGTCCCTCTAGCCACAGCATAGCCAGACCAGTGAACTACTGGGCCCATGAAGGAAAGAGACATTACCCCAAAAAACCTTCTGCACCCTGCAAAGCATGTTAATGTCCCAGCAGGAGCTGCAAGGGCATGTACAAGACTGGACCCTTACAGTGCTGAATCAAGAGTGGAACATGAAGTTAGACAAGGGAGAATTTATTAGTATGAATCACTTTTCGGCAATTCAAGAGTGTATACCCTGGCAAGGACCTCAGAAGACAGGGACAACATGTTGCCAGACTGGCTCTTAGAAACTTGGAGAGAGTAATTAAATAAAATAGAAATGCCAGACTTCATGGAAGACGGTAGAAGAATGGATCAAAAGACTAGTGATGCCAGGTGTGGTGGCTCACTCCTATAATCCCAGCACTTTGGGAGGCCGAGGCGGGGGGAACATCTGAGGTCAAGAGTTCGAGACAAGCCTGGTCAACATGGTGAAACTCCATCTCTACTAAAAACACAAAATTTAGCCAGGCGTGGTGATGGGTGCCTATAATCCCAGCTACTCAGGAGGCTGAGGCAGGAGAATTGCTTGAACCTGGGAGGCGGAGGTTGCAGTGAGCCGAGATTGCACCATTGCACTCTAGCCTGGGCGACAAGGGCGAAACTCCATCTCAAAACACACACACACAAAAAAAAAACTAGTGAACGTGGTACTATGGAAGGCTAGAAAGCCCGCCATTCAACCATGTTCTCTGGAAGGGATTGGAGGATACAACATGCACCTAAGTGATAAGGAATGCACTGGTGAGAGGGGTCCTGGTGTCACTGAGGAGCCCAGTGTGGCTGTCCGTTCTAGGCCAAGGCTGTTTGTTTTTTTTTTTTTTCTTTATTTAAACTTCTATTTTAAGTTCAGGGGTACAAGTGCAGTTTTGTTACATAGGTAAATTTGTGTCATGGGGGTTTGTTTTACAAATTATTTCATCACCCAGGTATTCAGCCTAGTGCCCGTTAGTTATTTCTCGTGATCTTCTTCCTCCTCCCACCCTCCACCCTCCGATAGGCCCCAGTGTGTGTTGTTTCCCTCCCTGTGTCCACGTGTTCTTATCATTTAGCCCCCACTTCTAAGTGAGAATATGTGGTATTTGGTTTTCTGTTCCTGTATTACTTTGCTAAGGATAATGATCTCCAGCTCCATCCATGTCCCTGCAAAGGACATGATCTCATTCCTTTTCGTGGCTGTGTAGTATTTCATGATGTATATGTACCACATTTTCTTTCTCCAGTCTATCATTGATAGGCATTTGGGTTGATTCCATGTCTTTGCTATTGTGACTAGTGTTGCAATGAACATATGTGTGCATGTGTCTTTATAAAAGAATGATTTATATTTTCAGGGGTATATACACAGTAATGGGATTTTTGGGTTGAATGTTATTTCTATCTTTCTATGCTTCCACCAATAGCCTATAAGTGTTCCTTTTTCTCCACAACCTCGCCAGCATCTGTTATTTTTTGACTTTTAAATAATAGTCATTCTGACGGGTATGAGATGGAATCTTATTGTGGTTTTGATTTGCATTTCTCTAATAACCTGTAATGTTGAGCATTTTTTCATATGATTGTAGCCAAGGCTGTTAAAGGACATGCTGCCACACACCTGAACTCCCTGGCAATTGAGATGATAAAATCCTGAAACAATAGAGGCCAGTGGGCAGTGCCAACCAGACAACATTTATTGTAACAGAAGCACTACCAACCCAGCAGATGAGATAACTTAGCTGAAGACCAGACCAGCAGAGAGTGAGGGAAATCTATAATGGATGGTAGAGAAGAGAGGGAGAGAAAAGGTGATGACTGTCAGTTTGGCCCTGAAACTATGAGCAGTGGAGACTATAGTTCATTTGACTATCCTTTCTCTTATCAAGTTTACCCAGGGAAAGATGGCAACCAGAATCCTGGAGGAGCTGTTCCAAGATGGTGTGAACTGATTATAGGGAGCATGTGGATCCAAAAGGCACAACAGGTGAACTGTAGCCAGTGCTGTCATGTACACTCCAGGTTCCCCCTTCACAAATGAGGCACTCACTCTCCCAGGCACCTGGTGTATTAGAGGCTGATAACTTAAAGTCTGACTCCATTCTCTCTCTAGGAATTGACTTCAGCCAAAGCAAATTGCCTTGCCTAAGGTTAAGTTCCTTCCCAGGGGCAGCTGATATCCGATGGCTGGTTGAGGAGGGAGCACAAAAGCTCAGCTACCTTGCCTCAGTTTGGAATAATTCTGAAAGGCCATCAAGAGTTCACTGTGGGATCCGCTGAGCCCTCTGTTGCAGCTATGTCAAACTTCAACTTCTCCCTTTACCCAATCCTGCCACCCTCATTCCGTTTCAGGATGCTGTTCCCAAGACCACTTCCCAGTAAAGCCCCTTCACCAAAATCTACATCTCAAAGTCTGTTTCTGGGGAAACAGAGTCCCAAAGAAGGGTATCCCAAATAAGTCATTGGAAATCAATACCAAGGAGAATGAAAAGTTAACAAGTGCAGTGTAAGCTACCTGGATTCTTCAGGGGGTGCAGTCAAACTTATTCTACTTATTGATTAGGGTCTCATTTGTTCTACTAGGTATTAGGGAAAAAACATAAATATTATTTTGAGACTGGTAAGTAGGGACTTGTTTTACTAGTATTCAAATATCACTAGCACATGAACAGTCATTCCTAGAAGCCAGTCTAATACACCAGTTAATATTTAATCAAATTAAAACACATTTTGTGCATGAGTGAGTTCAACAAACTATAAAGGCTTCTTACCTCCCAAACCTCAGGACGTTGTGTGATTTTATGTATCCGAAAATCAGGAAGATTCTTTTGTAAATAGTCTGCCACAAGTTCTGTTTTAGCATAATATGGACAATCTGCTCTACCTAAAAGAGTTCAAATTAGCAATGTTTTCTTTCATCATGCAGAAATTATTATGTAGTTCTAAGTATTTGCTATGTAATTACAGAATTAGTCATAGTTATGATATAATTTGATAACATAAAGTTGCAGTATAAACTGCTATTACATAAACTTCTGATGTTTATTAGATTAATACAAATAAAATAAACTTCATAGGAGGTCAGAATCTTAAGTAACAAAATGTGGAAAGAAAAAAAACCCTACTGAATATTTATTCTTTTCTAGTAATATGCTAGACCTCACTTCCTCTAGGAGGCTGCTAACTACTACTAATTCAGCATGAATTAGTACTGATAATGAACTACTCACTAATGGCCACCAAAAGGTAAAGTTTGAAGTGAGGAGTGGTGGTAAAGTCACTTTTGGATTTGATGTGTGTCAGGAAGTTGTGGGGGTGGGAAAGAAGAATCTGGGATAACTTCTATTTTCCGGCTTGGGCAGATGATGCTGACCTTAACTAGAGAAAAATCATGAATGAGAAATTTAACTTTAGTCAAGTGCAGTTGGAGATACTTGTAGTGTGTCTAAGTGGATATGATCAGCAAGTAGCTGGATATATATGTATATGTATATGTACATGTATATGTATATGTATACATATATATGGGGTGCAGGTGCCATGTAAGGGTTTCAGACACACAATTTGTAGCCATCAACACCCAGGAAGTTAAAGCCACTACAACAGATGGAATTGGGCATCTGATAGAGCAGGAGGGATGGGGAAAAATGCAGAGCCCTCTCTGTAGCATTCTTCCTCAGTTAAGATAACTTAACTCCTAAGTTACCAACCTGTCTGAAGCTACCCCTGTCTATCAGCCACCCTGTCTAGTTCAAATCTATGGTTCATCTCTTCAAACCACTTTCTGGTCCATGTCTTAAATTATCTTTCTCCACTATCCTTTTGGGAAATGAGCCTGATAAAAGCCCCTTATCCTGGATGAACTCAATTACTTGCCTTTTCTGTAGCTGGGTCCTACCTGCTAGCCACCACTACAGAAACATTGTAGAACCAAGCGGAGGGCACCTTTAAAATTCATGGTCACCAGCTTTAATTGGCCCTCAACCCTGCGTGGAGATCCCTCTGTTTCCCTTATCAGCACTCTCTTCTGTTCTCCTCATTACTATTCCAGTCTTTTTCCTCTTCCTCCAAATCTTTTCCTTCTCCCCAACATTCCTCTGCATTATCAGAACACAACAGACAACTTTGCTTTTTACTTTACAAAAACCAACCCAAACAAAACAAAATGGCATTAGTTTGGAAAATCTCCAACCTCGTCCATCACATCTACATGCCTGTCTGTACTTGGACTCATCCTTTCCTCCTTTCTTCATTTCAATGGAAGAGGAGTCCTACCTCCTGTCTAATCTAATCCCACCACTTATGCTCTGAATCCCATCCTCATCTGCCTTCATAGGAACCTTGCTTAGTTAATTATCCTCTCTTTCTAGAGTCTTGTATCTGTTTCTAATAGTCCCTTTCTGTCATATTTAAATATACTCATTACATTATGTTTCTCCTGTCCTAAGAGACAAAAAACTCATCTCCCCCTCTAGCTATTGCCTTTCGTATGTCCTTTTTGATCAAAATATCTTGAAAGAGTTCCCTATATTTGCCATCCTCAGTTCTTCACTTCCATTTATTTCTCACCCACTGCAATGTAGCAGACCCCACAATTCTCTTGAAGGTCACTGAAGACTTCCATGCCACTAAATCCAGCAGATACTTTCCGATCCTTTTCTTGTTGACCCTTGGCAGCATTTGCCACCACTGCCCCCTTCCAGGCTTTTGAAACACTGCTATAGTGGGGGCATTCTCCCAGTTCTCCTATTCTATGGTCACTCCTTTCTATCCTTTGTAGGTTTCCATTCCTTTATCAACCCATTAAAAGGTATCATTCTGAGAAGCATCTTGTCTTTATAACTTACATATTCTTTTTGGCCAATCTGCTTCATTCCCTTGGCTTCAAGTAGCAATCTATATTTCCAGCTCAGATCTCCTTATCTAGATGCCTACACCCTCCTGTATTTTCCCATCTCCTTCAAAATGTCTCATAGACACTCAGAAGGTCTATGATGTATTTTGTCACCATTCCCCTACTAAATGTGCTTAGTCGCTTATATTTATTATGTCCATCTCCCTAATTATCTAAGAGTAGTAAGAGTATCCAGAGTATTAAACCTACTCATCCGCTTTTTTTTTTTTTTCAGTGACTCCTAATCTCTGCAATTATTCAAACCTCTGCTTGGGAACAATGTTTAACTCCTTTTTCTCCCTTATCTGCCCTCCTCCAGTCAATTAGACATCCAGTTCTATAGATTCTGCCTCCCTAATATCTCTCCAATCCATTCACTTCTCTCCATCTCCATTGTTTGCCACTCTAGGCCAGGTCACAATCAACTCCCTCCTGGACTATAGCACTAGTCTCCTAACTGGTTTCTTGGTATCCAGTCTTTTTGTCCCACACTATAGCCGTAACATTCAGATAAAATTCAGATTTGATTAGGCCCTCCTCCCCTTCTAAAAACCTTTCATGTACTCTGGATAAAGTCTAAACTACTGAATGTGGCTCAAAAGAATCTACATTATCTAACTCTAGCCTCACCTTATGAAATTCTCTTCCTTGTACTATTTGCTTCAGTCCTAATAAACTTATTTCAATTTTATACTTATTTTATATTCTCAATTGTCACCAAACTAGTTCTCCTTGCTCTAACCCCACTCCCAGTTACCCATGCCTAAATTGCTCCCCTCCTTTCTACCTCTTCTCTGTTAGGTAATTCATTATCATCTTTCAGGTATCTGCTTAAAATCTCTCCCTCTGGGAAACCCTTACCTGATTAAGTAAGGTCCCTGCTATCGTTCCTATAGAACCCTGCCCTGTCAGTGTCATACATGCAACATTCTCTGTGTGTTTTCCACTGACTTCCCACCATGTGGTTAGTCAGTGTTCAAAAATATTCTTCTGGGCCAGGTGTGGTGGTGCATGCCTGTAATCTTGGCACTTTGGGAGGTCAAGGTGGGCAAATCACTTGAGCGTAGGAGTTCAAGACCAGCGTGGGCAACATGACAAAACCCCATCTCTACAAAAATACAAAAATTAGCTGGGCATGCTGGTGTATGCCTGTAGTCCCAGCTACTTGGGAGGCTGAGGTGGGAGGATCGCTTGAGCCCAGGAGGTCAAAGCTGCTGTGAGCCACGATTGCACCACTGCAATCCAGCCTGGGTGACAAAGTGAGAGCCTGTCTCAAAAAAAAAAAAAAATCTCCTGTGGATGGTAGATGTCAATTGTGTTCAATGCATCAAAGAGATCAAATAAGTCAAAGACTAAACAGCTTCTATAAAAGTCAGTGGTGACTTTGGTGACAGCAGTTTCTGTCAGGAAGCAGAAGTAGAAGCCTTCTTCCAAGACTGATTGGAAGGCAGAACTGGAGATGGAAGAGCAGTCTACTCTTTTAAGAAACTTTACGAGGAGAGGAGGTAGGTACCATGGATTGTTGTAATAAAAGCCTTCTCAGTTGAGTCCTTGCTGTCAACCAGCACTTTCAATCATTCTCTCCGTTGCTGCCAAGACAGGCTTCCTAAAATGCAAACTCATTAAGACTACTCTCCTGCTTAAAATTTTTCTATAATTCCTCATTGCTTTCAGGATACAGTTCAAACACCTTTGCTTGACCTACATGAAATGCAAGGACCTGGCTCCTGCTCCTGTTGTAGCCCCAGGTCCTGTCACGCCCCACATATCCAGATCTTCTGTTAGGCCAGGAAGCTTCCTGCCTCTCTGCTTTTATTTGGAATAGCCTCCTCAGCTCACACCTTCACAACTCAGCTCCTGTAATACCTTCCCCAGCCAGTTCCTTGTGTCCACCTCTCCCTCATCCCCCAAACCCAGATTAGGAGTCTACGCTCCCAGAGGCCTGTGCAGGTCTCCTTCATCGCGTTAATCACACCGTATCAAAAGTACATGTTCTGTGCCCCATGAGACTGAAAGCTCCTCTAAGGCAGGGATATGTTTCCCTCCATTGCATCCCCAGTGTCCCACAATGCTTGGCGCACCGTCACGGTCCAGTAAAAAACTTTGAATAAATCTATAGCAAAGCATGGAGCGGTCCGTATAGAGGCTGCCAAGCCGAGCGGCCATGGGAGGTGAGCTGTTGTCGGCGTTTTGAGCAATCTGCGGGCGGACGCGGGGATCACTCACCCGCGATGACGAATTTGGCCATGGTCGAGAGAGACTCAGAGGCAGGGACCGCGGCTTCGCGGTTTCCTGGCAACCACGCAGCCAAGGGCAAGGCGCAGGCGCACTACAAAGTCTGGCGCCCAGCAGAGGTTAGGTGTTTAAAGTTAGGACCTGAATGGGTTACGTTGCGATACACGATCAAACATCGCCCTTATAAGCTCTGTGGTATCCCCGAGCCCCACTCCTGTATGCAGGGAAATTAGTCATTCTCCTTGGTAAACTTTCTTCAAGTAAGTCCTTCAGCTACAGCCGCGAACATATGCTTTTTGACCTTTGAGGGAATCCGTAAGATCTCGTGAGAAGCGCAGCTTCTCGGGGAAGCTGTCATGGCTGCTCCTGTACGTAGTCACGGTCTTGTGCTCTAAGGTGAGTGGAGGACGAGCTTGGGCTTAGCGGCAGCCCGTATCACATCCTAGACTTTTTACTTCGAGGAGAAGAGTCTCACGAGTTGTCCTGGAAGTAAGTTTAAAGGAGGTGGGTTAATGCTGGGCGGCCCAGCTGCGGAAGGACAGGCTCTTGAAGTTGGTTCTGGGGTCTGGTGAGGCTGGCTGGTTGTATAAGATCTTCCTCTTAAGCGCAGGCCACGTGCAGACATCGCTTTCGTTTTCTGCTTCTTCCACTGAGCCGTTCTACCTGCCCAGGTCCCTATTCTTGATGGTCTGGGTTCGGCCGTTGCTAAATCGTCATGTTGAAAATGATCTATCAGCCGGGCGCGGTGACTCACGCCTTGGGAGGCCGAGGCGGGTGGATTACCTGAGGTCAGGAGTTCAGGACCAGCCTGGCCAACATGGTGAAACTCCGTCTTTACAAAAAATACAAAAATTAGCCGGGCGTGGTGGCATACGCCTGTAATCCCAGCTACTTGGGAGGCTGAGACAGGAGAATTGCTTGAACCTGGGAGGTGGAGGTTGCAGTGAGCCAAGATCGCGCCACTGCACTCTAGCCTGGGGGACATAGCAAGACTTTGTCTCAAAAAAAAAAAAAAAAAAAAAAAAAACAGAGAAGAGAAAAGAAAATGATCTATCAATGCTAATCCCCTAATTTTCACCGAGGACATTTCCATAACAATGCCAACAAAAGTCTCTCCTACAGAGAAAGCTTTATGGAACGCTTTTGCACCAGAAAAATCTCATTAATACAATGACTACTTCCAAAGTGACCTGGCTTCTTTGAAACTGGACACATTGTGGTAGATTGGAGGGAGCCCACATTGGTAAAAAAAACTTTTACTGTTTTATGTAAATGTTTAATGGCTCCATAGGTTCCCCATTTTCTCTTCTGTTAAATGCATTTCATTTCTTTAAGTAAAAGTTTTGTTTTAATTTTTATTCTTTTCATTACTTCTTCCCCTACAGGAAAACGACAGCACGTGTTCTTTTTCACTAGTAGAAGTGACGTTGGTTTCATGTTGACAACTTTGAAGCCATTTGGAAGTGTTTCAGTGGAGAGCAAAATGAATAACAAAGCGGGCTCCTTTTTCTGGAACCTTAGACAATTCAGTACATTAGTTTCAACAAGCAGAACTATGAGGCTATGTTGTTTGGGACTTTGCAAACCAAAAATAGTTCATTCAAACTGGAACATTTTAAATAACTTTCATAACAGAATGCAATCAACTGATATCATTAGATATCTCTTTCAGGATGCATTCATTTTTAAATCAGATGTTGGCTTTCAAACAAAGGGCATAAGCACTCTAACAGCCCTTAGAATTGAAAGACTACTTTATGCTAAAAGACTGTTTTTTGACTCAAAGCAGTCTCTTGTCCCTGTTGATAAATCTGATGATGAATTGAAGAAAGTAAACCTTAATCATGAAGTCTCCAATGAAGATGTTCTTACCAAGGAAACAAAACCAAACCGTATCAGCAGTAGAAAACTGTCTGAGGAATGTAATTCCCTGAGTGATGTGTTAGATGCATTTTCAAAAGCGCCCACATTTCCTAGTAGCAACTATTTCACAGCAATGTGGACAATTGCCAAAAGACTGTCTGATGACCAGAAGCGCTTTGAAAAACGACTGATGTTTAGCCACCCTGCATTTAATCAGCTCTGTGAACATATGATGAGAGAAGCCAAGATCATGCAGTATAAGTACCTACTGTTCAGTCTTCACGCCATAGTGAAGCTTGGAATCCCTCAGAACACTATTTTGGTGCAGACTTTGCTGAGGGTGACCCAGGTAAAATAAAAAGGAGATTTAAACATGCATTTACTTGATTTAGAATATTTTGAAAGAATGAAGGGATATAGATATGTAGCCTTCTTAAAAGAGACTATCAAATGGAATGGTAGTTTCCTTTATATTTATTTCTGCATATATATTATATGATTTAGAGGCCTTAAGTTAGCTATTTTCTTCCTTTTGCTATGGAAATTTATGAAAGCCTTCCACATTTACCATCCCCAGGGTTGAGTAGTGGTGAAGAAGCTAAAGTGAGGAGAGATGCAAGATATACAAAGAAAGCCTGGGTAGTTGAAGAAGGAGAGAAGGGAAGGGGAAGGAAGAGAATTTAGTCCATGGTAGAATTGGAATTCAGGCCCAGTAGATGATACCTAAACTGATGAGCAGAATGATAGTGAAGGGGATGGTGTTTCAAGTAGAGAGGATTGCATGCCCTACTGTTCCCAGAGGAAAAGTTTGGCAAATTTGAAGAGCTGAAAGTAGTTTGGTGTAGCTGAAGCACAGAATGATGGAGTTGTATGTTTGAGTGGGTGGGAACAAGTTTTGTACATGGCGATCAAAGGAGAGGAGTGAGGGGCAAGAGGCTTAGGGGCAGAACAAGAGGCCAGAAAAATAGGAACCAAATCATAAAGAGCCTCTTACGGCTAGCTAAGGAGTATGCATTTATCCTGTAGGCAATGGGAATCCGTTGAAGAATTTTAAGCAATGGGTTGACGTGCTCAAATTTGTATTTTAGATCACTGAATGAGTGGAAGATGTATTGGAAGAAGGTTAAAATTGGATGGAGGGAGCCATTTTTAGTCTAAAGCAAGAATGTCAGTGTCCTGTTTAATGTCACTGAAATGGTGCCAAATGTAAGGAAGGAAGGATTAGCTTGTTAATCATTTATGTTTTAAGAGTGTACACTTCTGACGTATAAACTCAGTGATAATGAAGTAATTTCTTAGCCAGGTGTGGTGGCTCACACCTGTAATCCCAGCACTTTGGGAGGCCAAGGCAGGAGGATCTCTTGAGCCCAGGAGTTTGCGACCAGCCTGGGCAACAAAGGGAGACTCCATCTCTACAAAAAATACAAAAATTAGCTGGGTGTGATGTACTTGCCTGTGGTCCCAGCTACTTGGGAGGCTGAGGTGGGAATATCACTTGAGCCTGGGAGGTCGAAGCTGCCGTGAGCCATGATCGTGCCACTGCACTCCAGCCTGGGTGACAGAGCCAGACCCTGTCTGAAAATAATAATAATAATTTTTTAAAAGACAGGAATTCCTTGGGGATAATCTGGCATATATCCTGTCTTGCTATAGAATTCAATAATTGGGTTCATAGCTATGGGAAAGTTTTTAACTTTTTACATTACTGTGATTTCCATATGTCCTTAAGGAATAACTAATTTTTATTTAGTGTATGTGTGTGTATTTGTTTAAACCACAGAATATCCCTGTTTATTTGTAGGCTGTGTATTAGTTCCTATGTAGTTATTTAAAAGTGACTAATAAATCACCTTACCTGGTCAGTGATGCTCTTACTAGATTTTGGACAGATATTTGCATCGGGATGACATCTGTGTTGGTGAGGTATGAGTAGTAGATTTTTGTAGTCAAAACATCTGTATGGATGATGGTGTCTCACTGACCTGTTGGAATAATGTAAAGACATTTTAGAGGTGAAAGGACAGTGTGCCATCAATGAATTTGCCCTTCAAACACATAGACAAGTGGTCTTTTCTTTCATAGTAGATATGGATGGAATGCTGTAAAATTGTTAAGGAAACCCTTTCATAGGAAAGAAACCTTTTTTTTCTTCTAACCATAACCATTTCTTATTATTACCTGGTTCTGACTTAAGACTTTGTGATTCATTGGTTATGTAATTTTAGCAAAAGAGCTTCTCTCTCTTCAGGCTAAGTTTCCTCAGATGTGATTTTTTGTGAGGTTTATAGACTAGTGATTAAACTGTAGAGTACTGCTAGTTAAGCTGTGTTGTTACTATTCACTTTCCAGATTATGCCCACTATTTCTGGAATCAAACTTAGTACCCTAAGTAAAGGGACCTGAAAGAAGAATCTGTGGGGTGTAGGCTTCCCTTGAGACCCAGATAGCAGTGGTAGAATGTGGCAGGAGATGTGAATCAGAAGACTCACAAGTAAAGTTTCAGCTTGATACCCAGGAAAGGATCTAGGGAAATTGTAAAGGCACAACCATTTAAGGATCTTTAGAGATGGGCTAGTTACCTTCTGTACTTCAGTAGTTCTTATATTCCTGCACTTTAACTGTTTTTGCCTTTGTAATGACCTTGAATTCCAAGAAGAGGTAAAAATAATGTTTAATAAAAGTTGTTTCAGAAGCAGTGGAATATAATAAATATCAAATGTGTTTTCAGTGATAATGGTGAAGGTAAAAAAGTGTTGATGCATAAAAGGATGTGTATCAGTCAGCTGGAAAATTCAGTAAGTATGACTTTTTATTTCCCAAAGATGCTGTTTATTGTGGACTGACTGTAGGAATTGTTGGTTTGATACTCAATCGTTTTATTCAGTACATCAGTTCAGTGGTTTTGCTTGGGTAAGATAGTTTACTATGGGCTCATCACCTGTAGTGTTTTTGTAATTATATTTCAATAGGAACGTATCAATGAGTGTGATGAGATATGCCTTTCAGTTTTGTCAACTGTTTTAGAGGCAATGGAACCATGCAAGAATGTTCATGTTCTACGAACGGGATTCAGGTGAGAACTCTCTTATGCTTTCTTCATGTGGTTTTCTTTGTTCCTCATATATCTGGAATAAAAAAATTGAGATGAAAACTAAACTCCTTTCTTGAGGGGAGGAGGGGTTGGGGAGGCTTTGTTGGTAGTTACAGTCTTTCATACCTTATTAAGCTTAAAATCCTGACTCTGGATGACATAGGCTGGAAATACTTCTCTTAGGGTCCATAATAACAAAGATGTGAGTAACATTGAAATCTAAATTAATTTATTTTAAAACATAGTACTGGCCAGGCGCAGTGACTCATGCCTGTAATCCCAGCACTTTGGGAGGCCGAGGCAGGCGGATCACGAGGTCGGGAGATCGAGACCATGGTGAAAGCCCGTCTCTACTAAAAATACAAAAATTAGCCGGGTGTGGTGGTGGGTGCCTGTAGTCCCAGCTGCTTGGGAGGCTGAGGCAGGAGAATGGCGTGAACCCAGGAGGCAGAGCTTGCAGTGAGCTGAGATCGCGCCACTGCACTCCAGCCTGGGCAACAGAGCGAGACTCTGTCTCAAAAAAAAAAAAAAAAAATAGTACTGATGCGGGGTAGGAGAGAATTGATATGTATATTTAATTCAGAATAGTTATTCGGGGACTATGTGAGGGTTGACGTTGACCCAGCTTGAAAAGGGATTTATAAAATTGATATAAATGATCTAATGTCATAGATTAGTGAGAGTAAAACTTAACTCCCTTTGACATTGACTATGCATAGGATATGTTACTATAATCTCCTGACATAATTTGTTCTTTAGTAAAGACAGCACAATAATGTGAGAGAAAATAGCACTATTAATAGATTGGGTCTCGATCTTTAACTACTTACACTCTCTCAAGCAGGTAGATCATTTCTCTGGGCTTCATAATCCTTGCCTGTAAGAAGGGGCTGGACCAAATGAAATTTTAAGATTTTTCTTCTGCTTTGAAGATTCTATGATTTTAATATTTATTGTGTTTGATAACAGAATACTAGTTGATCAGCAAGTTTGGAAAATAGAAGATGTCTTCACATTACAAGTTGTGATGAAGTGTATTGGAAAAGATGCACCGATTGCTCTTAAGAGGAAACTGGAGGTAAACACATGAATTTTCTCTAGTGGATGAGATTTGAAAAAATCTTTCTTATAACCTGCTATCACTGCCTGAAGTCAATTTTCTAGGAGGACATTGCTGGGCTTTTAGGTTTAGCTTCACTAAAGTGAATGAATAGAAGTACCCTTATATTTATTTATCTGTATATATATACATGTATATTTATTTATCTGTCTGGGTCATATTACCCAAACTTCATCCTTTTTGTTTAAAAATAAATGTTTAGGCCAGACATGGTGGCTCACACCTGTAATCCCAGCACTTTGGGATGTCAAGGGCAGGGAGATCTCTTGATCCCAGGAGTTTGAGACCAGCCTGGGTGACTGAGCAAGACCCTGTCTCTGCAAAAAAAAAAAAAAAAAAAAAAAAAATCAAAGAATTAGCCAGGCGTGGTGGTACATGCCTGTAGGTGGTGCATGCCTGTAATCCCAGCTACATGGGCGGCTGAGGCAGGAGGATCACTTGAGCCTGGGAGGTTGAGGCTCCAACCTGGGTGACAGCACAAGACCCTGTCTCAATAAAAATAAAAGTTTAATTTATTTTGTCACAGATAGTAAATTAAATTAAAATTTGTTTTTTCTTTAGATGAAAGCCTTGAGGGAATTAGACAGATTTTCTGTTTTGAATAGCCAACACATGTTTGAAGTACTAGCTGCCATGAATCACCGATCTCTTATACTCCTGGATGAATGCAGTAAGGTGGTCCTAGGTAAGAGGAATTTTTCTTTCATCATTTGCAATACCTGAGCTTCTGTTTTAGACTATTTTTGTTTTGTTTTAAAAACTTTGCTTTTATATGAAAAAAGAATAAAGCATGTTGTATTCAAAACAATCAGGTAATTTTTGTTTGTTTATTTAACTCATTCTTCAAGATAATATCCATGGGTGTCCTTTAAGAATAATGATCAACATATTGCAGTCCTGCAAAGACCTCCAGTACCATAATTTGGATCTCTTCAAGGGACTTGCAGATTATGTGGCTGCAACTTTCGACATCTGGAAGTTCAGAAAAGTGAGTACATTAACAATTTAGAATAAGCCTCACAAACTTTTAAAACACTAATTCATGTAGCATTTTAAGTATTTCTCTTTCACCTTTATAGTAGTTAAGATACCAAAATATTCCAATGCTGAATTGACTTTTGAAAAATTAGCTCCTTATTATTCCTGTCTGGGGGCTACTTGCTAATATGAATAGTCCCCAACTTAGGATGGCTTGACTTAATATTTTTTGACTGTTTGATGTTGCAAAAGCAATACGCATTCAGTAGAAACCATACTTTGAATTTTGAATTTTGTTGTTTTGCTGGGTTAGTGATATGTTGTATGATGCTCTCTTTTCATGCTGAGCAGTGGCAGCAAGTCGCAGCTCCCAATCAGCTGTGCAATCATGAGGGTAAACAATGCATATTGTATTCAATAAATTACTTGAGATATTCAACACTTTTATTATAATATAGGCTTTTTGTTAACTCATTTTGCCCAACTATAGGTGAATGTAAGTGTTCTAAGCGTGTTTAAAGTAGGCTAGGCTAAGCTATGATGTTCAGTAAGTTGGATGTATTAAATGCATTTTGACTTAAAATATTTTCAATTTATGGTGAGTTTGTTGGGATATACCCCACCGTAAGTCAAGGACAATCTGTATACTATTCTATCCTTTGGTCATCTTTCTATTTGAAACAAAAATTTGCTCTTCTTTTTCGTTTTAAAAGGGTTGTATGGGCTGGGCGCGGTGGCTCACGCCTGTAATCCCAGCACTTTGGGAGGCCAAGGTGGGTGGATCACCTGAGGTCAGGAGTTCAAGACCAGCCTGGCCAACATGGTGAAACCCCATCTCTACTAAAAATACAAAAAGTAGCCGGGCATGGTGACGTGTCCCTGTAATCCCAGCTACTAGGGGGGCTGAGGCAGGAGGACCACTTGAACCTGGGAGGTGGAGGTTGCAGTAAGCTGAGATTGTGCCACTGTACTCCAGCCTGGGCAATAAAGATCAAAACTCTGTCTCAAAAAAAAAAAAAAAAAAAAAGGGTTGTATGGTACTTTTGTTAGATATTTAGCATGATTTCCGTGTTTATACTTTGTTCTTGTTAGATTTCAAATAATAAAGATGGGTGATGTGACAGGCTTGGGGTTTTTGAAGAATAAAATGTCACTACTTAATGGTCATGTCCATTGTTTTATCCAGAGTAAAAGCCTTTAAAATCAGGAGCTGTGTTAAGAATATAAACATTTAATGAAGCACCTGGTAAAAACTTCTTTTTGCAATGAAATAGGTGATAACTGTTAGATCTCTAGGTTCAGTTTATTTTGGAGAGTAAGGTAAATATTGAGTTTACTGTGGAAATTGGTTATAGAAAGAGAAGTAATAATCCTAAGTAAGAAAGATTGAGAAGGAAATTGGAGGTGAACTTGAAAGTTTATTTTAATCATAATGTTTCAGTTCCATTTTCACTTATAGGTATGAATATTAAATATAGAAATTTTGGGGTTATGTCTTACATGTTAGAATCTAGGAAGTATTTAAGTTTGGGAATGCGAGAAGTTCAAGATTGAGTTGGTCATTTTGAAAACCTTCAGAAAAGGCATATTTAAAAGTAATTTTCAGATATGTTGTATGAAAAGCATGTAGGAAGAGATTTATTTTTAAATCAGATGGAAACGTAGAAATCATTGTATGCCCTGGTTCTCAGCTTAAAAAAGATTGCTTATTAACTTGATACCCAATTCAAGAATTAATAGAACAGATTTTGTGAGAGAAAGATGATTGTTCCTTTTCATGGAAATATTCTGTTTCAGGATATATTCTGTTGATCAGGACAGTTGAATTGCTGCTTAGATTTTTTGAGATCTAAAAAATTACTATTAGCATACTGTAATTATTATAGAGTTTTCCCTCAATTTTCTCTTTTTAAGGTTCTTTTTATCCTCATTTTATTTGAAAACCTTGGCTTTCGACCTGTTGGTTTAATGGACCTGTTTATGAAGAGAATAGTAGAGGATCCTGAATCCCTAAACATGAAAAACATTCTATCTATTCTTCATACTTACTCTTCTCTCAATCATGTCTACAAATGCCAGAACAAAGAGTATGTACTTGTTTTTTTTTACCTTTTTTATTGCCATATAACTTACAAAAAAGGTTATAAATCATAAGCTTAATGAATTATTACAAGTGAACACACCCATAGTCATCATCCATGCCAATAAATAAAACATAGTGTTCCTTACTCATTTATAAGGTTAAACAAAATTTTGTTTTATATTTGCTGCCCTTTGTCTTGTTTGTTTCTTTGTTCTTTATAATGTATTAGTTAATTCATTATAGGAGTTTGATTTCAAACCCTCCCAGCTTATCCTCGTAGCTCCTAAGTTCATAGTTTATTTTAACTGTATTAAAAAATGGAGAAATCTGTCTTTTAAAAAATTTGACTTTTTTTATTATGGTAAGAACATTTAGTAAATTTTAAAGTGTGCAGTACAATATTGCTGACTTTATTATTAATGATATAGTTAACAATATTGTACAGTGGATCTCTAGGACTTAATCATCTTGCATAACTGAAACTTTATACCTGTTGAATAGCAACTCCCCTATTTCCCCCTTTCCTCACCCCTGACAATCAACATTGTAATCTCTGTTTCTATGACTGACCTTTTTAGATACTTTATATAAGTGGAGTCATGCGGTATTTGTCCTTCTATGACTAGCTTATTTCAGTTAGCATAATGCCCTTCAAGTTGATCCACATTGTAGCATGTGATGAGATTTCCTTCTAAGGCTGAATAATATTCCATTATATGTATATATCACATTTTCTTTATCCATTCATCTGCTGATGGATGTTTAGGTTGTTTCCCTATCTTGGCTATTGCAAACAATGCTGCACTTAACATGGGAGTGCAGATGTCTCTTTGAGATTCTCATTTCAATTCTTATGAATTGAAATATATCCACAAGTGAGATCCCTGGATCATACAGGGATTCTGCTTTTACTAAGGGTTCTACTTTTACCAAATGCCTTTTTTTTTTTTAGCATCAGTTGAAATGATCATATGGTTTTTATCCTTTATTCTGTTGATATGATGTATCATATTGATTGATTTGCATATGTTGAACCATCCTGGCATCCCAGGGATAAATCCTGCTTGGTCATAATGAATAATCTTTCTAATGTATTGTTGAATTTGGTTTGCTAGTATTTTTTTTGAGGATTTTTGCATCAATCTTCATCAGAGATACTGTGCTGTAGTTTTTTTGTTTGTTTTTTGTTTTTTTTGATGTGTCTTTGTCTGATTTTGGTATCAGGGTAATACTGGACTTGTAGAATGAGTTTGGAAGTATTCCCTCCTTCTCTGCTTTTTGGAATAGTTTGAGTAGGATTAGTATTAGTTCTTCCTTAAATGTTTGGTAGAATTCAGCAGTGAAGCAGTTTGGTCCTGGGCTTTTCTTTACTAGGTAGTAGTTCTACTTTTACATTTTTCAAGGAAGCTTCATACTGTTTTCCATGCACCATTTTGTAGTCCTATCAACATTGTGCAAGGGTTCCAATTTCTCCACATCTTCTCCAACACTTGTTAGATTTTGTTTTGTTTTGTTTTTTTGATAATGGCCGTCCTAACAGATGTAAAGTGATATCTCATTGTGGTTTTGATTTGCATTTCCCTGATGATTAGTGATGTTGACCATGTTTTCACATACCTGTTGGCCATTTGTATGTCTTCTTTGGAGAAATATTTAAGTCCTTTGCCTATTTTTAAATCATATTATTATTTTTGCTATTCAGTTACAGTATGTTATAATGTGTAAACATACTACAAATATATATATAATATATATATTATGGGATGCAGAAAAAGCAATCCTGACAAGAAAACTTAAAGCATTAAGTTTTATATAAACTTATAGCAATAAGCATAAATATATGAGTTACAGGAATTCCTTATATATTTTGGATAATAACTGCTTATCATATGTATGGTTTGCAAATATTTTCTCCCATTCTGTAGGTTGCTTTTTCACTTTGTTGACTGTTTCCTTTGCTGTGCAGCTTTTTAGTTTGATATAGTTCTCCTTGTCTGTATTTGCTTTTGTTGCCTGCACTTTTGGTATCATATAAAAAAAATCATTGCCTAACTAAGCCAATGCCATCAGGCTTCTCCTACACATTTTCTTTTAGGAATTTTGTAGTTTTAGGTCTTATGTTTAAATCTTTAATCCATTTTGAGTTGATTTTTGTGTATGTTATAAAATAAGGTTCCAATTTCATTCTTTTGCATGTGGATATCCAGTTTTCCCAACACCTTTTGTTGAAGAGCATATTCTTTTACTATGTGTAGTCTTGGCAGCTTTGTCTTTTTTATGCCAGTACCATACTGTTTTAATTACTGTAGCTTTGTAATATATTTTGAAATCAGGAAGTGTGATACTTCTAGCTCTGTTCTTTTTCAAAATTGCTTTGGCAGTTCAGATTCCTTTGTGGTCCTATATGAATTTTAAGTTTTTTTTCTATTTCTGTAAAAAAATGCCATTGGGATTTTGATAGTGATTGCACTGAATCCGTAGACTGCCTGGGTTAGTATGGACATTTTAACAGGATTAAGTCTTTCAATCCATGAATGCAGACTGTCCTTCCATTTATTTGTGTCTTTAATTTCTTTCATCAATTTCTTTGTAGTTTTCAATATACAAGTCTTTCACTTCCTTAAGTTTATTCCTAAGTATTTTATGCTTTTTGATACTATTATAAACAAGATTGTTTTCCCAATTTCCTTTTTGGATAGTTTGTTATAAGTGTATAGGAACACAGCAGATATTTTTACTGCTTCCTTTCTGATTTGGTTGTTTTTCTTTCTTTTTCTTTCATTTGCATAATTACTCTGGCTAAGATTTCCAGTACCTTGTTGAATAGAAGTGATGAGAGTAGGCATCCTTGTCTTGTTCCTGGTCTTAGAAGAAAATATTTGTTTTTCATCATCGAATATGATGTTAGCTATGGCTTTTCATATATGGTCTTACTTACGGTGAGGCACATTTCTTCTATACCTAATTTGTTGAGAGCCCTTATCATAAAGGTTGTTGAATTTCATCAAATGGTTTTTCTGCATCTAATTAGATGATCATATGATTTTTCTCCTTTATTTTGTTAATGTGGTGTATCTCATTAATTGACTTGCATATACTGAACCGTCTTTGCATCCCAGGGATAAACCCCTTTTTATTCATGGTGTATGATCCTTCTAATGCTAATATTTTGTTGAGGATTTTTACATCTGTGTTCATCAGGGATATTGGCCTGTAGCTTTCTTGTGTCATAATGCATGTGTCTGGCTTTGGTATCAGGGTAATGCTGGCCTCATAAAATGAGTTCTCTGTCTTCAGGTGTTTGGAAAAGTTTAAGCACATTAGAAGTATTGTTAATTCTTCTCACAATGTTTGGTTGACTTCAGCAATGAAGCTATCTAGTCCTGGCCTTTTTCATTGTTGGGAAGTTTTTGATTACTGATTAAATTTCCTTATTCATTATTGGTTTGTTTAGATTTTCTATTTCTTTATGATTCAGTCTTGGTAGGTTGTATTTTTCTAGGAATTTATTCATTTCTTCTTGATTATCCAATTTGTTGGCATACAGTTGTTCATGATAGTCTCTTATGAGCCTTTTTTATTTCTGTGGCATTGGTTTTTATTTCTAGTTATAATGTCTTGTTCGTCTCTTATTTATTTGAATCTTCTTTCTTTTTTTGTCAGTCTAGCTAAAGGTTTGTCAATTTTGTTCATCTTTTCATAAACCCAAGTCTTCGTTTTGTTGGTTTTTTCTACTTCTTATTGTCTATTTTATTTATTTCTGTTCTAATCTTCATTATTTCCTTCTGCTAACTTTGGGCCTAGTTTATTTGTCTTATTTCAGTTCTTTGAGGTGTAAATTTAGGTTTTTTATTTGATAGCTTTCTTTTTTTTTAAGATAGGTGTTTATTGCTATAAGTTTTCTTGTTAGTACTGCTTTTTCTGCATCCCATAATTTTGGGTATGTTGTGTTTTCAATTTTATTTGTCTTGAAATATTTTCTAATTTCCCTTTTGATTTCTTCTTTAACCCATTGGGTGTTCAAGAGTGTGTTGTTTAATTTCCACATATTTGTGAATTTTCTAGTTTTCCCTCTGTTGATTTCTAATTGTATTTCTTTGTGATCCGAAAGGATACTTGGTCTGATTTCAGTTTTCCTAAATCTGTTATGACTTGTTTTGTGACCTAACATATAGTCTGTTCTTGAGAATGATCTATGTGCACTTGAGGAAAATATGTGTTCTGGTGCTATTGGCTGGAATGTTCTGTATGTGTCTGTTATATCCATTTCATCTGTAGCAGGGGACCCCAGCCCCCAGGCCACGGACTGGTACCAGTCCGTGGCCTGTTAGGAACTGGGCCACACAGCAGGAGGTGAGTGGCAGGCGAACATTACTGCCTGAGCTCTGTCAGATCAGCCATGGCATTAGGTTCTCATAGGCGCGTGAACCCTATTGTGAACTGTGCATGTGAAGGCTCTAGGTTGCGTGCTCCTTATGAGAATCTAATGCCTTATGAAACACCCCCCTATGCCCAGTCTGGAAAAATTGTCTTCCATGAAACCAGTGCCAAAAAGCTTGGGGACCACTGATCTATAGTGTTCTTCAAGTCCTTTGTTTTCTTACTGATTTTGGTCTGGATGTTCTATAAATTATTGAAAGTGGGGTTATTGAAGTCTCCTACTGTTATTGTATCATCTGTTTCTCCCTTCAGATCTGTTATATCTTCCTGATGAATTGGCCCTTTTATCATTATGTAATGACCTTGTTTGTCCTTGTGACAATTTTTAACTTAAAGTATATTTTGTCTGATATAAGTATGGCTACCTCTGCTCTCTTTTGGTTACCATTTGCATGGAATGTCTTTATCCGTTTCTTCACTATCAAACTATGTGTATGTCCTTAAATCTAAAGCGAGTATCTTGTAGACAAGTTATAGTTTGGTCTTTTTTTTTAATCCATTCAGCCATTTTGTGTCTTTTAACTGGGGAATGTATTAGTCTATTCTCACGTTGCTATACTACCTAAGACTGTGTAATTTATAAAGAAAAGAGGTTTAATTGACCAACAGTTCCACATGACTGGGGAGGCCTCAGGAGACTTACAATTATGGCGGAAGGCAAAGGGGAAGCAGTCACCTTCACAAGGTAACAGAAGAGAGCAAGAGAAAGGGCGAGGAAGTGCTACACTTTAAGCCATCAGCTCTTGTGAGAACTCCGTCACTATTACGAGAACAGCATGGGGGAAACTGCCCCCATGATCCAATCACCTTCCAACAGGTCTCTCCCTTAATACATGGGGATTAAAATTTGAGATGAGATTTGGGTGGGGATACAGAGCCAAACCATATCAGGGAGTTTAATCCACTTAATGTTTAGAGTAATTATTGATAGAGAAGGACTTACTATTGCCATTTTGTTTTCTGTCTTACAGTTTTTTCTTCTATCTTTTCCTTTCTTGTTATCTTCCTTTGTGACTTGTTGATTCTTTTGTGAGATGTTTCAATTCCTTTCTGTTTTTCTTTGGTGTAGTCTCTAAAGGTGTTTCATTTGTGGTTACCATGGGTCTTACATAAAACATCTTATTGTTTTAACAGTCTATTTTAAGCTGAAAACAACTTAACTTCCATTGCATACAAAAGCTGTACACTTGTCTCCCCATACTTTGTTATTGATGTGACAGTTTACATCTTTTTATATTGTATATCCATTAGCAAATTTTTATAGTTACAGTTATTCTTGATAGTTTTTTTAACATTTATACTAGAACTAAAGCACACCACTATTACAGTATTACCATATCCTATATTTGTTTATGTATTTGCCTTTACTAGTGAGTTTTATACTTTCCTGTGTTTTCACATTGATGTTTTGTGTTTTTTCATTTCACCTGTCTTTAGCGTTTAGTTTAAGAAAAGACTAGTAATGACAGTTTTCCTTGGCTTTCGTTTGTTTGGGAGTCTTGATCTACATTTTTGAAGGACGGTTTTGCCAAGTATAGGATTATTGGTTGGCAATTTTTCTTTCAGCACTTTGAATACATTATCCCAGTCCCTTCTCTGGCCTGCAAAGTTTCTGCTAAGAAGTTCACTGCTAGTCTGATGGGGGCTCCCTTGTACATGAAAAGTTGCTTTTCATCCTTGTGGGAGATACGAGTTGCTTTTAAAGTTCTTTTTGTTTTTGAATTTTGACAGTTTGATTACAATGTATCTTAATGTATGTTTCTTTGGATTAATCTTATTTGGGGTCCTTTGAGCTTTATGAATCTGGATGTCCATTACTCTTTCTAGATTTGTGAAGTTTTCAGCCACTATTTCCTTAAATAAGCTTTCAGCTCCTTTTTTTCTTCTCCCGAGACACCCATAATGCACACATTGGTTTGCTTGTTGGTGTACTGTAAGTGTCTTAGGCTTTCTTAACTCTTCTTCTTTCTTTGTTCTTTTTTCTTTTTGGACTGGGTAATTTCACATGACCTGCTTCAAATTCTCCGATTCTCTTTTGCTTGCTGAAATATGCTGGTATGGCCCTCTAGTCAATTTTTCAGTTCAGTTATTATATTCTTTAGCTCCAGAATTGCTGTTTAGTTCTTTCTATAGTTTATCAATTCTTTGTTGATACTCTTATTTTGCTCATATATCATTTTCCTAATTTCATTTACTTTTCTGTGTTCTTATAAGACAATTATTTTTAGTTCTTTGTTGGGCAGTTCATAGATCTTCATCTCTTTAATGTTGATTACTGGACATTTATTTTGGTACTTTGATTGTGTTACATTTCCCTGATGCTCTTTCTTCCTTGTAGCTTTGCATTGGTGTCTGCACAATTAAAGAAACAGTCTCCTCTCCCTGTTTTTACAGACTGGCTTTGACAGGGAAAGACTCTTATTAATCAGCTTAGCCAGAGATTCTGGGGGCCTCTTAAACTTTTTCTATGATTTTTTTTTTTTTTTTTTTTTTTTTTTGAGACAGAGTTTTGATCTTTGTTGCCCAGGCTGGAGTGCAGTGGCACGATCTCGGCTTACTGCAACCTCTGCCTCCCAGGTTCAAGCGATTCTCCTGTCTCAGCCTCCCAAGTAGGTGGGATTACAGGCACCTGCCACCACGCCTGGCTAATTTTTGTAGTTTTGGTAGAGACGGGGTTTCACCATTTTGGCCAGGCTGGTCTACAACTCCTGACCTCAGGTGATCCACCCACCTTGGCCTCCCAAAGTGCTGGGATTACAGGCATGAGCCACCATGCCTGGCCTGAATGTGTTTATGGATTTCTAAGTAGAGGGATTTACTGGTTTCTTTTTTTTAATTTCTTTTTTTTTTTTTTTTTCCAGTATCAGGGAATGTCTTGCTCCCTCTGGTGTCTGACTGCTGTACTACAGTCGGGGACATAGATGCTCCTCTCCTTTCTCTCCTTCGCTGTAGAGAAGCCTTGAGTTGTGCTGTCTGCTGCAAGCCACTGACCCCTTTTTTTCCTACTTAACTGCTCCTGAGCATTCAAACTATGCTGGTTTCGTCCGCTCTCCTTGTGAGGTGAGATAGAAACCAGCTCCTTGGACAGCTCACCAAAAGGCTAGGATGTTGAAGACATGCTCCACTCCTCTCATTTCCTCCTGAGGCTGAATCCTCGGGTTGCGTACCTTCTCTCAATCTCTCAGAGCTGTGCTGAGTGCAGGAAGCTGTCCACCCCTTTTCCTTTGTTCTTAACTGCTCTCAGGCATCTGAACCCTGCTGGTTTTGTTAGTATTCCACGTGAGTTTAGACAGAAATCCAGCCCCTAGGGCAGCACAGTGAAAAGCCGGATGTTGGTTGCACACTCTACTCTCTCCCTCCAAGGGAGAAGTCCTAGGCCAAGGTGATCTCCTTGGTGCTGAGCTGTGCCGGCTTTGGGGAGGGGCTGACCTGGGTAAAATGTTCTTCTTGCCTGTTTCAGTGCAACTCTTCTTGGTTTTGTTCTTGTCTGGAGTACGACAATATCTTAATTGGTTTCTGGACTTTTCATAAAGGTATTTTTGTCTATATGTCCTTGCTAAATCAGTGTTTCTGAGAAGCTGTGAGAACTGGACCTTCTTCTAGTTCAGTTTTGACCTTAACTATTCATTTGGTCTCAAGCTACTGCTTTCTATTCTTTTCATTTTAACCACAGCCATGCATTCCTACTATTAAATACAGTAATTCCTCAAATGTGCCAGCTTCTTTCATACCTCTGCTTTCTACCCAGAACATCTTTTCTTACTCTTTGGATCAGTCAGGGTTCATTAAAAATCAGAAAAGCATATAAAATGTCATTTGTTAAAACAGTGATTAAAAGCATGGACTCTAGAGCTAGCTTGCTTAGGTTTGAGTTTCAGCATTGCCATTTGTTAGCTGCTTGACTTTTGGCAAATTACTTATCTGTGCCTCAGTTTATTCACTTATTAAAATGGAGATGAGCTATGTCTAATCTCATTGGGTTGTTATTAGAATTAAATGAGTTAATCTATGTCAAGTTCTTATGACAATGCCCAGCACATAGTAATTTTTAGATTTGAAAAAAATTAGAGTGTAGGTCACAGAGGCCTTGGGGGAACAAACTAGGGCAGTTGTGAAGGTCTCAGTGGCAAGATGCACAGGCCATCTGTTTGCCATCAAATGACTTGACTCCAGCTGCTTGCTTTCCTTTTAGTTTTCCCTCCAGATTTAGATTTCTGAAAGAGAACATCTGATTGACTGAGTTTGAGTCAAATGCCCATCCCTTAGGGGCAGTTAATCAATTAAGTGGTGTCAGGCCAACTAAAAAGCAGCTTCCCACTGTACTGTCCACTGAATGGACAGACTCAGCTCATACTGCATTTCCTGTGTCTTCCCTAATTGTCACCGTCAGAGTCCCTGTGCTTGTCATGTCTTACCCAGTCTCCGGTGCAGCCTTGACAACAGGCTGCACCGGAGACTGGGTAAGACATGACAAGTTGTGTCACATCATTTGTTGTGTCAGTAAGTCTGTCTCTGCTCCTCAGTTGGTAAGCTCTCCGGAGTCCGACCCAGCTGCCTGTTTTTCTGAACTTAGTACAGGACCTGCCAAAGAGTAGACATTTAATAAAGGTCGAAAAATATCTCCCAAATTCAATCTTCCTTTACTCCCCTGGCTTCATTTTCTTCTGAGGCTGGCTCCCATTGATGCCTTGTACTTTCTAGACAAATAATATCAAGCTAAGTGGTAATTAAAACTCCAGAAACAGCCCCAGAGGGATTAAGAGAGTAAGTACTGGGCGGGTAAGAGTTTTTCAGGTGACTCCAGGCAACCTGAGAGATAACTTGTTCCAACAAAATTGTTACATTGAAAATAGAGGGGGGATAACAAAGGTAACAAAGGCTGGGAGGACATTTAATAAAATGGCAGTAGTAGAATTAGTACAGGAGGAGAATCATGAATGTTGTCTTTTTGTCTGTCTATTCTGCTTTCATTTAACCTAGTGGTTTTCAAACAGGGATGATTTTGCCTCCCAGGGGACATTTGGCAAGGTATGGAGATGGTTTTTAGTTGCCACAACAGGAGGGAGGTCTGTGCTACTGGCCTCTAGTGGACAGAGGCCAGGGGTGCCGCTAACATCCTACTATGCAGAAGATAGCCCCTCACAATAAGGAATTATCCAGCCCCGGATGTTAGTAGTGCTGAGATTGAGAAACCCTTACCTAATTCTAAGCCTCCCACCTCAACATTTCTCCAAAGGAGAAGTAGGGGCAATATGGCAGATATAGCAAGATTAATTAGTCACCATTTCCTGAATGCCCATGAATGTACAATTGCCTGGATTTGGTATTTTGAAGGCTATAAAAAAAGAAGTTTGTATTCCCTGCTCTTCCTAGACCATTTATGAGAACAACTCTGTTGTATATCCAGAGGAAGGCAGTACATGGTAGGCACCAAGTAAGTGCTTTATGGAGGAAGGAGAAAGGAAGATGGCAACTTATCTGGAGTAGCAAAGGTTTTGGAAGCAGAATAACTCAAAGTATTTGGGAAGAGAGTTGACTAGAAGAGATGGTTAGATAGGAGAGTGGTAGGAATTCTGGCTTATTGTATACCCACATGCTATACATTAATCATTATTTCATTTATGATGGCCCATCGGGGAGAGGGTGTTAAATCCAGAGTATCTTGCTGGGCTTTGAACCCAAGGAACAAATATGTAACGTTTAAGCTCTGTTGTTTTGGTCCTTTGGTTTCTTCTCTTCTTGATCTGTATTTACCACCTTATGGATAATCCCACATTTGCATCTGTGGTCATTAGTGTGCTCCTTAACTCCAGACCTGAGTCTCTGTGGGTTGCATATGGTCACTGCACATCCCAGAAGTGTCTCAAGTTCAGTAATTCTGGAAGTCAGCTATTTTTCTTGACTCATCGTTTTCCAATGACAAGCTCGTCCTCCTGTCTTCCTCATCAAAGTTTATTTGTTCGTTTAGTCAGCATTTGCCAAGCACCTGGACACTTAGGAGAAAGATGAATAAGACAGTCCTTCTTGCCAGAGGATTCTGTGTAATGGGTAAGGTAGATATGTAAATTGGCAGTTAAATATAGCATGAAAATTCGAGTGATCTAGCATATTAGTCTGTTTTCACGCAGCTGATAAAGACATACCCGAGACTGGGCACTTTACAAAAGAAAGAGGTTTAATGGACTCACAGTTCCACATGGCTGGGGAGGCCCCACAATCATGGCAGAAGATGAAAGGCACATCTCACAGGGCAGCAGACAAGAGAGACAGCCAAGCAAAAGGGGTTTCCCCTTATAAAACTATCAGATCTCGTGAGACTTATTGACTACCACAAGAAGAGTATGGGGGAAACCACCCCCATGATTCAGCTATCTACCACTGGGTCCCTCACAACACAAGGGAATTATAGGAGCTACAATTCAAAATGAGATTTGGGTGGGGACACAGCCAAACCATATCATCTAGGATATTTGGAAATAGAGGAAGGATATATCAGGATGCCAGCCTGGTGAAGAGGAGGGTCAGGGGATATCAGGCAGTGTTGCCTGGAGGGGTTGGTATCTGAGCTGATCTTAAAAGATGGAGAGATGGGGTTTTACCATGGAAAGATAAGCAGGAAAGAACATTCCAAGTGAAAGGCCCTCTATATGCAAGACCTGGAGGAAAGAAACAGCAGAGCACATGCAGGGAACAGCACACAGTTTGGGCTGCTGAAGCATGAGGTACAGGGTGAGGAGTGGGGCAAGAGAAGACCAGAGGGGGGATCATTACCCAGGCTCCCAACTTCCTTGTCCACACCATCCCCTGCCCCCGCATCCCACTGCATGTTCCAAAAGCAGTCAGTACTAATTTCAGACGTGCTGCCTTGCTATTGCGTATATGATCTGTTATATTCCTCCCATTTCATCATAATTCCTATCGTTTTCCTGGCCTTATCACAGCCCTTCATCCTCCCCAACACTTCTTCCCCTACCCATGGACCTCTCAGTTGATTTCAGTCTCATTGTTAACAAGGGCTTGTGTCCAGGCATATTTGCCCCAGCTGTTAAGAAACACTCCTCTGTACCTTCATCTCACCAGTTATTCACTATCAGGCAAGTAGCATGTGCTTTCAGGGCTGTGCTCAAATCTTCTTCCCTTATTCCATCTTTTCCACTTATTCAAATTCTCCTCCCAAAAGCTTCTGTTTATTTTCTTTCCTCTGCGAGATCACAGTACTTTGCATGTATTTCTTTTTTTATATAACTATATGTATCATATGCCCTGAGAATCAGATTGACGTGTGTTCAAAGGGTATCTACCATTTATTAGTGGTGTCACTCTGGGCAAGCGACTGCCCCTGATTTTGATCTTTTCTGTCTTCATTTGTGCTTAACCACGTTATACTGTGTACCATTAGCTGTGGGTGGTAGGATTAGGCTTGCAGTTCTTTTAACCCATAGTATTGATAACTAGATAATTTTAGTTGGTTATAAAACTGTAGTGGTGGTCCAGGCGTTATAGAAAATCTAGCATAATTATGAAAAGGTTCTGGAGCCTGACACCTTATGTTCTAATACTGCCTTTGCTACTTCCTTGTCTGTGTGTTCTTAGACAAGTTACTCAATCTCTAAGCCTGTTTACCCATTTTTTTAAATGAGGAGAATAATAGTAATACCCATGGAGTTTTTTAGTGTGAGTTAAATGAGTTAAAGTCTATAAAATGTTTGTCTCGTGCAAGACATACAGCAATAGCCAACATTTATTGAATGTATACACTTATTATGAGATAACCAACTGTCCAGAATGATGTGTGGATACTTACTTGCAAGGCTGATTTTCTTATCTCTTTTCTTTGGAATCGTTACAGATATTGGCCTTCTGTATATGTTGGGAAACTGACTTTTCTTTGTTCCCCAGACAGTTCGTGGAAGTTATGGCTAGTGCTCTGACTGGTTATCTTCACACTATTTCTTCTGAAAACTTATTGGATGCAGTATATTCATTTTGCTTGATGAATTACTTTCCCCTGGCTCCTTTTAATCAGCTTCTGCAAAAAGACATCATCAGTGAGCTGCTGACATCAGGTAGGATGTTAGTGCAGAATTGGTCACCAATTGTGACCAATTCTGCACTACCACTAGCTACCATATGACTCTGAATGGGGTCTTAGTTGGAGCAGTGTTAGTTGAAATTTGCAGAGCAGGTGTTGCTGTGGAAAGGGCTGATAATGGTGAAGTCAAAGGATAGTGCTTCAAAGCAGCAAACCTACAGACCCTTCTTTAATGACAAGTCCTACATGTAGAAAAAAATAAGGAATGCATCATTATTCCTTTTATTTATACTCTATCCTTCTATACAAAGGCTAACTGTTCAGGCTGTTCTTTATGCTTTGATCAGAGCTGTTTTAATTCCTAATCCTTACTTATCACATTTGAAGCCAACCTAAGTCAATTTTTGCAGCTGTAAACACTTGGTCACTCCTGGCCTGTGATGAGGGAACACCTGTTAGATCAAGAAACCAAATAGCCACCAAATTAATTAGTTCATTTACTCTTGGAACCAAATTAACTGTTGACTTTTAGTCTTTAGTATTAAATAAGGCAAAGCAATATTCAGGTAGATGTACAAAATTTGACGATGTGTCTGAGAATAGAGTAGTTCAGAATTAAAACATAAATAAATAAATGTTATAAAATCCCAAAGTTGAGTTGTAGAGAGTCAGTCAATAATACCACGTGCTGGTTTTTCAGGCAGTGTAATAATGGAGAAACAGCCTTGAACCTTGGAAACCTGGATTCTAGTTCCAACTTTGCCTTAATTACGAGGCTTTTTAACTTTCCTGGGCATTTCCTTATCCATAAATTGAGGAGTTTAGACTAAATGACCTCTAAAGATATTTGAAGCCTTAAAACATTATCAAGTGCAGGGCTTTGATTTAGACCCTGTGGAAACCAGGGAGACAAAGAGAGAGTCCTTGTGATAAGAAAGAGATAATTAGAAATACAAGTGCATTTATGTATATATTTATTATTTTATAACTATTACTAAATATATACTAATATAGTTTTTTAATGTTGCATTTATTTCTTCTTAATGATATACTCTCTTTTTCATCTTTTAGATGACATGAAGAATGCTTACAAGCTGCATACTTTGGATACTTGTCTAAAACTTGATGATACTGTCTATCTGAGGGACATAGCCTTGTCACTCCCACAGCTGCCGCGGGAGCTGCCATCGTCACATACAAATGCAAAGGTGGCAGAGGTGCTGAGCAGCCTTCTGGGAGGTGAAGGACACTTCTCAAAGGATGTGCACTTGCCACACAATTATCATATTGGTATGGGACATTATATGATTTCCTTTCATTTTATTGTATTTATTTTCCTTTTTTTCTGACCAAAAAAATAGGTATTTGTGGCAGCAGTTTAGTGTAGTGCAGCATTGCCTCTGGAACTGGCCTGATTCTTGCCTCATAAAATTCTTGTGACCAATAAATGAAATTCTACACATTTTTATGTGTCTAAAATCCCAAGACTAGTATCTGACACATGGTTAGCTCTCAATATATTTTAGCTACTGCTATTATCATTATTGGTAGTACTATTAAACATTTTGAAACAGAAAATCACTTGGGGCTGGTCACGGTGGCACACGCCTGTAATCCTAGCATGTGGAGAGGCCGAGGCAGGTGGATCACTGGAGCTCAGGAGTTCAAGACCAGCCTGACCAAATGGTAAAATCCTGTCTCTACCAAAAAAATACAAAACTTAGATGGGCGTGATGGCATGCCCCTGTAGTCCCAGCTACTCAACAGGGTGGGGTAAAAGGATTGCTTGAACCTGGGAAGTTGCTGCAGTGAGCTGAGATCACACTACTGCACTCCAGCCTGGATGACAGAGCGAGACCACATCTCAAAAAAAAAAAAAAAAAGGAAAAGAAAAGAAAAAGAAAGTCACTTGGAGGAATGTTTGAAAAATTAATATCAATTCTTTCCTTTCAGATTTTGAAATCAGAATGGACACTAACAGGAATCAAGTGCTACCACTTTCTGATGTGGATACAACTTCTGCTACAGATATTCAAAGGTTGCTTACATATATTTCATTTGCTGGGCTTTCTGAATTAAAATCCTAATTCTAAAAGACTTCATATTAAATAGCAGTAGTAAATCTAAGACTTGATGTTTGTATGGAGCCTGCAGCACACCAAGAGACTTGTCATCCATCAATGTACTCCTTAGAAAGTGTAAATGTGGACGTTATGGTTGAATACAATGGACTACAGTATTGGTCATTTAATGAGACAGACATTTTTTTAAAATTAGGTTTTGAAGCTATAGTTCAATAAAACAATATTAATATAATTGAAACTATCAATGCAGTGTAGACTTTGGACAAGATAATATAATAGTGATCATAAAGAATAAAGACTCGAGGCTTCTACAAAAATCAAATACCCAATAAATATTTTGCTCTACCACCAAGACTTTTCCAGAGGTAGAGAAACCGTAGTTTTTTAATTAAACTGTATTTGTATGGGTTAGAGCACATTGAAGCTAATCCTAAGTTGTTTCTTTGGCTCACACATTACAAATAGAGTGTCTCTGGGGAGAAATATGATGCTATACCATGAGAGAACATCCTGCCTCTTCAGTAGATGCATAAGATCATGCCATCATTGCACACACCCGTGGGTCAGTTACCCTTTATGTAAAAGCTCTGCTACATGGATCCTGACCCCAAGGAACTTGTATCTTCTGTTAACTCCACTGGACACACACACACACATAAATATGATAGAAACATACAAAAAAATCTGTAGGGATCCAAGCTCTTATCTGCCCATCCCTCTTCATTCACACACAGTTCTGTGACTTTCACCTCTTTCTGAATGCATCTAGCTTATTTCTTGGCCATCTTTTCAACCGCTGTCTTTCCTATTAGTGCTACCCATCTCCCCTCAGAAGAGGCTTTCTCTCTGACCTCATTCCAAGATCAGTTTTCTTTTTCGGGTACTCCGCTATTCTGGCATAATAAAATAACAGTTGTTCTCAGCATAAAGTCATGAGAAGTGAAGAATGTGAGCATTCCTTTAAAAACATAAAATTTGTCTTATAACAGCCAGAGTATAGGTGAAGGCAGTAAGGATATAAATGTCTTTTTTTTTTCTTTTTTTCTCCCAGTAAACTTAGTATTTCCAAAGTGCCAGGAACAATGAAAAAACAAATTACACCTTCCACATTTTCGTTATATTTACAGATTTTATTTTAACAGTCTTGCCTTTCTCTTGGTGTTTTCTTTCTTGTATTTAAACTCCTATTTCTGTTTTTTAAATGCTGCTTTCTCTGGGAGATGATATGTGTAAGAAGAGCATTTACTATTTGGTATTATTTACACCGTTACTACTACTGGTAGAATAAATAATTATACTCAGATCAGAAATCAGCACTACACAGAAAACCCTTAAAATTGGTGCTTTCATGTCTGAAAATTTTCCTCTTCAAAAATGTAGCCATCCTTAAAGGGAACTGAGAGGTAACTGTGTATAATGTTGTATATTTTTGATTTATAAAGTAGCCTTGTATAGTGGAATATCTGCAGAGGCCAAGTAAAAGAAGTGAAGGACTAAGACAGGAATATCAAGGATTGTGGTCGGTGGAGAGCTCAACTTGGAAATCTCCAGAGAACAAGAATGCAGCAAGACTAAATAGTAATATCAATAACTGTTCTTGTTTTGTTTATTTTTGTTTTCAGAGTAGCTGTGCTATGTGTTTCCAGATCTGCTTATTGTTTGGGTTCAAGCCACCCCAGAGGATTCCTTGCTATGAAAATGCGGCATTTGAATGCAATGGGTTTTCATGTGATCTTGGTGAGAAAAAAATGCAAATGAAATATTCTTTAATTACTGATGTACATTCTAACAGCTGCCAGGAATCTTGTGGTTGAGACTGGTTACTAGGACTAGAGGAATTGTCAGCATTATTGGAATGAGTGCTTTAGTTACTGTTTTCTTTGAAAAAGAACATTGCTAGTACACGATTTGGGTTCTGCTCAGCTGATTACTGTCATTACTAGAGCTTTTACAAATGTTGTTCTGGTCAGCTTTAATCCTTTTTTGCTAAGAAGAAGAATGCAAATAATATATTTTCATATTTAAGATACACAAAACCATATTTAATTTCCAGGTTATCTTGAACAAGGGAAGGAAAGATGTTAAAGCTTTGTTTTCATGGCCTGTGTGAAGCTGTTACAGGATGTTTGTTGCCAGAAAAGGCTGGATGGTTTTAAGAAGATGGGTCTTTCTCTTCCCTCTTATGCTTCAATTTTATTTTGTACCCCACAGCTTCTCTTGAACAGCCTCTTCTGATGTTTCTAGGTAGTAGGAACCTTACAAATACATTTATATATATGTTGCTGTTGGAATCTATCTAAATGCCACTCATTTGGTCCTGCGCATAATGTAAGATGTAAACATTCCAAGTCTTCTATTATTATACTTTAGTATTGGAAATGGATTACGTGTGGACTATTGAGATTAAGATGACTCCTTTCTCTTAGTGGGCTACTATTTAAGACTTTGTTTTTTATATTGCTGATTATATATATTCTAAGGAAGATTTTCTCAAGAAAGCAGTTTTTGCACCATTTAGAGGACCTTTAAAATTTGTATAATTTTCACAGTTAAAGCTTTCTTAAACCCTAGCATGTAGTCTTATTATGCCTTTAAAATATGAGTAGTTATAAGGTCACATTTGCTTTCAAAAAGCTATTGTCCTCATGTTACTTTACTATGTTTGGATCTCTAAACTAGCTCTTTTGTTAGTATCGTCTCACAAACTGATTATTTTCCTCTTTCTTTGGTAAGGTCAATAACTGGGAGATGGACAAACTAGAGATGGAAGATGCAGTCACATTTTTGAAGACTAAAATCTATTCAGTAGAAGCTCTTCCTGTTGCTGCTGTAAATGTGCAAAGCACACAATAAAGTGAAAATCAACCTTTTCATATTAGGAGACATGCATTTGTAAAAATTAATAAAGATGACAAGTCAGTTGTCAATGGAATTGAGCTATCTGCTAAGACAAAAAATGTTACCTCAGTTCACTATTAAAATTAATTTTAGGAGTGGAAGAAATGTTGTTACTGCCATTTAAAAATATGCTGAGAAAATTCCAGAAGGGTTATTTTTCCAACCACACCTATTCCCTCTAGTGCCCAGATATTTGATTTGTGAGCTGTACGTTTCACCTTTTCATCTTTGATCTACTAAAAACTGGTTTCTTAGTTGTGAGGTGTCACAGGCAGGTTGATGTGGGTAGTAGTCCTTGTCTTTGGAATCTGAATATTTATACTCCTGCTCTAAGCTGTTCTAAGACTTGGGGTTATGCCTTTAAATCATTTTCAAGCATTGGCCAAATAATAATTGGACAAAGTTCTAAAGTTGTCAAGTGTGTAAGAATTAGTGAGGTAGCTGTTGAAAATGAGTGAGGATGGTATTTGTATTTGTAATAAGCACTGCAGGTAGAGATATTTCATGGGTTATAATAAGAGAAACACAGATGAGATGTAGATGGTAAGGAGTCTTACTGTTGTTGGGGTCCTTCCTTTCTCTTTCTTTTTTCCCCCTTACCCCTCCCACAATTTCATGAAGTCTTTTAAATTAAATATATAGCTGAATTGTGTTGTGAATCAGACCTGAGGACTATTTTTTCGATTATGTGTGTTCATTCTTTGTTCAAATATTTGTCCAAATTCAACTATTTTGTTCAATATGCCTGTCTACCTAGTATTTGGCTCGCTGGGGATATAGTGATGAATAGGCATGGTCTCTTGTGGAACTTACAGCATGGGTTCCATGCAAGTTGGTGTTATTCTGCCCCCAAGCACACAGACATGCAATTACTAGACATCTTAGTATGTGCCGGGCACTGCTAAGTATTCATTTGTGTGCTGCCTTTTCATGATCTGAACCCTTTGAGGTGTAGCTGCTATTATGATTCTCTCTGTGTCTTCACTTCCTCATCTCTAAAATCAGGATAGGTATTTGCCCAAGGCTACACAGAGTAGGGGAGGGCTGGAGTTTGAATGTGAGCTAACATAGGCTTATAAGAAAATACAAAAACTGGGCTGGGCACGGTGGCTCGTGCTTGTCATCCCAGCACTTGGGAGGCCGAGGTGGGCTGATCATGAGGTCAGGAGGTCAAGACAATCCTGGCCAACACGGTGAAACCCCATCTCTACTAAAATACAAAAAATTAGCCGGGCATGGTGGTGCATGCCTATAATCCCAGCTACTGGGGAGGCTGAGGCAGGGGAATCGCTTGAACCCGGGAGGTGGAGATTGCAGTGAGCCAAGATGGTCCTGCTGCACTCCAGCCTGACCACAGAGCGAGACTCTGTCTCAAAAAAAAAAAAAAAAAAAAAAAAAAAAAAATACAAAAACTATAGCAATATGACAACAGCTGCCAGGTTGTATCAATTTATCCAGCTTGCATTTAGAAAAGGTTAGAGCTGAAAGGAAATTTAGTGATTATTTAATTGTTACTTCCCTCATTTTATGGACGAGGAAGATAAGGCTCAAAGAATTTTCCTTTCCTGAAGTCTCAGCTATGCCATTGGTTCCACATCATTTCATCCTCACCTGCTCTTCAGCTTGTGTCCCAGGAGATCAGGCTTCTGGTTCCAGATTGGACAACCTCTAGTTTTGTATACTTGGCCAAGTGATTTAACCTTATAAGCTTCAGAACAAGATGCAGATATTCTGTTATTAAAGGAACTAAGGTTTTGTCTTTAAATGTTGAGTGTGCATCAGTTTTGAGTGTCTAATTATGACTCCTCTTCAAAGGATTTGACAAATTTGTGAATATTTATGACCACCTTTTAGGGTAGTAATTTTCAGTTTGTACTAGTTAACCTGGCAGATAAAAAGGCATCCCTCTTTTACTAGCATTCTAGTGTTAGCATTCTTCATTGCTTTGTGTCAATGAAAGAAAAATGGGCAAAGAGCTGATGAACATGAAAAAAGTTCAGTCTACTTGTAAAGACATGCACATTGAAACAGAAGAGATGGTTTTGCCTTTCAAATTAGCAGTTTTTTTTCTTTTAAGAATTACAGTGCTGATGAAGGTATAATGAGGCAAGCACTTGCATAAGCTGTTGGTAGACTGTAAATTAATACCTTTCTGGAATGTACTTTGTGGGGTTTTCTTCTCCCATAATTTAAAAAATAGCTTTATTATAGTATAATTGACATACAGTAAACTGCATATATTTAAAGTGTACCGTTAGGTCAGTTTTGACGTACATACACACACACACACATCTGTGAAACCACAATCAAGATAATGAATATATCTATCACCTCTAAAAGGTTCCTGTCTTTGCTTTTTTCTCTGTCCCCTAAACAACCACTGATCTATGGCACACATAGAAAAAAATTAGGAAATATATTAAATGCTCATTTTGTGTGAGATATCCAAATATTTTTTTCAGAATCCCTAATGAAAAGGTTGATCTTGCTCTAGATACAAGATATAAAATTGTATTCTTGAAATAGCTACATGCAATTCTTTTTTATTATTTTTTAATTTTAATTTTTAGATTTTTAAAGATGGGGCCCTGCTATGTTACCCAGGCTAGCTTCAAACTCCTGGGCTCAAGGGATCCTCCTGCCTCAGCTTCTCAAGTAGATAGGACTGATTATAGGTACAGGCTACTGTGCCCAGCTCAATTCTTGATTGAGACATTTACCAGCTCTCCGAATTCTCAGTAGTTACCACTGAATAGAAACTTTCTTTACACAAAGCTGATTAAACAGTTTAGAACTTTTAAAAAACATTCAAAAATTGAAAATTTCATATATACATAGCCTAACAACTCTTCTTGTCATTGACAAAATGTGATGGTATTTTTTTTGTGATAATACACATGGACCTCAAATGCAATTGAACTATTCATATCAAGTATTTCCAAATAACAATGACATTCCAATTTATAGAATGTCATGTGTTGTGAGGGTAGTCACCCTGCAACTGGCTTGGACATCTCTAAGCAAATAGAAGTTTCTGTAAGATAGAGATTTGGGGCATCTACTTGGAACTACCTATGAGGAGCTGGCATTCCTCAAATCCCAACTGACTGCACTTTTCCATGAAATTACCCAGCAGTTATGATGGTCAGTGGCTCACTCAGCAGCAAGCCACTTAGGTAGCTGGCGAGGGACGTGGCACAGCCTTGTCTTCACACAGCACATCACAGCCAGGCAGCAAAGGACAGATCTCTCTCATACTCTTCATTCACAGGGCCTGAGAGGTGGACCATCAGACTCCACCCTGTTTTGCGCTGACTTGTAGGGAGACCTAGGTGTGGAGCTTCCTGGCCAGGAGGGCAGTGGCTGCCCAGAAGGCAGGAGATGGCTATCTCTTTTTTTTTCCTGAGACGGAGTCGTGGTCTGTCGCCCAGGCTGGAGTGCTGTGGCGTGATCTCAGCTCACTGCAAGCTCCGCCTCCTGGGTTCAAGCCATTCTCCTGCCTCAGCCTCCCGAGTAGCTGGGACTACAGGTGCCCACCTCCATGCCCGGCTAATTTTTGTATTTTTAGCAGAAACAGGGTTTCACCATGTTAGCCAGGATGGTCTCGATCTCCTGACCTTGCGATCTGCCCGCCTTTGGCCTTCCAAAGTGCTGGGATTATAGGCGTGAGCCACCACCCCCGGTCCAAGATGGCTATCTCTTAACACACTTGTAACCCATTTGTGCACACAGGTGTGCCGTGACTCACTGGTGGATCCAAAAAAAGCTGAAGCCTACATTTCCCAGAGCCCCTTTCAGCTTGAATTCCAAATGTGACTTAGCTTCCTCTATGCAGATGTACCTACTTGAAACTGGGAAGGCCAAATGAGATAGAGGTAATGTTTCTGCCAACAAACAGCCACAGAGCATTTTATTTTTCTAGAAGAGCAATAACAGAGACCCCAGGGTGTGGTGTGGCAGGACGAGGAGCATCCATTTTGCTGGTGGGGATTGTGGCTAAAATAATGTGGCTCTGGAGCCAGCAATGGGCAGCATCTTCATGACTTTCCAGCTTCCAGGCTGTAAGCAGAGATAGCATCTCTTCTGGACAGCCAGTTATGTGATAGTGTTCTGAGAGTCATTCCTGGAAGTCAGACTAAAGGCTGCTCCTTCAGCCTTTCCATTCATCTTGTAAGCAGGAGGCTTCTGTGCATGGCCAGAAACTAACAAAAGCACATTGTGTCTAAACTAGGTTGCAGTGGTTTCTGTTATCAGCAAGTAAATCCTGATTGATAAAGATACTACAATATATGCACATATATATGTTATAGAATCAATAAAAATTGGATACTTTGCTTTAAAAGTTTGTGAATTTTGCTTTTAAAGAATTTCCCTCAGGGCCGGGCACAGTGGCTCACACCTGTAATCCCAGCACTTTGGGAAGCCAAGGCAGAAGGATCGTTTGAGCCCAGGAGTTTGAGACCAGCCTGGCAACATGGCAAAACCCCACCTGTACAAAAAATAGAAAAATTAACTGGGTGTGGTGGCATGCACCTGTGGTCCCAACTACTCAGAAAGCTGGGGTGGGAGGATCGCCTGAGCCTAGGAGGTCGAAGCTGCAGTGGGCCAAGATTGTGCCACCGCACTCCAACCTGGATATCAGAGTGAAACCATGTCTCAAAAAAGAAAAAAGAATTTAAAAAGAATTTCACTCAGGGTTACAGACACTTAATGTTATTAAGACCCACTAGGAACACCTGTGTATACTGCTGGCTGGTTTTACATGTCACCCCACCCTGAGCAGGTTTCTCTAGGCAGCAATAAAGCTTCTGAGGCAGAGGAAGGGAGAAACCAACACACCTGCCTTTATTTTCCATTTGTTCTCCTTGCATCCAGTTTTCACCACACTTCCCCATGCTTTCACTACAGTTCTGCCAGGCTCCTCTCAGGCAATCTCTTTACACCAGGGGCCACATAATCCTAAAGAGGGAAGGGAAGATAGCATCAAACTTTCACCCAATTATTTCAGGCAATCCATCTCCTTCCCTCCTCCTTGCTTGCTTGCTTCCTTGCTTAAAAAATGCAGAATAGGCCGGGCACGGTGGCTTACACCTGTAATCCCAGCACTTTGGGAGGCCGAGGCGGGCGGATCACGAGGTCAGGAGATGAAGACCATCCTGGCTAACATGGTGAAACCCCGTCTCTACTAAAAATACAAAAAATTAGCTGGGCGTGGTGGCGGGTGCCTGTTGTCCCAGCTACTTGGGAGGCTGAGGCAGGAGAATGGTGTGAACCTGGGAGGTGGAGCTTGCAGTGAGTCGAGATCATGCCACTGCACTCTAGCCTGGACGACAGAGTGAGATTCTGTCTCAAAAAATAAATAAATAAGAAAGACATGAAATATATTAAATATATAAATGAGCTTTCACCTCGTCATAACTTTTAAGTTAAATTAGACAAAGAGCCAATGCTATTCTATTCGAGAACCTTTGAAGTGCTCAGATGCTGCTTACACTCATCAGAAAAATACTCCATCTTATTAAATGTGAGGCCTGAAGAAAACCTAGTGTTAAAGAAAATCAATTAAAGATAAATAAAACAGAGGGGCAAAGCCCCGTTCACCAGCTTGGGTTCAGATGAAGCTCCCCCGACAGCCACTACTCCTGTGCTGTTGCAGGCTATTGTAACGGGGGTTCCACGTCATCCAGGCCACAGGCCAAGCCTTGGATGCACCTGCTCTTTGCCCAGCTGCCCCAGGGCAGAGCTCTGCACAGATCACAGTGCCTTAAGACAGGATGATAACACCCCTCAGTGTTTTCCTTAGAGTGCTCCATGCACCACAGCCATTTTTCAAAGCATCCCCCAGGCCAGGGTTAAGGCAGAACAGGTTTTCCAGTCATAGCCTCCCACTTAGCTGAGTAACATTTCTTGAGTGATCTTGTAAATGAATAGTTTGAAAGAAAAACAGGCAACTAAGGCAGTGCGGTCACATTGTTTGAGAATACAGATGCAAAATTACTTGTGAATTTACTTGCTCATTTTTCCAAAGGATGTAATCTGTACACTTAGAAGTATTTCACTCACATGGGGCTCTTTGTAGCAACACAAACCGAACAAGCTATTTCTGAAACTCATATTTAACTGTGATTTGATATCATCTTGATTTTCTTAATTTTTTTTAAAATTGTGATAAAATACACAACATAATATTTACCATCTTAACCATTTTTAAATGTACAGTTCAGTGGCAGTGAGTACATTCACATTGTTATATAACAATCACTACCCTCCAGCTCCAGAATCTTTTCAACTTGCAAAACGGAAATACTGACACATTAAACAGTAACTCCCATTTCCCCTTTCCCCCAGTGCCTGGCAACCACCATTTACTTTCTGTCTCTATGAATTTTACTACTCTAGACACCTTATAGAGTGGAATTGCTCAGTATTATTCTTTACTGACTGGCTTCTTTCACTTAGCGTAGTGTTTTCTGGCTCATCCGTGTCATGGCATGTGGCAGTATTTCTTTCGCCCGGGCACTTTGGGAGGCTAAGATGGAGAGGCTGAGAGTTGAAGACCAGCCTGGGTAACATTGCAAGACCCCCATCTCTACAAGAAAATTAAAAAGGCTTGAGCCCAGGAGATTGAGCCTGCAGTGAGCCATGATCATGCCCCTGCACTCCAGCCTGGGGAAAGAATGATACCCTGTCTCAAAGAAAAAAAAAAGAATTTCCTTCCTTTTAAAAAGATGGAATTATATTCTATTGTATGTATATACCACATTTTGTTTATCTGCAGATGGGCCCTTGGATTGTTTCTACCTTTTGTATCAGTGTGTGTGTGTGTGTGTGTGTGTGTGTGTGTGTGTGTGTGTGTGTGTGTATTTCTAGAAACTTGTTATTCTCCTGAGTGTTAAACTGTTTTAAATGTTTGGTTTTTCATTTCTAGAACATTTTCCTATCCTAAAATTTACCTATCTGGCTATCTATCATCTATCACTTTTCCTAAGGATCTTTAGTTGTTTACTTTTTAATGAAGTATAATATACGTTATGATAGTGTATTTTATGTATCCTCATATCCTTTCACTGTGGATTTAATTTTTAGAAATAACAAAAAGTCACATAGGGCAAATTCATTAAGCTGAGTGGGTGATTAAGTTAACAATAGTAATGACCATGTATTAAGTGCCTACTATGTGCCAGGCACTGTGCTAGCATTTCACACCCATTATATCATTCAGTCTTCACACCCCTGTTTGGTGGTTATTAATGATTACTAATATTCATTTTATAGATGAATAAACTGATACTCAAGGCCTTAATTGCCTTTCCTAGGGGTGCACAACTAGAAAAAAGGCAGAGCCAGATCTGCACCCAAGTCCTTCTGACCCCAGAGCTCATGCTTGTATCATCGCACCAGTGTTACTCAAGCTTTCCTGGTGATTACAGTCACATGTACTTGACAAAACCACAAACTGTTGGGCCTGTCCCAGTGATACTGAATCGAAATTTACTGAGGAGGGACCTGGGAGATTACACTGCTTGAACAGCATGGTACCGGGGAACCAGAGATCAACTTCAACCCTTCTGTTAGCTCTTAGTGGGCTGGTCAGCTGGATGTAGAAGCTAAATTGACAGCAGGCAGATTAACAAGAGAAAAATGTATAAATTTTACTAGTTTTACATGTACTTGGGGATCTTCACAAGAAAGTGAAGTCTGAACAAGAGGCCAAAGTAAGATATTCTTATACTTTTTAGACAAAGAATGATAAATTTGAGAAGAAACAACAGGAGAAAGAAAATCTGGCTAGGACAGTAAAATTTTCTAGGGGAGTCACAGGAGATATATGAGGGGGTGTAAAGCAAGTGGAAGATAAAGGTTATTTTGTTCGTAAGTTTGTTTATTCGGGTTCCTTGCAGCCTCCAAGTCTCTGGTGATAAGGGCTATTTTCTCATCCTGGTATGGATAAATCTCAGGGCCTTCGAAGAGTATCCGTCCCAGAGGATTCTTTATCCCTTGCTCCATACAGGAAGATATAGATCAGCTCTTCCTTTCTGAAACTAGAATTTCTCCATTGTTTTCCATTAGAAATAATCAACATACAAATTTTGGGATGGCACATCCTTCAGTCCTCCAATGGTATCTACCATATTTTTTTCAAACATATAACATACTTTAAGGTAATGAGATTAGGTCGTGCAGCTCACAAATAGCTCTGAAGGCAGTTCCTATAGCAGAGACTCAATTGTTATGAGCATTAGCTATTGGCATGACAGAATAGGCTTCAAAGTGACTTCTTTGAAGGACAAGATTTATTTGAATGTTCTGCTTTAGAATCATTAAAATGAGCACCCTCACTGCCATGTTGGCTCTACGCACAGTAAGATTAGAGAGACAGCGTTTTACAGTGAAAAGAGTAAGTCAACCCTGGTTTGGGATCTGGATAAATTGCTTAACTTCTCAGAGCCTTAGTTTCTTCATCTGTAAAATGGATTACTACCCAATTTGAAGGACTATTGTATACATTAGAAATAACTATATATGCCTTGTCATGTAGTAGATGCTTATAGCAGTTCTTATAATAATAAAGCGAAGTCCCCGTGGTGTATTGTAAATGTGAACCACACTCCTCAGCAGTGATCCTTGTGTGCTAAGCTAGTGGACCAGAGTTTCCAGCTGAAGTAGATCTGGAACCGAGTCTTGAAAAATGTGTGTAGAGAAGCTTCTGTACTTTTCTTATGTGGATGGCAGTGGCGAGGGGGCGGTGGCGGGTGCAGCTGCAATACTTAAAAAGGAATTCTATTGTGGCAATAAATGAATATGGCAAGAAATGAGCCTGGCAAGAAATGAATGACAATGGCCCCTAGGTGGTGCTGAATCATCATGGAAGTGGAGGCTGGACACTTGGCATTTGCGGAGGTGACTTCCTTCTGGTTTGAATTTCAAATAAGAGCAGGACAGCTCCTTGGGATGTCTGGGAAAAAAGACCAGGCAGAAAAGAGTCTTTTCACTAGGAGCGGGTGCAAAATACTCTTGCCTGTGAGGCCTCTTCAGGTCTTCGGTTTGCTTTAGTTGGAAACAGGAAGCAGGGTCAGACCAACTTGTATTCATTTGCTGAGAGCTGTTGGAGCTGTGACTGATTCTGACAGATCAAATACCATTTATAACACTCCTGTGGGGGACACTTTAACCGGGGATGTTAGTGCTAGCCCCTCCAGAGACTAAGTATGTTTGCGGGATGTGAGGACCCCTGGAATATACAAATATGCATGCTAATGAATTTTAACAAAAATAACCCATTATTGTTTTCTGTGCAACACTGTGCATTTCTCAGCTACACCTGTCCTTTCCAACCTCAATTGCTGGGCAACCTATTTTTCTTTCGGCATCAGAAGCGATAGCATCTGGGAAGTGAATCTGATGAATTCTGCCTGGCAACCAACATCTTTCCAACTGCCAGATCCTGGGGTAAGAAACTGAGATGCTCTGGAGCTGGTTCAGGGCCAGAACGCACCTGTCCTTGAGGGCCTGGTGATGGGGGAAGGAGGCTGGCCAAATGCAGAACTTCTGAAAGTCCACTTCCTGAGTTCATTTCCATTTTGGCAAAATGTGACTTAGGTTTCCAAGGGAAGGAGTTTACATGTATTAAAATGTCTCAGTGGCTGAAGTTGCTTTGTGTCCTCCGCTAAAGCCTCCTACCATCGATTCCCATCTCCAACACGTTTTCAACTGTGGTGTTTTGGGAAGGTAACCATAGCAACTAATCTTATTCAGAAATGACTGGACCTAGGCAGTAAACGGCAAGGTAACCCCATGGTAATTTTCAGTGGAAACCCAATATTGATTCTAACAATTGTACAGGCTGAGCACTGTTAGCTATTTACTAAGCACTGTTCTCCTTTAAGACATTTGATTCTCACAACCCTGTGAGGTAGTCATCATTATCCTCTCTAACACTCGAGAGTTGGCCCATGGTTGTGCAGCTAATTAAATCTGCTGGACCCTGAAATCAGCTTTTTTCTCTTATACAGACTCTGCCTTCTAAGGAAAACTGGAGAGACGCCTTCCGGTGTCTATTTTGCAGGTAGTAAAAGTGAGTCACAGAATCATGGAAATTGTTCAAGGCAACAGCAGAGCTGCAGATCCTCTGCCCTAATCCCAATAATGCCTTTCTGTTATATGTAGAGCTTTAGAGCTCTCAAGATTATCTCATCTATTGCTCACAGCGGGTCTTTGTGATGATTATATCTATTTATAGATGAGAAAATTGAGACATGAAAAGGTTAAATGGCATTTCTCAAGGTCACCAATTACTATATTGAAGAACAAGAAATAAAATCCGTTTCTAATTCTCTGCTGCCTTACTAGATGTGGTGCTTTAAAAATATTTCATCCACTTATCTGTTTCAGAATGTATCAGATACATTAGGTACCATATATTATGTGTGGTTGACAAGATTTTCAGGATTAACTTTAATTCACCAGAGATAAACTTTATATCTAATGAGATCATCTTTATGGAAATACTGTTTATGAGTATAAATGTTTTTATGTGAGAATTATATATTCTAATGAATCTTTAAAAATCCATACTTCATGTGCTATAGATGCAAAATCATAAATTTATCTCTGTAAATTGCCTAAGATGATGGTAGAGAAGGGTGTTATGCTTAAAATTTTTAGCGCTGTAAAAGCTACAATAGTCTCAAGAGAAAAATGGTCAGTAATCTTTAACAGAGCCACCTGCCATGCATGGGGCCCAGTGTATGGAGAGGAAGGGTGGGGGCATAACCCCAATCCCACAGGGTATGTTCGGTGGCTTAGATTTGTTCACTCAGTGGGGTAGAGGCACAACTCATGAAGTGACACCCAGAAGCCTGGACTCCAAGTTCCTTTGAGAGCTTGATGTAGACCCTTCAAACATTGGTCGGGGGTGGGAGTGCGAGGTGAGAGTAGGAGGTGTGGGAAGGTGACTGGAGATAGAAGCCTGACTCTTGCCTGGAAAAGCCCAAAGGCAGAAGGCTGCCTGGAGCTGCTGCTGATGGCAGAGCAAAAACAGGTGGCTGTAAGAAGGCTTTTGGCTTCCAAGTTTTGCAGGGGAGAAGGGATGGCATGGATGCATAATATTTCCTGTGGATTAAACGAATGCTGAAGAAACTAGCAGGCTTGAGTCATCCTGAAAGGCACCTGTCCTAGAGGACGTCCTGCCAAAGCTCAGAAATCTCAGCAAAAAGAGGCTGTATGGGGTCTTCACAGTCAGCCTGAGAGTGCCTTGTGGGGGTCAGGTCAGGGAATGCTGTGGTGTAAGAAAGACACGCCATGGAAAGAGAGGTGGGAGTAGGGGTGTCTCTTAAGAACCCACAAAAGTCACTCATGTGAGGAGGAGCCAGCACTTGAGCATCTAGCACACAAAGGGCATCCTCGCAGACTGCAAGGTCACCAGTGAATAGACCCATTTACCTCTAGTCCCTCCTCCCCACCTGGCCCTGGAGATGCCAGAGGCAGCACAGTGAGCGGGGCAGGAGGAGCAGAAAACAGAGCAAGGGGGGCAAACAGCAAAAGAAGATTCCACAGCCTCCTCCCCCTGCTGCTCATTACTGAGCTGGAAGAAAGGAAGGAATCTTAGATTGGGTGAGAGCTGCATATTTTGAGAATAGATCAGGTGATGAGCTTTTTAATACCTTAAAATGAGGCTCTGCTAATAGCCATGTGCAACCAAAAATACTCTGGCATATGCCGGAGATGGCCTCTCTGAGGTGGGAAGGGAGAGCTGGCAGAGCCAGTGTGATGGGCAAGGGAGGGAAGAAGATGGAGCTGTTTCCAGCCTGCTGGAGCTACTGACCCAGCCTGTTCAATAAACTAGTGTCCCCTAGTAAGAGCCTTCCAAGTTAATCGAATGAACCCCTGGATTTCTTCTTGCTCTGTCACCCCCAGCAGTGAGGCTCACTCTAGAGTTTAGATCCTGCGTGTTCTTTTTCTTTTAACATCTGGTAGAAAAAGCACCCCCTGGCCTCTTCCACTTGGTTTCACATTTTCACTTTAGAGTTATCACCAAGTAGAAAAGCCACTTTTCCCTAAACTGCAGGCAAGAGCTGCAAACTCCCTCTAGGTGACTTTGTTGGGCCTTCAGAAGGTTAGAATCTGAAGGGAGTAAACATTACAATTAGGAAAAATTATCTCTTACAATAAAACATCCTCTCATACTGTCTGTAATAGCATATAATGTTACATGGGCCCGAACAATATGTATTCATCTGCAATTATTTATGCTCACCAGGGAAAAATTATTTGTTTATTGTTTTAATCATGATTAACCAGCAGTGTAATGATAGGGTGATAATGATAACAACGTGAAGAATGAAATGTTTGAGGTGCAAATGGAAGGCAAGATGCTAACCCTAGATGCTGAAAGTTTCTGGTAGAGCACAGAGGCAGGAAGTCTATTCTTTAGTGGTGTGTGTGTGTGTGTGTGTGTGTGTGTGTGTGTGTGTGTGTGTGTGTGTGTGGTGTGTGTTGGGGGAAACGCATGGTATAGGGGGTACATTTATCCTGAACAAGGACGAGATAGGAGTGGCCCAGTGCTCTTCTGACTTCCAAAGCCTGCTTTGCATTCAAGTTCAGGAGCTTAGGGCTCTCAAAGACTTCTTTTTCCTTCCATTCCTCCCACAGAATGAGAACAAATCCTGGTTAGAGCTACAGGGATCTTCCCAGCTTGTGAAAATTCCCATGTAATTGTTTCTGAGAGGCTGTCTTTCTTTCTCAGAAGTTCCAGAGAATTCCAGCTTCCCAAGGGCTGACCTTGAGTCATCCACACACCCGTTTTCCACCTTCTCAGCTCTGGAACAGGGTTTGGTTCCGTGGCTTATGACTTTCCCAAGGTTTCTGAGCTCGGTCCAGCAAGTAAAATATGTATCCCCTTCACTTAAGGAAGCAAAATTTTGTGGGCAAATTCTCAATCATGGCAAATCTTCATCTTTTGTATCTGGCTTTGGTTTAAACAAATGGTTAAAAGTACCTCCCAGCTAGCTTTGGTGAATGAAGTTGATAAAACTAAGTTACATTCCTTTTGATTAAATATAGGCATGAAGAGTTAATTTTTCTCTTCAGATAAGAACTAACTCAGAAGGCAGTTCCAGAAGAAAAGTGCATCCAAATATTTTGAACAATGACAGCATCATGGGAATAAGTGTACGGCATGTCTCCCGGGAAGAGTATTTGAAGCCCAAACCAACAGATACCACATAAAATACAACAATAGCCACTATCTTTTAAGCATTTTCCTCAAAGGTTGATTAAATGAAACACTTCAACTTTGGGGTAAGTATTATTAATGCCCACTTTATAGATGAAAAAATTCAGACTTAGACTTATCAGCCATGTGGCTTTGAGCAAGTAATTTAAATTTTTAGATTTGATTCCAGAGCCATATATCATATATGATATAACTTTGTACCAACCAAACAGAAAGCAAGTCATTTTCAAACAAATGCTTTATTGATTTTCTCTTATTTATATACTAGGATATGAAGTTAACAATACATTTTACATGGGTACCTTTCTGTCAAGTTGGAATGAATTTCCGCATGAATAAGAAAGGCCCATTTTCTCTTCATTTTTGTATTTTGAATAGTAGAGAGGCAAGGGAGAGAGAAGGAGGGCCACTGGGCTGAGAATCAGGAGACCTGGGTTCCAGCCACTGCCTCTGTCATTTAAATTCTCTAGGATGCCTGTTATTCCAGCACTTTGAGAGGTGGGCAGATTGCTTGAGCCCAAGGGTTCGAGACCAGCCTGGACAACATCGTGAAACCCTGTCTCTACAAAAAAAATACAAAAATTAGCTGGACTTGGTGGCATACATCTGTAATCCCAGCTACTCAGGTGGCTGAGGTGGGAGGATTGCTCGAGGCTGGGAGGTTGAAGCTGTAGCGAGCCATGATCGCACCACTGCACTCCAGCCTGGGCAAGAGAGGGAGACCCTGTCTCAAAAAAAAAAAAAAGAGAGAAAAGAAAAGAAAAAGGAAAAGAAATTCTCTAGGTCTTGGTTTCCTCAGTGATATAACAGTCAAGTTGGGATAGACCTTCTCTAAGATGTGGTGCTCTCCCTTCTTCGCAAATGCTTAGCATAAGCCCAGATTTCCAATTCCAACATCTGGTCAAAGGCCTTCCCCCTTGCCCCAAACCATGACTTAAGCTTGTAGAAGTGTATGCTGTCATCCTAGGACTAAGAATGTGCAGTGCCTCATAAATCAAATTCAACATTAAATTGCACTGCAAACAAAAAGTTTCACATGGTTACAATGTTGCTGTATGGAATTTAATGAGCTCCATATGCCTGACCTCTGGATATAAATGATTTGGGGAACTGTAGCTGTGAAAGAGTCTAAGGGCATCAGCATCTGGTGGTGTGAGTTACACAGAGTGAAGAGAATCGACCTCATTTTTGTACTATTGCCAAGCTTGGAAAGGTAGAAATACTCTGCAATCGGTATGCTCACCTTCTGAGAGAATGCTGACAGTTTTCCAGAATTTTTCTCACTCATCAGGAAGTTGTGGAGTCCAGTGGATTCTGACTTCCTTCCTGCAGTGCTCCCAGACACTCGTGCCTGTGAGGCCACTGGGCTTTCACTCTGTCCTGGGGAGAGCAGGCTCTCTTGTTGGACATATCGGTGACTTTTGATTGACTACTTGTACTTGTTTTGGTCGTCTCTGCTACCCATAAAAAGGTTCTGCCTAAAACCCAGATCTGACAATGTTATCAATGTTATTCTTCTCCCTTATTTAAACAATTCAGGACTCCTCTTTTTTGTTTGTTTTTAGACAGAGTTTCTTTTGCTCTTGTTGCCCAGGCTGGAGTGCAATGGTGTGATCTCAGCTCACCGCAACCTCCGCCTCCCGGATTCAAGAGATTCTCCTGCCTCAGCCTCCTGAGTAGCTGGGATTACAGGCGTGCACCACCATGCCCGACTAATTTTGTATTTTTAGTAGAGACGGGGTTTCTCCATGTTGGTTTTCACACGCGTCCGTGTGAAGAGACCACCAAACAGGCTTTGTGTGAGCAACATGGCTGTTTATTTCACCTGGGTGCAGGCGGGCTGAGTCAGAAAAGAGTCAGAGAAGGGAGATAAGGGTGGGGCCGTTTTATAGGATTTGGGTAGGTAAAGGAAAATTACAGTCAAAGGGGGTTTGTTCTCTGACAGGCAGGAGTGGGGGGTCGCAAGGTGCTCAGTGGGGGTGATTTTTGAGTCAGGATGAGCCAGGAAAAGGACTTTCACAAGGTAATGTCATCAGTTAAGGCAAGGACCGGCCATTTACACTTCTTTTGTGGTGGAATGTCATCAGTTAAGGCGGGGCAGGGCATATTCACTTCTTTTGTGATTCTTCAGTTACTTCAGGCCATCTGGGCGTATACCTGCAAGTCACAGGGGATGCGATGGCTTGGCTTGGGCTCAGAGGCCTGACATTCCTGCCTTCTTATATTAATAAAAAAAATAAAACAAAATAGTGTTGAAGTTTTGGGGCGGTGAAAATTTTGGGGGGGTGGTATGGAGAGAGAATGGGCGATGTTTCTCAGGGCTGCTTCAAGCGGGATTAGGGGCGGCGTGGGAACCTAGAGTGGGAGAGATTAAGCTGAAGGGAGGTCTTGTGGTAAGGGGTGATATTGTGGGGTTGTTAGAAGAAACATTTGTCGTATAGAATGATTGGTGATGGCCTGGATACGGTTTTGTATGAATTGAAAAACTAAATGGAATAACAGAAGGAGAAAAACAGGTATAAAAGGTCTAAGAATTGGGACGACTCAGGATATCTGATTGGAGAGTGCTTAAGGAGATTCAGCATAGTCCTGCCAGCAAAGATTATTTATTTACTTCAAGAGTTAAGAGTGGCAGTTTGGGGACAGCACCAGGAGATATCAGCTGTGATGGCTTGGAGAAACAGTGTAAACTGGCAGTGTAAACAAGAGCAGGTCATGTATGAGTAGTTGAGAACGGTGAATAGGAGTATGACTAGACAGAAAATAGGAGTATGACAAGTTTTTTTTTGGGGAGGTAGGCACAGTCTAAGTTGGTCTGGTGTCTGGAATGAGACTGGGGCCTAATAAAAAGGAGCGTCTATACAGGAGCTTAAATGGGCTGTACCCTGTAGCATTCCGAGGACAGGCCTGAATTCTGAGAAGGGAAAGTGGTAAAAGTATTGTCCAGTCCTTTTTGGTGGCTGAGCTTGGTGAGGTGTGTTTTTAAAAGACCTTCAGTCCATTCTACTTTTCTTGAAGACGGAGGACCGTAAGGGATATAAAGGTTTCACTGAATACTAAGAGCCTGAAAAACTGCTTGGCTGATTTGACTAATAAAGGCTCATCTGTTATCAGACTGTATTGAGGTGGGAAGGCTAAACTGAGGAATTATGTCTGACAGAAGGGAAGAAATGACTGCAGTGGCCTTCTCAGACCCTGTAGGAAAGGCCTTTACTTATTCAGTGAAAGTGTCTATTTAGACTAAGAGGTATTTTAGTTTCCTGACTCAGGGCATGTTGAGTAAAGCTAATTTGCCAGTCCTGGGTGGGGCAAATCCTCGAGCTTGATGTGTAGGGAAGGGAGGGGGCCAGAATAATCCCTGAGGAGTAGTAGAATAGCAGATGGAACACTGAGAAGTTATTTCCTTGAGGATAGATTTCCACGATGGAAAGGAAATGAGAGGTTCTAAGAGGCGGGCTAGTGGCTTGTACTATAGTATAACCTGCCTTTGCTGGTGTGTGGCGATTAGGTCTGGTGGAACCGCCATCAATAAATCAAGCATGATTAGGGTGAGGAACAGGAAAGAAGAAAATCTGGGGAAATGGGGTGAATGTCAGGTGGATCAGAGAGATACAGTCATGGGGTCAGGTGTGGTATCAGGAATAATGTGGGAGGCCGGATTGAAGTCTGGGGCAGGAACAACGGTAATTGTGGGAGACTCAACGAAGAGTGAGTATAGCTGAAGGAGCCGGGAAGCAGAAAGTATATGCGTCAGGTATGAGGAAGAAAATAGATTTTGGAAGTTATGAGAACTGTAGAGAGTGAGTTGAGCATAGTTTGTGATTTTAAGGGCCTCTAAAAGTATTAAAGCAGTGGCAGCCGCTGCTTGCAGACATGAGGGCTAGGCTAAAACAGTAAGGTCAAGTTGTTTGGACAGAAAGGCTACAGGGTGTGGTCCTGGCTCTTGTGTAAGAATTCTGACCGCGCTAACCATGCCTAGGAAGGAAAGGAGTTGTTGTTTTGTAGAAGGTGCTGGGGTTTGAGAGATTAGTCGGACACGATTGGCAGGGAGAGCACGTGTGTTTTTATGAGAATTATGCCGAGATAGGTAACAGATGAGGAAGAAATTTGGGCTTGATTGAAGTAATGGGGCTGTCTGTGAGCTTTGCGGCAGTACAGCCTAGGTAATTTGCTGAGCTTGATGGGTGTCAGGGTCAGTCCAAGTGAAAGCGAAGAGAGGCTGGGATGCAAAGGAATAGTAAAGAAAGCATGTTTGAGATCCAGAACAGAATAATGGGTTGTAGAGGGAGGTATTGAGGATAGGAGAGTATATGGGTTTGGCACCACGGGGTGGATAGGCAAAACAATTTGGTTGCTAAGGCGCAGATCCTGAACTAACTTGTAAGGCTTGTCTGGTTTTAGGACAGGTAAAATGGGGGAATTGTAAGGAGAGTTTATAGGCTTTAAAAGGCCATGCTGTAGCAGGCGAGTGATAACAGGCTTTAATCTTTTTAAAGCATGCTGCGGGATGGGATATTGTCATTGAGTGGGGTAAGGGTGATTAGGTTTTAATGAGATGGTAAGGGGTGCATGATCGGTCACCAAGGAGGGAGTAGAGGTATCTTATACTTGTGGGTTAAGGTGGGGGGATACAAGAGGAGGACGCAAAGGAGGCTTTGGACTGGGAAGAAGGGTGGCAATGAGATTTAGCTGTAGTCCAGGAATAGTCAGGGAAGCAGATAATTTAGTTAAAGTGTCTCAGCCTAATAAGGGAACTGGGCAGGTGGGGATAACTAAAAAGGAGCGCTTAAAAGAGTATTGTCTAAGTTGGCACCAGAGTTGGGGAGTTTTAAGAGGTTTAGAAGCCTGGCCATCAATACCCACAACAGTTATGGAGGCAAGGGAAACAGGCCCTTGAAAAGAAGGTAATGTGGAGTGGGTAGCCTCCGTATTGATTAAGAAGGGGACTGGCTTACCTTCCACTGTGAGAGTTACCGGAAGCTCAGCATCCGTGATGGTCTAGGGGGCTTCCAAGGCGATCGGGCAGTGTCAGTCTTCAGCCGCTAAGCCGAGAAGTTCTGGGAAGGAGTCAGTCAGAGAGCCTTGGGCCAGAGTTCCAGGGACTCTGGGAGTGGCTGCCAGGTGAGTTGAACAGTCCGATTTTCAGTGGGGTCCCACACAGTTGGGACGCGGCTTAGGAGGAATCCCGGGCTGCGGGCATTCCTTGGCCCAGTGGCCAGATTTCCAGCACATTTAGCAAGCTCCTGGGGGAGGAGGTTCTGGAGGAACGCCTGGCTGCTGCGGTTCAGGCGTTTGGAAGTCTTGTGTGCTGGAGATGTGTCTGGGGTTTGTCTCACAGTGGAGGCAAGGAATTGCAACTTTTTTCTGTTATTGTACACCTTGAAGGTGAGGTTAATTAAGTCTTGTTGTGGGGTTTGAGGGCCAGATTCCAATTTTTGGAGTTTTATTTAATGTTGGAAGCAGATTGGGTAATAGAATGTATATTGAGAATAAGACGGCCTTTTGACCTTTTAGGGTCTAGGGCTGTAAAGTGTCTCAGGGTTGCTGCCAAACGAGCCATGAACTGGGCTGGGTTTTTATATTTGATGAAAAAGGGCCTAAACGCTTCTGATTTGGGATAAAGAAAAAGGAGCATTAACCTTGACTATGCCTTTAGCTCCAGCCACCTTTTTAAGAGTAAATTGCTGGGCAGGTGGGGGAGGGCTAGTCACAGAACGAAACTGTAAGCCGGACCAGGTGTGAGGAGGGGAGGCGATAAAAAGATTACAGGGTGGAGGAGCGGAGGCTGAGGAAGAATGGGGACCTAGCTTGGGCTAGCGAGGAGGGGAGAGGTCAGATGGGTCTGTAGAAAAGGAAGATTAGAAAGACTCAGCGACGCTTGGGGTTGGGACTGAGGGGACAGGCGGGAGGGAAAGAAGGAAGATTTGGGACAAGTTGCACTGGGCACAGAGACTAGGAAGGGACTGATGTGTAAAAGAATGCCTGGACGTCAGGCACCTCAGACCGTTTGCCTATTTTACGACAAGAATTATTTAGATTGTGCAGGATGGAAAAATTCAAAGTGCCATTTTCTGGCTATTTGGAACTACTGTTGAGTTTGTATTGGGGTCAAGCGGCATTGCAGAAGAAAATAAGGCATTTAGGTTTTAGGTCAGGTGTGAGTTGAAGAGGTTTTAAGTTTTTGAGAACACAGGCCAAGGGAGTAGAAGGAGGAATGGAGGGTGGAAGGTTGCCCATAGTGAAGGAAGCAAGCCTAGAGAAAAGAGAGAGTAGAGAAACGGAGGGAAGGGGTTCAGGAGTTCTTACCTTCCAGAAAAGTGGGAAAAGGGGTTGGGGTGCAGAGATAAGAGGTTGGGGCACAGAAATAAGGGATTGGGGCACAGAGATAAGAGGTTGGGGTGTGGAAATAAGGGATTGGGGTGCAGAGATAAGAGGTTGGGGTATGGAAATAAGGGATTGGGGCACAGAGGTAAGAGGTTGGGGTGTGGAAATAAGGGATTGGGGGTTCTTGCCCTGTAGAAAAGCGGGACTTGCCGCTAAGGGTGAAGGAGAAGGGGTTGAGGGGTACTTGCCCCTCTCCCAGAAAAGCAGAGAAGGGGTAGAGACAAGGAGAGAAGGGGTTGAGGTACTTGCCCCTTCCCCAGAAAAGCGGGACTTGCCGCTAAGGGTAAAGGACCAAGGCAGGCATCCCTACGTGGTCTGACACCCTTGAAACGTGGGTGTATAATCAGGCGTCCCTGCAATGATTAAACACCAATGGAGGGCTGCCTTCCCAGTCCGTGACCGGCGCCGGAGTTTTGGGCCCACGGATAAAACGTGTCTCCTTTGTCTCTCCCAGAAAATGAAAGGAATTGAAATTAAGAAAAGGGAGAGATTGAAGAGTGGAAAGGAGAAAGTGGTTGAGGGACAGTGAGAGAGGTTGGAGAAGAGAGTAAGACGCCGTTTACCTGATTTAAAATTGGTGAGATGTTCCCTGGGCTGGTCGGTCTGAGGACCTGAGATCGTAGGTGGATCTTTCTCATGGAGCAAAGAACAGGAGGACAGGGGATTGATCTCCCAAGGGAGGTACCCCGATCTGAGTCACGGCACCAAATTTCATGCGCGTCCGTGTGAAGAGACCACCAAACAGGCTTTGTGTGAGCAACATGGCTGTTTATTTCACCTGGGTGCAGGCGGGCTGAGTCCGAAAAGAGAGTCAGAGAAGGGAGATAAGGGTGGGGCCGTTTTATAGGATTTGGGTAGGTAAAGGAAAATTACAGTCAAAGGGGGTTTGTTCTCTGGCGGGCAGGAGTGGGGGTCGCAAGGTGCTCAGTGGGGGTGATTTTTGAGTCAGGATGAGCCAGGAAAAGGACTTTCACAAGGTAATGTCATCAGTTAAGGCAATGACCGGCCATTTACACTTCTTTTGTGGTGGAATGTCATCAGTTAAGGCGGGCCAGGGCATATTCACTTCTTTTGTGATTCTTCAGTTACTTCAGGCCATCTGGGCATATACATGCAAGTCACAGGGGATGCGATGGCTTGGCTTGGGCTCAGAGGCCTGACATTGGTCAGGCTGGTCTCGAACTCCTGACCTCAGGTGATCCACCCACCTCAGCCTCCCAAAGTGCTGGGATTACAGGCATGAGACTCCTCATTTTTTATGCACATACTGTCCAGTTGGGCCTGACCCACTTTTTAGACTCCTTGGTCATTATTTTCCGTCTTTGGCATTCTGTGCTCCAGCTACTCAGAGGTCTTCCCCAGCATTCAGATTTCATCTTTCGGAGCCTTTTCACATGCTTTGTACTCTGAGGAATCCCTGCCACCTCTTCACCTGGAAAGATTCTCCTATATGAGTGTAGATTGAACAACACTTTCCTGAGTTCTCTCTCCTCACGTGTTCCTGCCCCATTTGTGGTTAGTCTTTGCCATTTCTGTGTTCCCATGACCCTTAGATGCAGTGAGGGATAGAGAGAAAGGGCTGTATCTTCCCCCAGTAAACTGGGGAACTCTTCAGGAGTAAATATGTGTCTGATTCTTCCCTTTCTTTACTGAAGCAGCATATATTTGGCTGTCAGTAAATGCTGAGTGAACAAATGACGGAGTGTATGAATAAACAAAGTCCTCAGAAGCCAAGCAGAGTTTTCCTCTTTTAATGTTTCTTCACCATATTTCTCTGATTATGTTGCATATCATAATTTATGTCCATCAAAGGTTTAGGCCATACGTACATCCTTTTTGAAGGCTATCGTTCAAGGGCAGGAAAACAACTAATGTTCCTTTGACCTCAGGAAGTTGCTGTGAAACAGGACAGAAAATGTACCCCCTAATCAAAAATAAAAGTTAAAAAAAAAAAAAGAACAAGCCAATAGACTTGCTTGTCTCCACAAAATGCTCCCTGAACTCGTTAAGAATCTGGATGGAACTCATTAAGAATCTTGTCTGAGAGATGTGCTTTGGGTGCAGTCATTTTCTGTGTTAATGTTTTGCAAACAAATAGGTCTCCCAAATGGGAAACTGACCAGAGGCAATAATGTAGATCTTCATATAACAAAATTTAATTTTGACATTTTTGTACTTACCTTTATTTCTAACCCTGAGATACCCAATCCATGAATTAGCACCTTTCCTCTTGATCCTGGATTCTGAAAATAAAGAATCTTCGTATTTTGGAGATTCTTAGTATTGAATATCTAAAATAAAAATTCAGAAGAATTAATAGCAGTATTTTAAAAGGACATGGTAATATTCAAACATACCATCTCATGTGATTCTTATAACAGGCTTATGAAATGAACTGGGCAAAAATTTAGGTTCTTGTTTTATAGATGAGGAAGCTAAAGCTCACAAATGACTTGCTCAAAGTCAGAGAGCTAGGAAATTGGCAATGATAAGACGTGAACCATTTATGATGATATGAGTAAACTCATCTCTCAATTACACGTATTTAGATGTGCATATGTAGTATAGCACAATAGTTTTGGCTACCTTTGCCAGTCTCTGAACTACCCAAGCAAACAATTTGTCCTGGAACTAACTCCCTAGTTACTCAAGTTGTCTCTTTGGGTCATTTTCATGCTCATGAGCATGTAGAAGAGAAAATGGGACTGAGAAAGGAAAACAATGAAGATTGACCATTTGTTTGATTAAAGTTTTGATGCAAAATGCCAACTGATATTACTTAGAAGGAGAAACAGATTGTGAAATTACAAGGGTGGTTTTGTTTTTTGTTTTGTTTTTTTTTGTGTGTTTTTTTTGTTTGTTTGTTTGTTTTGTTTTTTAACTAGGACTATCCCCTTTCTCCATTCTCAGAGAGATTCTAGGGCAGACGATGGTAAAGAATATAGCGATTTCATTTATTTGACTACCTGGATTCTCTTTAGAAAAAGTGATCCAACATGTTAAGAACTCAGTTATTAATAAAAGCAGTGGACAATTTGAAAGACAGTAAATTGGGTGTTTCCTGGTAATTCTGCTCTTGTTAGAATAATGAAATTTGAAGGTTTAAAACATAGCTTGTTTTGAAGTGATGCATGAGTTCCCAAAAACCTTGTTTAACATATTGCTGGAATAATGCATATGAGATGGTTAAAAATGGAAGTAGAAAAAAAATCCCCAACACCCTTAGAGGAATTTGCAATTCATAAAGTTACTGCCAATTTTGCATTATAGTTGTTATGGTAACCATGCTAGGCTTCTGCTCAAATGTTTCTCAGAAGGGGAAGGAATAGTATATAATAAGCTCTTCAAGTGTAATTTTTTTATTGTAGTTGAATTAGTGTGTAATTCTTATGTGAGCATTTTAGTAATCCATAAACATGCACTCTAGTTATGATTCTGATTTTTTACCTCAGTATGTTTAAGCAATGTGTGAAAAGTTGCTGTCTACTATCAGTGCTTGGCAATTAATTTTAAAAATAATAACAAAAAGCATTAGCAACAGTAATTAATTATAAAAGCAAAAACAAAAGTGCATTTCCAACCTGACTCTAGTAAATTTCCCAGACCAAAGCATTGGCTTGCTTATTGATTCAAAGTGCTTTCAGCCAAGCTTTTAGCTTACATTCACGAGTCACCCCTTGGCCCTTCTATGTTTTTCCTCAGAAGAATCCTATATATTGAATAAGTGAAGTATCAAACAGAGCCAGTTGGACCAATTAGTCTAAAATAAAACTTTCATTTGGCCATTTAGATAGGGAGCTATTTTTAAATGGTAATTGGATTTTTCTTTTTTTCCTTCAGCTTCTAGGGAGTGAGTCTAACAGCTGAGGTGGAGCAGCACATATCTGGACATGGAGTAAAGGTTGTTCAGGGTTTGAAGCCTCATGGGTTAGTTTTGAATGCAGAAGAAGAGAAATGGGCTTTGGAGTCCAACAAGCCTGGACTTACACTCTAGCTTTGCATTTTACTAACTGAGGTCTTGGGCAAGTCATTTACCATCTGGGGCTTCAGTGTCTTCATTTGTATAAACCGGATGCTTATGCCTTTCTTGCAGTGTTTGTAAGAATTAGAACTAATTGGACATGAACCGCGTAGCTCAAAATTTGGCACAGTGTATTAGTTTCCTATTGTTGTTGTAACAAATTTAGTGGCTTACAACAACACATAGTAATTGTCTCATAGTGCTGGAGGTCAGAAGTCAAAAATGGGTCTAACTGGGCTAAAATTAAGGTGTGGGCAGGGCTGTCTTCCTTTCTGGTGTCTCTAAGATAATCAGGTTTTTTGCCTTTTTTAGCTGCTAGAGGCTGCCTGCATTCCTTGGCTTATGGCCCCTTCCACTGTCTTCAAGGTTGGCAGCGGCCAGTGGAGTGAGTGTCTTTCATATCCCTTCACTCTGCTACTGACTTTCTGCCTCCCTCTTCCACTTTTAAGGATCCTTGTGGGTTACATTGTGCCCACTCTGATAATTGAAGATAATCTCCCTATTTTAAAGTCAGTTTAGCAGCCTTCATTCCACCTGTAATCGTATGGGTCTTTTGCCTCTCCATATAAACTTTAAAATTTAGTTTGTTACTAGCTACAAAATAACTTGATGGGATTTTTATTAGGATTATGCTGAATCTATAGATCAATTCGGAAAGGATTGACATCTTGTTAATATTGAGTCTTCCTATCCATGAATACAGAATATCTGTCCATTTATTTAGTTCTTCTTTGATATCTTTATCAAAGCTTTATAGTTTTCCTCATATAGATCTTATACACTTTTTTTGGATTGATGCCTAAGTATTTGATTTTGGGGGTTCTAATGTAAATGATAAAATGTTTTTAATGTCAGATTCCATTATTCATTGCTGGTGTATAAGAAAGTGACTGGCTTTTATTAACCTTGTGTCCTGCAACCTTGCTATAATAGTTTATTAGTACCAGGATTTTTTATGTTGATTCTTGCAGATTTTCTACATAGACAATCATGTCATCTGCCAATGAAAATGGTTTTATTTCTTCCTTCCCAATTGGCATATTTCCTTTTCTTGTCTTAGTGCATTACTTAGGACAAATGTACAAAGTTGAAAAGCAGTGGTGACAGGGTACATCTTTGCCTTGTGCCTTATCTTAGCAGGAAGGCTTCCAGTTGATTAGCAACCAAATTCCATCTGCGACCTCAGTTCCTCTTGCCATGTAATGTAACATATTTATAGTTCCTGAGAATTAGGATATCTTTAGGGTGAAGGAGGATGTCATTATTCTGCCTACCATTCACAGTAAGCACAAATAATTGGTAACTATGGAATTTTCTATCATTATCATTACTATTATTATGTATAGTATTAGTAAAAGTAGTCCTTACTCTACCAAAAAGGGTGCTCGAAACAGGATTTGAGACAACAGAAAAAGCTCTCAAAATCCACAGCCACCTTAATCAAATGTTGGCCTGCCTGGAGTTTTTTGCTGCATCTCTGTTGTCTGACAATCAAACTCTAACAGATTTGGGTGGCTCCCTAGTTGGACCCCATACCTGGAGAGCCACCACTGGGATGAAGTTTCACTTCAAGTGTCTTGTCTTAATGTGTTTTTAATTATGAGAGGCTTTATTTCATTCGTGTTAACTTTTAAAAATTATTTTCTCGGCTGGGCACGGTGGCTCACGCCTGTAATCCCAGCACTTTGGGAGGCCGAGGCGGGCCGATCACGAGGTCAGGAGATTGAGACCATCATGGCTAACACGGTGAAACCCCGTCTCTACTAAAAATACAAAAACAAAATTAGCCGGGCGTGGTGGTGGGCGCCTGTAGTCCCAGCTACTCGGGAGGCTGAGGCAGGAGAATGGCATGAACCCAGGAGGCAGAGCTTGTAGTGAGCTGAGATTGCGCCACTGCCCTCCAAAAAAAAAAAAAAATTATTTTCTCAAAATGCACTAATTCCTAAAGCCCAGGAATTCCCCTTCAGGCGGAAAGCCTTAAAGGAGTCGAATGAATAAACCTAGAGATGGCAGTGGGAGCTCCTGATAATGTGCATCCAGGAATGGTATCTTGACACTGGAGAGTAATGCCAGTGCCTGTCAGACCCCATAAGAAAATAAGACGACCAGAGACATGCCTGCTCTTCTTTCCACAGCAAACAGAATGAGAGAGAATAATCCGCACATGACTGTCGGTTAGTAAGAAGGAAAACATTCTGGCCAGTGTTCCACCTCGGAACACGGTGACCAGAGGAGATCATGGAGCTACATCTCTGGAGGTCTCATCTGCTTGGGATGGTTTAGGTGTGGTTCTAGATAATGTTAGGCAGATGGCTGAGGTCCACCCAATTCCTTCCTTCCCTTATGAGTTAGTGAATTTCCTATCTCTATCTTTAAATTCTCCTTGGACTCAGTAGAACTGTCTCCTAGGTCGGGTGTACATTATTGCTTCCACAGTTCTCTCCAGGGCAATCGAGCAACTGAAAACATCTGTTTTTCACTGTCTAAAATGGATTTATCCCGTATGAGTTACAGGTTCTCTGACTTCACTCAGTATATTCTAGTTTGGGGGAACAGTGTCTTAATGTCACCACCACACTCTCTAATTAGTACATAAGAAGGCTTTATTTCTACTTGTCCTCTTCTTTCTCATCTATGTGTTTATTCAAATTGCTTTTTCCCCCATGAATCTTTTAAAATCTCTGTTCTTATAATTTGCTATGCCTTCAATTATTATCATTTTTCTTTGCTAGTTATTTCTCCCTCCTTTGATTTAGTCAATATATTTTATCAAAATAATTTAATGGTGATTCTTTTATAAGAGCAAACAACCACCTCTCTAAGTTCATATTTTTTTTTTGCAATCTGATTTGCTTAAGGAGAATGTGCTTGAATTCCTAGTCTTAAGCAATAGGAAAGAACAGCTAATACAAGCTAAAGAACCCAGGTGATTGTCTCTTTTCTCAAGAAATCTACTCATAATGAGTAAATATAAGAAATCCTATTTGCATTATCCCTACAGTTTTCATCCTTAGGTCCTTTACATTTCTGTGCTGCTAATGTATATATTTCCTACTGCTGGGAGAAGGGAGGAATGTGAAAGAAGGAATTTATGTTTTTGTTGACTTCCCTTTTACCCAAATTGACCCTCTTTGGAAATATAAGCTATCGTTTCTGTTGCATAAAAGAAGTAAATGTTGCTATTTACTGTTAGTAAAATAAATGGAAAAGAGCAAGGATATATCAACTGTGAAGTTGTTCCTTTTACTTGAGAACAGGGATAGAATCTTGGACTCTTGAGTGTGTAAATTCAATAAATGCAATAGCAGTTAAATAAATAAGTTGATATTTAAGTATGTAAAATGATTGTTTTAAATTCTATCCAATAATTTCAGAGACTTTGCTTTGAATAGCATCTCTCTCTCCTTTTTTTTTTTCCAGGTTTTTGCACAATTCAGGTTTTTTTTCCAGTCTTTTTGAAATACAACCTGAATTTACTGAAGTTTTATTTCCTAGTCTTAATACACTTGAGCATCTCCAAATCTTAAGTCAGTTTCCAGATGTAAGCTGGCAGATACCAGAGGAATAGACTTGAGTCAGTCATCATTATGGCTGAACTGCTAAGACAGTGAGGGTTTCAGTGAGGTGAAGTTGCTAGCTCTGGTGTTAGACTGACCCAGCTTCTCTCCATGGCTCTGCCATTTACAAGCTATGTGGACAAACCTCTTAACCAGGGTGAGCATAATAATCACCCAAACCAGGATACTTTTGAGAGTGAATAGTGGTGTCATTAATAATTATGCCAGGATAACATGTATAAATCAGGACTCTCTTGGCCAAACCAGAATGCATGGTCACCCAACTCTTAGTAGAATAAGCTCTTTCCTCTGTAAAATGTGTAGGAAAAAATGTAAACATTTGAAAAATACCATCTTATACGGTGGTTTGTGGGTTAAATGAGATAATAAATAAAGAGTCCTTAGTATACAACCTGGCATATACTAAGTCAATAAATGTTAGTTATTATTGTGAATACATATCTGACTTTTCATGTCCTTCAGAGCAATCTAAAATGTGAAATAGTATTGATAATTGATAGCTACCATTTGCTTATCATATATAACTCACAAAGCTCTTGGTTTTATTTCTTGAAACATGTGTTCCATTTTTCCCTGTTTCCCTTAAGTACAATTAGTCAAATCTTGCCATCCTAGCCCTTCCACCTGAATAAACTAATTTTTTATTAAATCTATTATACCAGAATGCTACTTACTGCCCTTGGGTTTAGAGAAAGGGAGTATAGAGGAGGCTATCACAGTTCTGAATTTAAGTTTATAATTTTCTATTGCAGTCTAATCACCAATAGAGAATTTTCTTCTCCAGTTTTAGTTCCTGTGCAGATATCTGCCTGAAAGCTTCAGAAAATGTTGCATGGCCTTTTCAGAGGCTACCTATGATTCTGGAGGCTGTTAGTGTTGCTGCTCTTGCAATAAGAGCTTGTCTTTGAGAACAAAAATACTTCTCTGATGCCGTTTTTGTTTAGTAAAGAAAACAAGAATTGCAGATATTAGAATGTCCTTAATACCACTGTGATGAAAAACTCAGCTTAATTGTGCAGGTAGGTTTGTGATAGGTAAAGAAGGTGGACACCTTGGAAAAACCTCATATTCCTCTTAGAAGGATTCTTGAAAACCCAACCCATACTGCTTGATGGGCCCAGTAATTTCGTGCTTGTTTCTGTTTTTGTAAGATCTTATGGATATCTGTGGACAAATGTTTTCCTGCTAGCATCATCAAGATACTAGTTGAGTTATTGATGACTTGTCTCTTTGAAGAGCTCTGTAAACTAGCTTCATTCATTCATCCAGACATCTATACATCCATTAATCTGTATATCTGTTCAACAAATATTTATTAAGCCTGCTAGTATGGACTAGGAGCAAAAGATTTTAAGCAAGTAATTTCAATCTTTGCCCTTATGATAGATTTGCAAAAATGTCTCCAATTATTTGCCTCTTCATCTTTGCTTCATAACTTTATAGCGCTCTTCCATTTCTGACTCTGGTCTCAACCATAAGACTTGCTTTGGCCAATGACTTGTCAAAAAGCAAGTCATTGGTCAAGCAAAGGCTTTAAAGTATTTGCAAAATCAGGCTTGTTATCACTCTTACCTTCTTCATCAACATAAGACTATCTGTGCTAGTCTGTTGGGTGATTAGAGACACTTGGAAAAGAGATGAATTAGCACAGTCATTCCAGCCAAGAGTATCCTATATTGGCTGATAATCAGCTGACCTCTATACATCAATACATCTTCCTAAACATGTGATATTATCCAACCGAGGCCAGAAGATTCATCCATTCAACCCAGCCAAGATCAGCAGAGCTGCCTAATCAACCATCCCAGAGGCATGGGTAAGGACTATTTATCATTGTATGCCTTTGAAGTGTTGTGGTTGGTTGATAGTCAGCATTATTGTGGGAACAGTTAATGATAGAGCTTCAGACTCTTGTTCTCATCTTTTCTCCTTGACAGTTACACTCCCATTTTTCCTAAGACATGTTGTGCATCTGCCAACTTGATGCTCTCACACATCCCACAATGATTTCTTTGGAAGAATGCAATGGCTGTTTTGAGGTATTTATCTCTGGCGAGTTCATGTTTCTGAAAGACTTGGATCAAAACTGCAAAAACCTTGAGTGTCTGTGAAATGGAAGAGACGATTCATTCACTTGTTTATCATTTATTGGGTGTTTGGGTACTGGCTCTGTATCAGAAACAATGCTGAGCCTTAGGGATGGCAGGGGCAAATGTAAATAAGTTTGTTTATGCAGATCTTGCATTCTACTGGAGGATGCTTCAAATAGGGAAACAAACCAAAAAAGCACAATATGAAAAGAACAAATACAGAGAAATCAGCACAGTTTTGCTTATTTTCCAGCCTAGAGAGAGATAACTTTTGATGGAAACATTTGAATTAAAGAAATGCTAAAATATTGTTAAATCATTATTCATTCAATAAGTACATGTTGAACACCTAGTATGGACAAAACAATGAACTAGATACTTGAAGGTTATACAAAAATAAGTTCTTAACAGGTTTATAGTTTAGAAAGGGTGACCAACATACAAAATTAATATAAAGCAGAAGGAATGAAGTGCTAAAACAGAGGTTTAAAGTATAATGTAAGCTGAGAGCAAAGAATGACTAATTCTCATTTGGAAAATCATGGAATGCTGTAAGAACACAATGGAATTTAAGCTGGATTTGGAAAAGATTTGGAAAGAGAAAACTGAGAGGTGCTGCAGAGGAAGAGCACCTAGAAATAATGAGAGCCTTGAGTCCCATGTTCAGTCCTTAGCAGTGCAACTCACTGGTGTGACTCTGGCCAGTTTTAATGTTCTCACCTCAAAAATGAGTAGAGTGATGCTAAATGATCTATATAGACCCTTCCAGCTTTAATACCCTGAGTCACCTAATTCAGTTGCCCATCATATGCTTAAGCACAATAAAGTGGCCAATAATTTCCACTAAGTACAGGCCAGCGTGGGCTCAGTTCATGGGTGTCACTCTGGAAATGCTATTCTTGGAGTGACAGAATCATTAGTTCTTGTTAGGAGTCAGGAGAGTGGGCTATGTAGGGAGGTTCTATGACAGAGTAAAGAGAATGTCACACAGACCTGGCTTTGATGCCGATGCTGTCACCAGCAATGTTCTTCGACCTAAGTTACTTAACCTCTTGCCTCAGTGTTCTCATCTACAAAGTGGGGATGATAATCCTGCTATATAAGGTGAGGAGCAAATAAGGTGGGACATGCAACGTTACCCATTAATAATAGTTCACTGTGGATAACACATGAGTGAATAAGCGAGGTATTTGTATGAGGATGTCCCTCTCTATACACAAGAGATGTGTTCCTGAAAGATCACACGTGATTTGAATTGTCTAATACCTCTTTCATATTCGAAATGTGTTGTTTTAAAAGTCTTTTCTGTGACTCTTCTTTCTTAACAATTTATTGTTTATTAGATTACATAAAGTTTGAATTTATAAAACAGGGTAATTATTTTCTTAAACAATGAATTATGAAACTAGACTGACCATGGAATGAACTGGTAGTTTTCTATGCAGTATTCACTTTCCCCTTCTTTCTTAGAAAGATGTTATTTGAGGTGCCAGAGTGCTCAGCTAAAAGACTACATTCCACAATATTTCTTGCATGTATGGGTGGCCAATGTGATGTAAACTGAAGGCAGTAAGTAAGGCATCAAGAAGAATCCCCTTACTCTATCCCTTTTTCTCATCTAGAATGAAGGTGAGACATTTGCAGCTTTGAGAATGGAAGTCACACGCTAAAGATGATGGAGCTGCAGCCCCCGATGACTTTGTGTGCTGCAGCACCAGCCCTGAACTGCCCATCTTTGGACTTTCCTTTCTGTGAGAGAGCAATAAGCTTCTCTTTTGTCTAAGCCTCTATTAGTTCTGTTCTCTGATACTAGCAGCTTATTGCAGTTTCTAACTGATGCCCCTAGCAATATTAGTGAGATCATCAAGTTCAATGGGCTGGCATTGTGTGTATCAGAATTGAAAATCAGTGTAATAACCATGCCTGAGCACAACCCCCTGGGAATCTTTTGAACAAAATCCCACAAGATTAACTAGATAATATTAGGAATGCTGTTATCGATAAAGTTTATTGAGCGTTCACTTAGATGCCTGGGAACAATGCAGGAAGGGGACCTAGTCTAGTCTTGAAAAACCACAGACGTCTTCATTAGGAAGGTGACGTGAATGCTGAAAACTGAAGCAAAGCAGCTAAAGGAAAGGTGGAAGGGAGTGGAGAGGGTGGGGGAAGGGTGTTATGGGCAAAAGAAACAGTGTTTGCGAAGGCAGAGGCAAAGTGAACTTGTTCTATTTGAGGGAACTGTAAGTGCTTTATAAATAAACAGAACATCGTGTCAGAGGTCAGGACGGGGAGTAGATGGAAGTACTACTTCAGGCCAGAAAACTAGGCAGGGGAGCAGATCATGCAGACTTTTAAAACCACACTTACACGTTCCAGTCTTTCCCAAAAGGAATGAGCTTCCATTTTCATATATATATATATATATATATATATATATTTTTTTTTTTTTTAATTATACTTTAAGTTCTAGGGTACATGTGCACAACGTGCAGGTTTGTTACATATGTATACATGTGCCATGTTGGTGTGCTGCACCCATTAACTCATCATTTACATTAGGTGTATCTCCTAATGCTATCCCTCCCCCCTCCCCCCACCCCACAACAGGCCCCGGTGTGTGATATTCCCCATCCTGTGTCCATTTTCAAAAGATCACTGGAATGGCAAGGCAGAGAAAAAACGGGGTGGATGGGAGTTTGTTGTTTCAGTGAACCAGGTGCAAGATAATGGTGACTACTGTAGCATGCGATATTGGAAATATAAGAGGTAGACAAATTCAGAAGATAATACAAGTTGGAACGAATACGACTTGATAATTGATTGGCTTAGTGGTGAGGAAGATGCCCAGATTCTTGGCTTAGGCCAGAAGACAGGAGAGGGAGTGGCATTAATACTTGAATATGTATCAATGCACATTTGAAAATCTCATAGATTGTATATTTGGTGTTTCTTATAAGTATCCTAAATGTCTGTTTCCTGTTTAAAAATTAGCTTGATAGCAATTGGCTTAGTGAAAATCCAGTTTCATTGGTAAGAAGGGCAAGCCCTCTGGCTGTTCTCTGACTGGTTGGTATCTATTTCCTGCAGTATAATAAAGGGTACCCCTTGCCACAGGAAGCTATTACCAGATCTTATTTATTTCCTGATTAAAAAGGAGTAAATCATAGCTGGACATCTGTGGAAAATGAGTTTTTAGTACAGCTAAGGTAGTTAATGTCTAAATGGGAGTTTCTCCTGTGATGATAAATGTCTACTCTGTTGAAATAGTTTCCATAAAACTCAGTTGGTACGAGGGTAGAGATATTGTGCAACTGTCAATGAGGCATTAAAGGGATGCTTGTTTATTGGGTTTACAATCAACAACAAATCCTAACTCTTATAAAAAATGAAAATGTTTTGGTGTACCAGTTTAGCAATATAGGAGCTTCTTTTTCAGAAAAAAACTATATTCTAATATGAATTTAGTTTAACATTCAGTGGATAATAGAAAAAATGTGGAAGACGTCACTAGGAAAAATAGCGAACAATTCCCATGTGTGGGAGCACAGTGATAATAGTTCTTAGAACAAATGGTAGCGTATTGCTGTCAAGTTAGTGTACACAAGGGGTGGGCTTTTAAAAGTCATTGTTCTGTATAAGCTTTGCCTGTAAAATCCCTCACTGCTAGATTGTTGTCTGTATTGATGGACTGATGGAATGTAGCTGCAAGAGGTGAAGTGTACCTTTACCTTCAATTCCTGCTTCTTTTTCTCCCTTAAATACCTTGATGAAAAATGCTGAACTGCTTCAATGACATTGGATGTAATTAGAAACAACAAATCCATTGTGCTCTGTGTATGTCACGCTACTGCCGTCCTTGTCGCAGTTGCTTTCCGTAGACTCTGGTTGGGTAGAGAGGGTAAATAGGAAAGCAAGGAAGATGTGACCATTTCCAGAGGGTTGATGATTTTCTCTAGGTTATGAAGATCACTGGGTTCCACTAGGATATGTGGTTATCTTCAGCTGGTTGTGGTAGAAACCAGCAGGGCTTCCTCTTTTGGAGACAGTTATCTAGAACCAGTTTCTATTAGTCAAGATCAGACTAGGCTGCTTTAACAAAGACCCAAACATACCGTGGCACACATAAGCTAGACATTTACTTTTCTTTCACATAACAGTCCAGAGGTGGGGATAAGCAGAGGTCCAGGGTGGGAAGAGGATTCTGCTCCACTGGCCACCTTGGGTTTTGAGTTTCTTTGAACTTGTTGCTTTCCCTTCCCAGACTATTGTCCTCAGCTGCAGGGTCAAAGTCAAGTCATAAGCATCATATCCTTTTTCCAACACAAGAGAAGAGGGAAAGAGAAAATTAAGGGCAACCAGCTTTCTTTTAATGATATAACCCAGAAGCTGCTCGTCCCATTGGCCTACCTGCAAGGGATCCTGGACAATAAAGTCTCTAGCTCAATGGCTGTGTCTCCAACTAAAACTGAAAGTTTTCTAGTACTAAAAGAAAGTTAAGGAAAATGATATTGGGAGGCATATAGCAGTCTCTGCTGCACAGTCCTTTTAATTTGCTTTAGTGACTGCTCTCTTTCTCAAATTTCATTTCTTGGGTGTTTGGGAAGGTGTCCCTGTATCTTATTGATGATGCCCAGATGGTGACTATTTATTACTAAGGAAGAAACCATTGGAAACTATATATTTCAAATGTCATGTTTAAACTGACATAGTTTGAATATTTCATACATTTAAGTTATTCATACATGAATACACTTCACTCTTAATGTAGCAGACTCAACATGGTGGTAATTACATTGTCTATCATGCTTACCTTCCTACTTGCATATTCAAGTATTAATGCCACTCCTTCTCCTGTCTTCTGGCCTAAGCCAAGAATCTGGGCATCTTCCTCACCACTAAGCCAATCAATTATCAAGTCGTATCGGTTCCAACTTGTATGATGGGGATTTTCTTGTGTTGTTCCACAGCTCTGTCCTTGGAACCTGGCAATTAAGATTTGCTACCAAGAAATAAATAATGATGACACTTGAAATGAAATGGGAGGCTTTGTATGTTTAACACTGAAGGAAAATATATTGAGTACATTTGTATTTCAAAATATTATAGAAAGTTTTGTTTCTATGAAGTCCAATGCATCTCAGAAGATTCTGAGTTTTGTTTTCTTCTGCAATATTAAAATTATCTTTCCTAGGACTACCATGGTGCTTTTGGATGGGTTGGGGCTGGTGAATTGAAGGGGCCTAGTCTTTGGATGTTTAGGAGACACCTAGGATTTACTATCTGAGAGCCCAAAGGAGACATGTGGGGTCATTCAGGACTCTTCACACTTTGAGCACAGCAGTAACAACATAAATATAAATAGTATAAATATAAAGATGTTTTGGAGACGGTCTCGCCCTGTCGCCCAGGCTGGAGTGCAGTGGCTGGCTGGATCATGGCTCACTGCAGCCTTGACCTTCTGGGCTCAAGTGATCCTCCCACCTCAGCCTCCTGAGTATCTGGGATTACAGGCATGCATCATCATACCCAGCTAATTTTTTGTTGTTGTTGTTTGTTTTGTTTTGTAGAGACCAGGTCTCACTATGTTGCTCAGGCTTGTCTCCAACTCCTGGACTCAAGTGATCCTCCAGCCTCAGCCTCCAAAAGTGCTGGGATTATAGGCATGAGACACCATGCCTGGCAGCACTAACAATATTTTATTTCACTTATCTGTCTTGTAGTATGGTTGCCTATTTTTTTTTTTTTTTTTTTTGTAGTATGGTTACCTACTTTTCTCTCCAATAAACCTTGAACTCCTTGAGGCGAAGAACTCTGTCTTTTCCCCTTTGTGTTTCCAGGGCCTATGACACACTGGCACAAAGTAGAGGCTGTGTGAGCTGGATGGGAATGGATGGGAAAGAGAAGTGGGACAGTATCTCTAAACAGGAGTTGGGAAACTTCCTTCAGTGTATGAGAACAAAAGGAGGAAAAGTTGGGCATGGATATACAAAGTCCAGGACGCCCCTGACTGATGGCTTCTGCGTACTCTGAGAGGGAGGAGGAGCTATCTTCAGTGGGTAGTGAGAGGGCGTGGGGAGTCCAATACTTTTGGGGAGCAGAAAACTTCAAAATAGTTACTGTGGGAAATAGGAGAGACAGTTGATGGGGAAATATAAGGAGTTGGCTTGCAATACTTTTTCATCTTTTTCACTTTCTGTCCAATCTTCTATTTATTAACCTCTTTTCCCTTTTGGTTTCTTCCTTTCTCTGTTTAAAGATGCTAACATGCTTGCAGATTAAATGTACAAAAAACTTCCTCAAGCCCAAATCCCTCTCCAGAAATTGACTTCTCCCTCGCCCCTATAAAGACAAACTCCTAAGAAGAGTTGCTGTCTTCACTTCTTGACTTTTTCCTGTCCCTTTGGACCTCACTCATTGACCGCCTTCTATTCCCTTCATTGAAATTATTTTCAAAAAGTCCTCACGATATATCCCTCTGGCTAAACCCAGTGCAAACTTGAGGTCCTTTACTCACTTGATTTCAGAGCAGCTTTTAACTGCGCGTTCATTCGTGAAATATTCTGTTTTCTTTGCTTCCAAATTATTCCCTTATCTCTTATCTTCCACCTGATCTTAAGTGCTGGTGTCCCTCAAGGTTTTGTCCTGGGCCTTCTTTCTTCCATGTTTTCAGTTATATTGTTACACTGATGACTATAGAATCCACATCTCTAGCTCATTTATCTCTCCTTAGCTGCAGACTCATTTCCAGATGCTTCCTGGACCTCCACACCTGCATGTCCTAAACTCTTCCTGTCCAGAACTCAACTCATCACCATTCATTTGACACCTGCTTATTCCCCCACGTTCCCTAGTTTAGTGAATGGCGTCTGGCAGACAAGCTAGAAATGAGGACATCATCCCTACCTGCAAGTTCCCCATCACCATGATTTTCCCTTTTAAAACTTCTTCTCAAAACACTGCAGCACATTAATGCTGCCCTAGGCTAGCCACCAAAGTCTATTGTCTACATTACTTCAACAGATTCCGACTGGTTTCCCTATTTTCAGTTCATCTTCTCTCCCAGCCCAGATCTTTGCATTGCAGCCAGAATGACCTTTCTAAATGCAAATTTTATCATTTTCTTTCCTGCTTAAATTTTTAAAAAGATGTCCCCTTTTCCTTCTCCAGGGAGTTTAAACTTTTACCTGGCATAGAGTTGTTCATAATCTGACCATTGATTATCTCTCCTGCCTTATCTATAACCCCTTTCCCCACCACCACCGCAGCAATCTAGGCCACACCCAAATTGATCTCCTTTCAGTTTCTTGAATATACCATTGTCTCTCATCTCAACATGACACTTCTGTCTGGAAATCTCTCTCTTCCCTCCTTCTTTGCCTGGCTAACATTCGTTAATTCATTTAACAATTTTTTGTTAATGTATTGTAGTATTAGGGAGGTATTATCCTAAACACTAAGGAGATAATAGTGAATAAAATTGAAAAGTCCCTGTCTACCAGTATCAGGACTGTGGATGTACCAATCGGCTTTTGTGTCATCTGTCATGGCAAACATCCAACTAGGGCTCATTTTGTGGATTCTTCAGAGGTCCCCAAGGGAAACTTTTCACTATACCCTTCCCTAGGGGGAGATACTGGGTGGCTCGCCAATTTAAAGGGAGAGCTGAATGACAAAACCTTGGAGAAACAATACCCAAGAAAGCTCTAGGATCTTAAGGTCAGGAACCCTTGGATTGACTCCACCTGGTGCTAACCTTGAAATGGCTCAGTTCCTGCTAGCTTCCTAAAATTAAGATATGCTGGAGGGGAATTTCTATGTGTTTCCTTGATTAAGATTCAGATTTCTTTAAGGGTACAAAGTTTCAGTTATGCAAGATGATTAAGTTCTAGAGGTCCATGGTAGAGTATAGTGCCTATAACTAATAATCCTATATTACATACTTAAAAAGTAAGAGGGTGGATCTTTTTTTTTTTTTTTTTTTTTTTTTTTTTTTTTTTTTTTTTTTTGAGATGGAGTCTCGCTCTGTCATCCAGGCTGGAGTGCAGTGGCACGATCTCGGCTTACTGCAAGCTCCACCTCCCGGGTTCACACCATTCTGCCTCAGCCTCCCAAGTAGCTGGGACTACAGGTGCCCACCACCACGCCTGGCTAATTTTTTGTATTTTTAGTAGAGACGGGGTTTCACTGTGTTAGCCAAGATAGTCTTGATCTCCTGACCTTGTGATCTGCCCGCCTCGGCCTCCCAAAGTGCTGGGATTACAGGTGTGAGCCACTGCACCCGGCCGAGGGTGGATCTTTAAAGTGTTCTTATCTACACAAAAAATTTCAGACTCCCAGGAGAGAGAATCAGGTTGACTTAAGTAGGTTCAAATATCTACACCTATAGGTTGGATAATGGGTCTGGAAACTAGAGCTATTGTAACTACCATTACAGTGGTCTAGATAGGAGATGATGGTAATTTGGATTATAGTTGCAGTGGAGACAGAGAAAAGTGGATGAATATGTTAATGGGCAGAAGCCATCGGGATTTATAGAATAAAGTGATTGTGAAGATAGAAGGAAAAAGGAAAGAGAATCATGAATGATGCCTAGATTTGGGGCTCAAATAACTGGTGGAAGGTGGAGCCATTTACTGAGATTGGAAGAATATGTAAGGAGGGAGATTTATGTTAGTGGGGTTGGGGGAAAGACAGGAGAGCATGAGTCTATTTTGATCATAGTACGTTTGAGATGCGCAATCAGCCTTTGGATATGAATCTGAAGCTCAGTGCAGCAGTGAGGTCTAAAGATGTAAATACAGGAATCTTCAGCATAGAGATGCTAAAGTCATGAGCCTAGATGATATGACATATGGACAGATGGAAGGTAGAGAAGAGACAAAGCCCTGGGACTGAGCCCTGGGACACAGCTATACTTAGAGATTATAATAGAGGAGGAGGAGTCTGCAAAGAGGCTGAGAAGGGAGGCCAGCAAAGTAAATGAAAAAAAAAAAAAAGGAATTTCCCACCATTGTCAAAGAAGCCAGATCGTCAGCCTGGGCAACAAAGTGAGATCCGTTCTCTACAAAAAAATTAAAAAAAAATTAGCTGGGCATCATGGCACATGCCTGTAATCCCAGCTATTTGGGAAGCTGAGGTGGGAGGATGGCTGGAGCCCAGGAGTTTGAGGTGGCAGTGAGCCATGATTACACTACTGCCCTCCAGTCTAGATGAGAGAGTGAGATGCTATCTCTTAAAAGAAGAAGAGGAAGAAGAAGAAAAAGAGGAGGAGGAGGAGAAGAAGAAGAAGAAGGGGGGAGGGGGAGGAGAAAGAGAAGGAAAAGGAGAAGAGGGAGGAGAAGAAGCCAGATCTTATTATCAGTAACAGATCTTCTCCTGTGTGGATGCCTGTTCAATCTTGAAATGGATAATCTGCTTTAGTTGTCTTGAAGTTGGATTCACTCTTGCCCTCCCTATGTATTCGAATGTCTCTGATTTAATCCATCACTGTTCCAAGTGTCATGGATATATCACCCAACCCAGAAGGTATGTGTGGCGTCATTAACAGTCTGACCACATGCTGTCCCTCTTCTCTGTGGTGCTTATTTTCCTCTACAGGCTATCACCTGTCCAGTTAATCCTGCTCTTCTGTGTTTACGGGGGAATTTCCCCCACCTAATTCCTGTTACGGTCATGTGCTTTCTGCTGTTGATGGCCCAAGATCTGCACTATGGTTAGGCCTTTTTCTAAGCAAATAGAGTATTAGGGCTAGGCGGATGCTAAGCAATCCTACAATTCCAACCCCTTACTTTCCCCCCTAGCTTTATTGAGGTATAATTGACACATTAAAATTGTATGTATTTAAGGTGTACAACTTGACGTTTTGATGTACATATACATTGTGAAATAATGACCACAATCAAGCTAACATATTGATCACCTCACCACATCAGCATCTTCAACAGATATCTGCCCTACTGTGTTTATTACAGCATTATTCACAATAGCCAATAATTGGAAACAACTAATCCATTATTTTTAAGGCTAAGGAGGCTGAGGCCTAGAAATGATCATCCTGTGCAAAGGGATGTGACGATGACATTTTAGCAGCTGTACTAGTGGAATGAATTCTTTCTGATGAATGAAATGAATTCTTTTGTATATTCTAAACTTAAATTCATAAATGTCATAGACCAAGAGACATAAATATCTGGGGCTGAGGCAGGGGAGGTGGTTGTGTAAAGAAAATGATAACACCAGTTCTGCCACCTTTATGGCTCTATCATTAGATGGCATGAATAATATTGTAAAGTTCATGATAAATAATAACGTGCCATACACATGTGAGGCCATCTCTGTGCTCCAGATAAGACAGGCAAATACTCGGCAATTTTCTCAAAAGTCGTTTGCACTCAAGAGAGGAGCTTATCCCCTGTTTTAAGAGCCCTCTGGCTTTAGATTTCTCAGCTCTTATGAGCACATATGGGCCTCTAGCCCCAGACTAGGGTAGCCCTTACATACAGTCAAGGGCCTTTGTGGGCTTAAGCAAGAACCCTTGAGATTCTCCCCATATTCTGGTATGGGCCAACTGGCTCAAACCTGCTGCTCCCTGTAAAGCAGGTGTTCCTAAAGTACCAAAAGGCACCTGAGGGTGGGAAGCTAGGCTGCATGGCAAGCTTAGTCCAGGGGCAAGCCCTGGAATGTAGCAGGGCCATTGCATGTCCTCTAGGAGGCATAAGAATGTTGGAAAGACTGATAGGTAGAACACACCATTAAATAAATAGAGGTGAATAACACATACTCTTGAAATGAAGACAAATGCATTTTAGCTTGATTTTATTTTCTCATTTTTCCTTAGGGGACCAAGTGGCCCAGGAGTCCCACAGGTGGAATTGCTATTAATCATTATCATTTACCTTCCAGAAAGGAAAAAATGAAGTCCAATATGTGCAAGCTGTATTTCTAAATTTCAGATATATTTGGAAACCATAGCTTCATTCTTCCTAATAATTACCAACTACAGAAGGAGAGAAAAAGCTTGTAATCAGGGACGCAATGTCAGCCTTTTTGGCACTTTTGTTTAAGACATTTATCCAGCCTGAAAAAAACATTATTAGGTTTCCATTCCAGATTGGTTCCAGAGAAAGCTTTTCACTTTCCCTCCCATGACACGGATTTTTAATATAAAACACACAGGGGCTACTGGGTAGAGAAAGGACAGAATCAGAAGGGAATTTAAAGATCTGAAATTATAATAAAGATCACTCTATAGACAAGGTGAGAATGATTTCTAAACATATCCTCTATCCCTGCCCCCGACACCTTCCGTTCCCCATTGACTGCCTTGTGTACAGATGTTGTGAGTACTCTGGGTCTAAAGGACCAATGCCAGGCAGGGGGACAAAAACTGTAATGCCTGAGGACAAACACTGAAACCAGAAACTTCACTTAGGGCAACAGGGCACAAAAGAACCATGGCCAAATTCATCCTCCTACTCCTTCTCTCCCTTTCACCTTAGTATGGATCTTACAAATTTAACTATCTGCTATTTTTTAAAATGCTCAGTGGTGAGTTCTCATTTTAAAATAATGGTGTTATACAAGCAGCTCATGATAATCTGTATTCTGGAATAATTTGAGTCCTGTACATCCACACTCCTGCTTCCATTTCTCCTAGGACTGACAGGATCATTTTTTCCTCTTTCCCTTTATTTTTCCTTCCTCCTTCTCCTTCATTTAATTGATTCCCCACTTGTTCCCCACAGTAACAAAACATGGGTTTGAGGCTGCCTACAGAAATATGAGAAATATAAAAAAAAAAACAACAAGAAATAGATGAAGAAATTGGGGTGAAAGGAAAATTGGATTGCAAAAATGAGAGGCAGCCAGGGGTGAGGTTAACGTTTGGCAGAAGAAATGATAAAGTTCTATTTGAAAGCCAGAGGTTGGCCACAAAGTTTGTTTTGAGCTTCTTGGATAAAAGAGGAAGTGGGATTAGTTGCCAATAGCCAGAAACATACCAGTTGCTCAGAAGAACTTTTATATACTGGTTCACATTTTATTTACCTACTTTTGACCTTTTTATTGCTTCTCCACTCTATTGGTGGCTGAAACGAAGATGGAGCAAGATAGAAGCTGTAGGCTGATTTGAGGCTGAGCCTTTGGTATAGCAGTGGTTTCTACATCAAGCTATACACTAGATTCAGCAGTGGAGGAGGAGCTTTGAAAAAATACACATCCTTGGGACCCATTCATGGAGATTATGGTTTTGTAGGTGTGGGGTGAACATGAGAAATATGAATTTTTTTCTCCAAACATATCTGCTGTAGCAAGTCCACAGCACACATTTAGAAACTGCTGACGTAAGATGTGGTGAGAGGTGTCATGTTGCAGGCCAGGTTCTCCATGAAACAGAGATTTGCTTGCAGAAAGTTGATTGGGGGCACTCTTGCGATCGATACCTGTAAGGAGTGGAGGAAAAAAATATGGCAGAGGAAAAAGTCAGGCTGTGAAGCAATCATTGAAAAGGACTTTGGTCAATTCCAAGAAGAACTTTGGAATAGCTCTGCATATTTGTCTGAATTAGGGTAAGGGAGACGGGACTTTGTATTTCCTCCTTGACCAGTCACTGGAGGGGAACACAATCTTGGAGGGCGTGGCCTTCTTCAATGGAGGGAATCTCTAGAGAGGGACTCATCATGAGCTGTCTGCTGCTGATACTCTTAGCAGCTGGGGAAATGAGACCTTCAGTGCTGGAAAGTAGACTCTGGATGGCACAAGGCAGCATACACTACAGTCCACCCCTTGACCCATTCAGATTGACTTGCTTCATATATGTTTGGGGAGCAGCCCATTTGAGATTCTGGTGGCCCTCTTTTCCTGGAGTGAACTTATAAGTAGAGGTTTAGTGGGATGAGCTATAACCCCTATGACTCTCTGTCATCCATAGGGATGCCTTATTCTTTTAAGCATCTCCATGTCTTTCTAAGGGTTGGTCCTTCTTGGCAGCCACTCTGTCCTTGCTGTTCATTGGTCAATAATTGCTTCTACCTTGTCCCCGATGTCTAAGTTCTCCCCTCCCACATCTGTATTCTGTTGGGATCCAGTGGTCTACATTGCTGCCAGGGAGCTCAATTCTATGATAGCATCTCCTATTGTCAACCATGAACTACAGAAGTTGCTCAACACTGAGCTTCCCAGTGATGCTGCTGCCCCTTGCACTGGGCCATTCCTTATGGGTTTGTTGATAGAACGCTTTCTGGGCCCTCTTGTGGATCAAAGTCATCTGGTGGCCTTTTCAGCTTTATCTGCTACACCCGTGATTGCCACTCTTCTGATGCTTTTAATCTTTCCTGTCACCTGTGCCACAGTAGTTCTATACTACTTAGTGTGGGCCATTGCTTTCTGTAAGCTATTAAGGATGCTCCTGGTAGCATATTATCACCATCTAACTGGGTTCTTGCCAAGGGTTGAGTCCTACTCTACTCTCATATCTATAAATTCTCCTTTATCCACTTTTATGTTCCACCCACTCCCTTAATCCTTAGAACTCAGCCCCATACATGTTCTCCTGGCCTCTGTCAATCCATGTTGTATGGGTTCTACAGCTCCTGTGGCCTGCCAGTCCTTCCTTGCTTAGCATGTCCAGCACTTCTTAGGCCAAATTTTGTTATGTAAGTTAAACTTAATTACTGTTTTAGTGGTCAGAAGGTGGGTGACCAGGGCAGATCCTGAGTGGAATCTATCTTGTCTAGCAAGAGAAAAGTCCTTCTGCCTTGTAGTCCATCAAGAGGGACATTGAAAAGAAAGAGGAGGCCACTTCTGCAGAAGATTCAGAAAAATCTGGGGACTCAGATTAAATGCATCAACGCCAAGCATTTCCATTTCATATCTCAAGGTTCCGTTCCTTCCTAATCAGGGTCTTGACCTGGGTATATAGACCTGCCAGGAATCTTGAGGTATTGGGAGTGATGCAACTCTTATTCTTATAAATCTTGGGCTTGATCATCAATTTTGTCTGTCTTGCAGTGGCAGGAAATGAGAGTCACTTGATGATGCTGCAAAGCCGCCTTTGGCTTTTGCACTCAATCTAAATTATTGATGAATTACCCATATGATGCCTATTTCCTCCATGTTTCTCAAATGCCTCATACATTGGACCTGCTAAACATTTCGTTTCACTAGCATATGGTGCTGGCTCACCATCAGTGAAAGTCTTCCCTCACACTGGCATCTAACTGCCATTGGTGACAGCCATCATTATTGCTGCCTGGCTCATGGGTGATCCAGCTCCAACATCTTATTTGTGAGCCATTGTTTTGAGCACTCCTAACACCCTACCTGCTGCAGATCAGGTTCCCTGGGAGGTGGTAATCTTTGGATCAACCTTTGTGGGAAAGAGAAGAAAGCAAAAGTGGATAGAGGAAGAAACTGGTCTGTGAGGCATTCACAACCAAGACCTCAGCCCATTCCATTGTTTGCTCTGCAGCTGTGGCCACTCTGTATCATCATCCCCAATTGGGGCAAGGGGCCCAGCCTTTGTATACCTGACCAGTCATTCACTGGGGGCTGCTCCCAGGCAGGTGATGAGCCTAGGTTTAGCAGAGAACAATCTCTGCAGCAGGACCCAATTATGAGCTGTCAGCTACCAATACGCCCAGGAGCTGGGAAAATGAGTGTCTTAGTCCTGAAAGGGAGGAGATATTTGGATGGCCCAACACAATGTCCACTACAGAAAGAAAAGCAAGTTAGGGCTTTGAACTTTGAGTCACTTACAGAAAACATACAAAGTCTGATCTGTTTGCTGCTATAAGGACAAATATCATAGAGCTGTCTGAGATTAAGACTTAGAATGCTAATATAAATGTGGAAAGATGAAGGAGAAATCATTAGATGACATTTTGGTTATACAAATCCAAAAATGTCTCCTGATGGTGATCATTTCTTTAAAAGTCTTCTCTTTTCTCAGTCTAAGAGAGCCTGTGGTTATTAATTGAAGTTCCCCCAGGTCTCTATTCTGAAAGCACTCTGGTCCATCTTCTTAGAGAATACAAGCATCAGCAGGTGTGTTACCTGTCCTCCAGGTAGGCAGATTGCAAGGCTATTCACAGCTTGATCAATTGTTAATCCGGCCACTGATTTAATGAGAGTTGATTAAGGGTGCAGAAGGGAAAGAAGGAAGGAGAACAATACCACATTAAATATACTTATAAATTATAGGATGCATCTCAATTTCAGAAATGTTAAAATGTGTGTAATTATGTGCCTCAGGAAGGGAACAATACAGTATGAGATAGGAGTAAATGTTATGATAAAAATGGAGAAAATATGGGAAAAGCCATGGAGAGACCATTCCAGAAAAAGCAGGAAAAACCTCAGGGGAGAGGTACAATTTGAATAGGGCCTTGAAGAAAAAAAAATATGACACACTTACATATGTGTGTAATTCTGCGGTCGCTGACCTTTGAACCATCTATATTTATCCATTTAGGCTGGTCTAATCTGGCAGATAAAATCACATTTTTCTGTTGCATTCTTTGTTTTAGCTGAGTCTCCTAGTATATTAAATTTGTAGGGATCTAATTATTGATCCACTTACATTGTATTTTTATTCAACAATTTAAACGATATTTGCATATATATCATGTTATGGTGTCAAGAGACCTTACAGCAAGGGAAACCTATTAAAATATCAGTAAAGCAAATGGTGTTTACATTTGCTTTGCTACTTGTTAACATTTGCCAGTTGAGTGTTGTAGTCTCCTAGTAACAACAGGGGCAAAATAATAATTTTGTAGCCAGTATTACATACTTACCTCAAATTCACAGTAAAGCGTTAGAGATAAAGTAATTCCCAGTTACCACCACATTTCATATTTGTGAGTAGTAGAACTAGATAAGGAGGAAATAACATTAAATGATGAAATCACAATATTTTGGCAAACCTTAAAGCATTTTTTTCATTTAAAATGCTTCTTTCTTCTGCTTATAGAATTAATACAAGCTCATTGTAAGAAATTTAGAAAATATAGACAAATGAGGATTGGGATGAATTATTCATGTATACTTCTCAGTAAGGTAGGAACAGCAATTTGGCAATTGAAAATTGGAACAATGCCACCATGAAGTGACTTTTGAATGTTATGATACACACACACACACACACACACACACTCTTCATTCTATAGCTCAAGTCTTCTAGAAAACAGTAATAAGACTGCCTTGCCCCCTCATTCCTTCCTTCCTCCCCTCCTTTTTGATCTTTCTGAATAAACTAACCCCTTGTGAATAACATGAAATCCACTTTTACAAGGTTTATCAAACAAGGAGCCATGTGCTATACTAGGACTTGTGAGGCAGTTTTGAGAATAACAAGACATTCAAGATGATTTCAAAGCTGGTGTCACTGTATTATCCTGAAAACAATTGTTTTTCCCAAGAAGAAATGCCAAATATTGGCCATGACACTTCAGAATTGTTTTAGAGCGGCACTCTTAGATGTCATAGTTATGGTGATGTATAATGGAAAATAAGATTTGTTGATTTAGGAAAACCGCATTACATATAAAAACATCCATTTGTAACCATTTGGCTAGTCTGTCTTTAAAGGCATTTGATCACATCTACTAAATCTCTCTAAAACAAAATCTCTCTTGTGTTAGTTGTGGGTCTGCCCTGTAAATCTTATTGGAAAGAGTTAAGATACAAATGATCAGTGAGTGGAAGTGGAACTTTGGGTCATATATCTATGTAGTGAATACTGATGGTATGACAGAACAAGAGCATGGCTCTTGAAAGTGAGCTGTATTATGGAGGCAGATGGACAACTGAGTATATGTCATTCACCATAACTTAGTCTAAACTAATTACCTAATGTAAGAAACAGATGTCCGGAGAGCCTCATAAACAGAAATGATATATGGATGACTTTATATTGTGGCTAGAATGATGGCAGCTATTAAAATGCCATTGATCTCCAAAAATAGAAAAAAAAGTATGTCAAATAGTATTTTATAATTATTTTTTCTCTCAGAATTTAAAACATCATATTACCAGTAACATGACCCATGCATATTAGTAACCATAAAATAGGGCTATTTGTGAGATTGCTTACTCTGCATAGGTCATCAGGGTACTTTATTTAAATTATTGCTCCTCTGGATGGAATTGTATTCCAGTGACCTGCAAACATAAATGCACCTCTGAAGGTTTCCAGTGCCCAGGCAGAATCTGTTCTTACGAACAATGCAATGTTTGCTGTATCCATAAAAGGAAGCCAATGAGAAAACTAAGACCTGCTCTAAGAGGAATAAAGTCAGCTTCTTAACTTCCAATTTGGTTTGGGAGATCTATCTCCCATAGATCATGTTACTGATAAATATAGTGACTGCACATTAGTCTTAATTTAGGATCTCTGATTTGATCAAACAGCAGCTTATATATTTTAATAAATCAGATCTTCCACTACTTTCTGCTTCCTTTTATTTCACATTAGAGAAGTATAAAGAACGATATAAAACAAACATAGTTACTAACCACCAAGATTTAATAAATGCTAATGTTTTGCCACATTTGCTTCAGATCTTGGGGTGGGGATTGGGGACAGTGGGAAGAACAAAACACTCTAGGTAAAGTTTGGAAGGACTTTTCTTTTTTTTTCTTTTGTTTTTTGAATTTTTATTTTAGTTTCAGGGGTACATGTGCAGGTGTGTTATTTAGGTAAACACGTGTCATGGGGGTTTGTTGTACCGATTATTTCATTACTCAGGTACTAAGCCTAGTACCCAAGAGTTATTTTTTCTGATTCTCTCCCTCCATCTACACTCCACCCTCAAGTAATCTTCAGTGTCTGTTGTTCCCTTCTTTGTGTCCATGTGTTCTCATCATTTAGCTCCCACTTATAAGTGAGAACATGTGGTATTTGGTTTTCTGTTTCTGTGCTACTTCGCTTAGGATGATGGCCTCCTGTTCCATCCATGTTCCTGCAGAGGACATGATCTCATTCTTTTTTAGGGCTGCATAGTATTCCATGGTGTATATGTACCACATTTTGTTTATCCAGCCTACTATTGGTGGGCATTTAGGTTGATTCCATGTGTTTGCTATTGTGAGTAGTGCTGCAATGAACATATGCGTGCATGTATCTACGGTAGAATGATTTCTATTCCTTTGGGTATATAATGGTAGTTCCATTTTCAGCTCTTTGAGAAATTACCACACTGCTTTCCACAATGGCTGTGGAAAGTGATTTACCCTCCCACCAACAGTGCATAAACATTCCCTTTTCTCTGCAACCTTGCCAGCATCTCTTATTCTGTTATTTTTTGACTTTGTAATAATAGCCATGCTTTATGGTGTGAGATGGTATCTCATGTTGGTTTTGATTTGCATTTCTCTAATGGTCAATGATGTTGAGCCTTTTCTTCGTATGCTTGTCGTCTGCATATATGTCTTTTGAAAAATGTCTGTTCGTGTCTTTGCCCACTTTTTAATAGGGCTGTTTATTTTTTTTCTTGTAGATTTTGTTTAAGTTCCTTATAAATGCTGGATATTAGACTGTTGTCTGATGCATAATTTGCGAATATTTTCTCCCATTTTGTAGGTTATCTGTTTACTCCCTTGATAGTTTCTTTTGCTGTGCAGAAGCTCTTAAGTTTAAGATCCCATTTGTCAATTTTTGCTTTTGTTGTGATTGCTTTTGACATCTTCATCATGAAATCTTTGCCCATGCCTGTCCTGAATGGTATTGCCTAGGTTGTCTTCCGGGGTTTTTGTAGTTTTGCATTTTACATTTAAGTCTTAATCCATCTTGAGTTAGTTTTTGTATATGGTGTAAGGAAGGGGTCCAGTTTCAATCTTCTGCATATGGCTAGCCAGTTATCCCAGCACAATTTAATGAATAGGGAATCCAGGAAGGACTTTCCTAAGCTCATTTTTCTCTCCCCTCAAGAGCAACTTTTATCTCAAAGTTGATGTATATCCTTCCTTTCCATGATTTTATATTTGACTTCAAGCATGTGTATGCATAAACAGCATATGGAATAAAAATATACATAAATAGCATCATTCCTATACATATTCTACAACCTGCTTTTTTATTAAACGTTATGTTTTCTAATTCCTATCCACATCAATACAAGTGCATCTTGATCATGTGCTTTTTGTCTGGTTAAATAAGTCTTATTTAACTCTGGTTTGGAATTCCGTTGTTTGAGATATACCACAATATATCCATCTATCCATTTCTCTATTCTCGAACATTTTAATTGTTTCTAATTTTTCTCTACTACTAACAAAGTTTCAATAAACATCTTTGTACCTGAAAGTGAAATTACCTATTCATATGTCCATTTTTTTGTATTTTTAAATTTCTTTTTCTTATTCATTTGAGGGAGCTATTTAAGTTTTCAAATACAATCTGCTGTTGTTGTTGTTATATAATGCAAATATCTTCTTCAAGTGTATGTTTTATTTTTAAACATTAAGCTCTCTTTTGTTTGTAGTCAACTTAATCAAACCTTTCCTTTGTAATTGGTGTTTTTGTCTTGTGAAATCTTTTCTTCTAAGATTTAGTAGAGATTGTAACCTCTAATTTCTACTAAAAATATTAAAATTTTGTATTTCTTATTTAAATACTTAATCCGTTTGGAATGTTTGACCATACTGGGAGTTAAGAATTTAATTTAATGCTTTTTTTCTATATGAAAAATAATTAACCATTACCAGTTTTTGAATACCCAGTCTTTTCTTAATGATCTGTAATGTCATCTCTTTCATATATCAAGCTGTCACGTAAGGAGGACATTACTAGTGCTCACCAATATCTGGCTATTCTGTCTTCCTGGATATCCCAAAGACTACTTCTCAGCTCTTCACCAGGACCATGTACCTAGAAATGACCAATGGCTTGTGAGCGGAAATGATGTGTGTAATTCTGGGATAAGACTGTGAAACATCCTTGTTCTATCTTTCAGTTTTCCTCTTCTCCTGTGTTAGAAAGCGTGAAGAATATATGTTGGAATGAGGGAGCCCACACAAGATAGAGCTACCTGGATTGTCACATCACCTTGTGGTCATCTGTACTAACAGCAGGTCCTGCGTGAGTAAGAAGTTAACTCTGAAGTGCTAAACCTCTGAGATGTCAGGACTAATGTGTTACTGTAGCTTACCTTGATGAATATGCCATGGTTCTGACTGTGGGCTCTCTATTTTCTTCCACTGGTTCATTTGTCTATCCAAATACCATTACTGCATTATCTTAATTATTTTGGCTTTTGTATAAAGTCTTGCTTTCTCATAGGGCAAGTCTCTATCCTCCTTCTCTTTCTTGTCTTTTTTTGTCTTTTTATCTTTCCAAATGGATTTTTGAATAATTATCAAGGTTAACAAAATTGCTGCTGAGACTATGATTAGAATTTTATTAAATCTGTGCTTTAAGTTGAGAAAAAATGACATCTTCATTATACTGAGTCTTCTATCCAAAAGCATGATAAATCTCCTCCATTTATTAGGTTTAACCATATTAAAGTACCATTTTTTGTAGATTGAAAAAGCCATAGGACCTGTCTGAGGTATCATTTAGAGACAGGAAAAGATGATCAAGTTCACATAGTGAGTTGAAAAAACAATGGAGAAAGAATAGAATATTTCTGCCTGTCCTATCAAGTCTAATTTAGTCAATAAGCTAGTTGTATGAGTTAGATCATGAAAGCTTTAAATTTTTTTAAATGATTAAAAATGTAATTTCATACACAGCAAAAGAATATATATGAAAGATATGTGTGTAGGGCAGTGGTTCTTAATTGGGGGTGATTTTTGTCTCGTAGGGTACATTTGGCAATGTCTGTGGACAGTTTTGGATGTCACAACTGGGAGGATGGTGCTACTGTCATTCAATCAGTAGAGGCCATCCTACAATTGCACAATTGCTTGCTTATGCCTTACTTATTTATTTTTTATTTTAATTATTTTTTAGAGATGGGGTCTCCTTCTGTTGTACAGACTGGAGTGCAGTGGTGTGATCTAAGCTCACTGCAGCCTCAGGCTCCTGGCCTCAGCTGCCACCCACAGCAAATATTTATTTGAGTTTGAGAACCCTGATATGAAGTGACTTAGAATAACAATAAAATAAATACCATATCTCACAATCTGGCTTAAAAAATTAAATTGAAAATTCATTTAACCATAGAAGTCACCACTATACTGATTTTTGAGTTTATCGTTCCTTTGCATTTCTTTATAATTTGACTCCATATGCATGCATCACTAAAAAATATATGGTTGAGTTTTGCATGTCTGTATACTTTATAAAATGGAATCCCACTGCATACCGTGTTTACAGGATCCATGTATGTTGAAGTGTGAAGCTGTAGTTCGATTGATTCATTCATTTTTCACGGTTGTATAGCATTCCATTGGGTGAATTTAACATACTTTAGTGTCATGTTGATTATTTAGGTTGTTTCCGGTTTTCTATTACGAACAGCATTATTATGTACATTGTTGCATGCACCTTTTGGTGCACATGGAAAAGCTTTTCCTCATGGTATATGCTTGGAATTAAACTGCTGGGCTACAGAGTATATGCATTTTTTACTTTATTGGAAAATGCAGATGAGCTAATATACATTTTTGTCAGCTGTGTGTAACTGTTCCTGATGCTCCACATCCATGGGACTCTGTAGTCTTTATAATTTCTGTCAATCTGGTGAGTCTAAATGGTATCTTTTTTGATTTTAACGTGCATTTCCTAAATTTATAATAAGGGGGCAACATTTCATATTTTTATCAGCTATTTGTGTTTATTTTTTGGTGAAATGCTTGCTTAGGCCTTATTTATTTATTGTTTTAATTTTTTTAGAGATGGAGTCTCCCTCTGTCACACAGGCTGGAGTGCAGTGGTGTGATCATAGCTCACTGCAGCCTCCAACTCCTCACCTCAAGCAATTCTCCTCACTCAGACTCCTGAGTAGCTAGGATTACAGGCCCATGCCACCACCTCCAGATAATTTTAAACTTTTTTATTTTACAAATAGGATTTTGCTATGTTGTTCAGGCTGGTCTTGAACTCCTGGACTCAGGTAATTCTCCCACCTCAGCCTCCTGCATAGCTGTATTTATGTCTTTTGCCTATTAAGTTATTGGTCTTGTTTTCTTTTAGGAGCTTCTAAATATTCCACATACTAATCCTCTGTTTATTATATGAATTGCAAATATCATCTACCAATTGGTGGATTGTTTTCACCTGTTAAATAATGTCAGTATTTTCTTTTTTTGGTTCTTTAAAAGTCATATTGAAGAAAATTACTGTCTAACCTAAGGCTATAAAGAAAAGTTCTATTTGAAACTTTAACCTGAATCGAAATATATTTTTGGTTGTATTTTAAGGGATCTAGTTCTATATTTTCAATATACCTAGCCTATTGTCCAAGCACTATTTCTTCAAAAGTCCATTTTTCTCTTACTAATATGCAAAATCCCTTTTATCACATATTAATTTTACATATATGTGTGTGGGCCAGTTTCTGGACTCTATTTTGTTTTATTGGTTTATTTATTTATCCCACACCAATATCATGCTATTAAGCTATTTTTGTAAATGGGGCTTAGTATCTGCTAGGATGAGTCACCCAATTTTTTTCTCCTCATTATGTAGAAGTTTTTGTTTCTATTTTTGGCAATCTTGGTCTTCAGTACAAATTTTAGAATTAGCTTATCAAGATTTATAAAAAATCTGGTTAAGATTTTAACTGGAATTGCATCAAATCTATAGATTTAGAGAGAATTGATATCTTTACAATATTTAGTAACCCCACCCCACCAAAATTTATTCAATTTTTCTTATATATTTAAATTTATTCAATTTTTCTTATATATCCTGGCAATGCATTAAAATTATTTTCATGCAGTGATTCTGTGTTTGCAGTGAGAGGGCCTCGTTCTATATCAATCCATCTGCCTTGACTGGTATATCCTCAAATACTATTAACCAGATCTATATTTTTAACAAGATTCTTCAAGAAATATATAATCTAGTGATAATGGTTAATAGCTATAGCTACACATAGAAAAGATTAAATCAACTAAACCTGTAAAGAATTTTCAGTTTACTTGAATTAATGTGGGTTGGGATAATTCATGATTCTCACTTGAAGTATTCCCTTTTTATTGACTTCTTCCCTAATCTTATTTCTAGAACAACACTGAAGCTTCTTTTCCATTAAAATCTTCTAACATCATCTTCTATTTTAGAATATCCATGTGAACCCTACTTTTCCCCACTAGACCTCAAAATTACATTAATGCTTTCTTGCCCAATACCTCAAATGATCAAAAACAAGGATGTTTCCCCTCCAAATATTTATTATAGCAATTTTCAAACAGTAAGAAAATTTGCAAGAACAGTAAAATAGAAACCATATACCCACCACCTATAGAAACCATTTAAGGTATTAGTATTTTCCCCTATGTACTTCATCTCTCTCCTATTCTAGTATTTATCAATCATCTATTTTGTTGAACCTTTTCAACATAAGTTGCATTATTATGACCTTTCATCCTTAAATACTTTAACATGCATCTCCTAAAAATGACGTTTTTCTATATAAACACAATGCTATTATATACCTAAGAAAGTATTAATGATATTCCAAAAACCATCCAATATCAAGTCCATATTAAACTTTTCCCATTGGTGAGTTTTCTACTTCTACTCTTCCTTCTGTATTAGCCAGCATTCCTCTTTAAAGCAGAGGTTTTATCACTAACTAGAGAGGTAAACATTAGTTGCTTCTAAATAGCCAAATTAAATTAAAATGCAATTTCTTAACCTGGGATTTGTAGTGACCACAGGATGCACTTCGGAGTTTTCTGACCCTCTTTAAATTGTATATACATACATACATATTTTGGGGGGCAGGGGAGAAGAGCCATACTATGCTCAGGTTCTCAAAGGTGTCTGTGATACCCCAAAAGATTAAGAACCACTCTTCTAAATGTTCCTTGTTATCCAGTGTGAAACATGGAATTCTCTGTATTGACATATAGAGGAACTATACCAAATGAGAAATAGCCATATGTTCCATTTCAGAATGTGTGTTGCTGATTAAAAGCCAAATGGGAGTTATAAAATTTGGGAAAGTGAAGGAAAATAAATGCAACTATTAATTAGGATCTAGTTATGATGCTGTTGTGAAGAATAATACATCTTTAGCTTAAATAATATTCAATATCTTGATTATATGTACCATTAGGGGAAAATAGTGACTAAGTTGTTGTTAGTCTATAAAATTAAAACATACCCCAAAAATTAAAGCATTGGCCAGGTACGGTGGCTCACGCCTGTAATCCCAGCACTTTGGGACGCCGAGGCAGGTGGATCACGAGGTCAGGAGTTAGAGACCAGCCTGGCCAATATGGTGAAACCCCGTCTCTACTAAAAATACAAAAATTAGCTGGGCGTGGTGGTGCATGCCTGTAACCCCAGCTACTCGGGAGGCTGAGGCAGGAGAATCGCTTGAACCCTGGAGGCAGAGGTTGCAGTGAGCCAACATCGCGGCACTGCACTCCAGCCTGGGTGCTAGGGTGAGACTCCATCTCAGAAAAAAAAAAAAAAAAAAAAATTAAAGCATTATCATTTACTGACAGTCACTGATGACTCCGGTGGTGACAGGTTAGCTTAGTTCACACATTTCATAGATGATTAAAGTTAATGAGTGAAGTGTGAGCAGGACTCTACTTAATGAATGTGCTAATTGTTTTCCTTGCTGCAAATGTTAGTGTTGCTTTTAACCACAATATACAGAAGATTAGGAGCCAATTCATTATATGTTATTTAATGAGTTATATTTATACTATATAATGGCATTGTTAAATTCACACAGTACCCTGCTTAATATTCAAAGCACTTTACTAGAGCACACTATTTTAAGCTCAAAGCTGTCCTTTGTCATAGGGAGGCAGGAAGAGTATGCCTATTTTATTTAGCATGGTGGTTATGAACTCAGCCTCTGAATTCATGCTGCCTGGATTTAAGTCCTGGCTCCTACTTACCAACTGTGTGACCTAAGAAATGTTACTGACCTTTCTGTGCCTCAGTTGTCTCACTCATAAAGCAGGGTGAGTAGTAGTATCTACATCATGGGGTGTTATAGAATTTGGTGAGTTAATGCTTGTAAAGGGTTTGATGCAGTGCTGGGCATGCTGCTAGTCTCCAAAGTATGTTACATGATTCTCAGTTACACTCCTTCCCTCATGATCCATTCTCCACGCAGCACTCAAAGTGAACTTTCAAAACTGAGAATCCCTTCATGCCACCTGGCTGCTTAAAATACTCTGGGGACTGCCCATGGCAAGGGATTGAAATCCAAACCATTCACCATGGCCAGGCCTGTTCTCTAGACTGTGCCTAGCTCTGTGCACTCATCTTTCTCTCCTCACCCGTGCCTGGCTCCTGTGCTCTAAGCATGCTGCTCTCCTTTTCGTTTTTCAAACACACCAAACTCTTTTCTGCTTCAAGGACATTGCCTGAACCCCCTTCCCCCAGATCCTCTGGCACCTCTGATTCATGTGCCAACTCAAGGCAGATTCAGGAATGAAGGCTGCCTTCCCTGACTACCCAATCCCAGTTGCACCTGGCTGCTGCCACAGCCCTGTTGAATGAATAGATGAATGAAATTTTGTGAACCTTCAGGCTCATGGCACACTATCATCACTAGTCCTTGCTTTATTCTATTTTCTTTATAGCTCTTATCCCTTAAACAATGCATAAATGTACACACAGGTTATTTATTTATCTGAATAAATCTGCAGTGATGCATAAGTCCCTTAGAACTCAGAATCTCCTTGGCTGATACTGTCATTCTTTCCATATGCTCTCTTGGCTGGTGGTTCTCCAAGTTCAGTGTGTGCTGGGCCTATCTCCAGAGTTTCTGATTTGGTAGGCCAGGGCAGATCTCTTTGGGAAAGTGACATTCAAGGATGAGGCTTAAAGGATGAGAAGAAGTCCAATCACATGGGAGCTGGAGGATGAGAGTTCTAGGCGGTAGGAACAGCAAGTGCCAATAAGCTGAGCTGAGAAAAGAGCTATAGTGTTTGAGTAACAGAAGGAAGGTGAGTATGGCTAAAGCTTGGAGGGAGAGTGGGAAAGAATTCCAGGCTGACCTTGAACAGGAGGCAGGGGTCTGATCAGGCAGTGCCTATTGGCCCTGTGGGGGAGGGTAGTTTGTGTTCAGAGTACAGTGAGAAAGCTTTGCACAGGGGAGAAACATGATCCAATTCACATTGTTTTAAAGGTTCACTCGGGATGCTGTGTGGACAAAGCCTTGTAAAGGGGCAAAAGTTCAGTAATGAGATTCATTCTACTCCTTCCTTTGAAGCAGTCCTCTGGTCTACACTGACTTCCCACAGAGCCCACTGTGTGTTTTGGGCTCTAGAGCTGCTAGAGAACTCCTTTAAAGTAGGTGGTTGCCATTGTAGCAAACAAATGAATATAGTGTCTGCCTCAATTCCCAACTTGGAGGAAAAGCTTCAAGCTCACAGTCTCTGTCTAGGGAGCAGCCCATGTCTTTTTCTGTGTAGGGGAACTCTGTATTCTGCCTCACCTATCCTGTTGCTCTGGCCCAGGTGTTGGACCAGGAGAGACACCAGGGTGGCCAGAATGCAGGCTGGCCTGCAGTTAGCGAGGTGGCCTGGCACAGGGCTCTGCCTAGCAAGGTTAATGATAGTGAACAAACCACTCCCATCAGACACTGTCTTTTGCAGCAGCAGCAGTAGCAGATGGTAGCAGGACTCGAGGCTTATGTGCAGAGAAACATCATGAGGCTGCAGAAGCCATGAGAGCGAGGTTATGAATTAGAGTCCGAAGTGAGCAGAACTTATTGGCAAACCTAAAAGGCAGTGGAAAAATACCTAGAGCAAAATGGGTTGCTTGGTGATGGCGGAAGAGGCAGAGGCCAAGGCAAAGCAACACTAGGTCCCCAACCTGGTAGAGTCCATTAACTTCTGCTGCTGGGAAGTAGAATGAATGGAAGCAAAGAGGGCCGGGTTTCCAGAGGGGTGCCAAGTCCTCAAGGTAATCCGTTTCAAGCCTGCCTCTTGTGGGCTTCTCTGCCTTGATGACCTCCCTTCTATACACGTCCTGAAATACCTTCCTACCCACACTCATTACACAGAGTGCCCCAAACCCCTTGCCAAAATGAACCTACACCCACACCCCACCTAGGAATGGAAATTCCTCCTTGCTTACTGGAATTCCTTTACAGCCCTTGGATGTACAACTTGTTGTAATTTAACACTGTTCTATCATTGTTTAGGCCAGAATAATGTCTTCATTTTTAGTTGAAACTTTAGTATAAATTTGCCTTCACAGAAAGAAATGAACACCTGTTGCACCAAAATATGAGAAAGTAGCCATCTGACTGTAAATTACTATAGAATAGCAAAATCTCCCCTAAAATATAATTTTTAATTCATTGAGCTTATGATTTATACATTTTTTGGTATGTAAAATTCTAAAAATGAAATATAAAATATGGTAACATTTTCTCAGAGGTGCAAAAGAGGTGCACCACTTACCTGTTTAAAACCACTTATTAGGCTGGGTACAGTGGCTCATGCCTGTAATCCCAACACTTTAGGAGACCAAGGCGGGAGGATCATATGAAACTACGAGTTTGAGACCAGCCTGAGCAACAAAGCGAGACCCTATCTCTACAAACAAATTTAAAAAACTCATTTATTAGTAATTCATAACCTTTAGGGAATAATCTCAGATCCTTAGAAGGAAATTGGAGGCCCATCTCTTCAGCCTCCTCTACCAACCCATTTTTCTGCTTTGTTTTCCAAAATGCAGAGGTCCTGCTCCATCTGTATGGAACCACCTGTAATGTACTGACCAGGTGTGCTCTCTCATGCCTTGTACTGTTATAGCATGTCTGGTCTGGAAGCCTCTCTGCAACTTCAGTCCCCACTAGTTTGAGTGACTCCCCTCCTTGATCACACTTGGAGCTGACTTCTTCCATTACATTGTGATGTGTTCCACTGGGCGTTTCTGTTTACTTGTACATTCAGGGCTAGGATCTCAGCCTCCAGAAGACAGGGACTGTGCCTTTATCTTTCTCCAGGGACTAGCTCTGTGCCAGGGCATGTATAGCGTGTGGCCCAAAATAAAGGTTTATGGAATGAAGGAATGAAGCTGCAAAGTCTCATGCCATGGTCTCAGAGGTATGGCTTGGGGTTGCCCCAGGAAGACAGATTTGGTACTCTCAATATCTTTATCACAGAATATGTATACAGTCCTTCTTCACACATGATTCCTAAATAATGTCATGCATGGGTGGCATGCTTCATGAAGTTTCAGGGTTTTAAATACATCTCCCTTCCCCCAGGTCCCACCTAGAAAGGTCAAGTGTGTTGTATAAACCCTTCCTCTGTATGTGGCCTAGATGAGGAGATCAAACACCTCACCTGTCCCAGGAGCAGAATGTTTTCTGGGTCTCACTGGAGTCTGGCTTTGATTACTTTTTAATCATTGGCTTCAGTCTGTGGGAACTAAACCTACATGCCACCTCCTCAGAGGCATTTTGTCTCTCTGGACAACTTGTTCATTCCTTTATAGCAGCGGTCCTCAACCTTTTTGGCACCAGGGACCAGTTTCATGGAAGACAATTTTTCCATGGATGAGGGAGTGGGGGGGTTGGTTTTGGGATGAAACTGTTCCACCTTAGATCATCAGGCATTAGATTCTCATATGGAGCGTGCAGCCTAGCTCCCTCACATGTGCAGTTCACAGTAGGGTTTGTGCTCCTATGAGAATCTAATGCTGCTGCTGACCTGGCAGGAGGTGGAGCTCAGGTGGTAATGCTTGCCCCTGCTGCTCACCTCCTGCTATGTGGCCCAGTTTCCAACAGGCCACAGACTGGTACCAGTCCACAGCCTAGGGGTTGGGGACCCCTGCTTTGTAGCACTCAGTACAATTTTACTGATATATTTATTTCTTTACCCTCTCTCTCAGAGTTGGGCATGAGCTCTGCAAGGGTGGGGATGGTGCCTGTTCTATTCATTGCTCACCACACAGTGTGGCTTCAAAGGTACCTGATGAGCATCTGCTGGGTTATGTTTGGGTTGAAATACCCTCCAAGTGTCATACTACTAACTGGCATGCCCAACTTTGAAAAATATCACATAATTTCTCTCTCTCAAAAAAAAAAAAAAAAAAAAAAAAACCCTGAAGGGTGTGAATTGCTATTACTGTTTTACCTGTAAGGTAATAGCCCAAAGAGAGGTTGACTTGATGAAAATCACAGTCAATGAGAGAAATAAAGACTTGGAACCAGATTTTCTGATAGAAAGCCAGTTTTTTGACTTCTACAATTATCTTTAGAGAAAATTTCAGGAGTGCTAAACTATGCAATGCTATTCCAAAGGTCACCTGGTGGAAATTCTATTGTCCCTCTGCCAGGTGCATACTAGGGAAGAGAAAGAAAATCAACAGGATGATAATGAAATGATGGTAGAAATGATCCAGCCTATTGAACATGCTGCTTGGCTTTCCCTTACAGTTGTTATAGTAACTTATTATAAAACAATAAGACACAAATCTTTAATTCACACCAAAAAATAAACTCCCTGTAATCTCATATGTGTGCCATCACATCTTTAGGAAGCTTTTTGTTAGTTGAGTTGATAAGCATCGACATTGAAGTCTTATCAGTCCAACAAGAGTGAAGAGAATTCAAATGTGAAGTTCAATCCGGTCAAGAATTTGTTATTGGGCAGGAACCAATAAAAATGAGGCTCTGAGTTCATTATTCTAGTTTTTAGAATGCTCTGTCAGAATAAATAGTAGAAAATATTTTATTTTCAAAACATAATGTTTTATACATATTAGTGTAAAGCACTATGACTCAGATATTCTAGTTACCATATCTAAACATTATGGCAAAAATTGCTATAAGAACACATGGAGATAGTACAAGCTTCTATGAATTATGATGAGCAAATGGCATTGATTCATGTCTCTGTGAATTAAAAGCTTAGGAAATGTCTATAGACCTTCCCCTTTGATGTATTGTCTGCTAATCTTTATAAACAATTTCCTGGATATTCTCATGATAAATTTAGATGTTTTAATACAATGTTTCTTAAATGATTTTGATTACAATTCACAGTGAAAACTACATTGGAACCCAAGGTACACATACATATGTATATATAACTGGAAATGTGTCTTACAACAATACCTTTGCTGTGTACCATGTATTCTGGTATTTTTTATTTTATTCTTTCCTATTTCATTAGTTAAAACAAATTCTGGTCATTATCCAGTAAGCTGACTTCATGTCCCTTTCACGGATTGTGCCCATAAGCTTAAAAACTCTCTTAGAGGGTGTTCTCGGCATATATTGCTTTGCAACAAACAACTGCTACTTTGTGGCTTAAAACAAAAACAGTTTTTATTACATTTCAACATTTTATTGGTCAGGAATTTGGGCAGTGTTTGGCTGGGTGATTCTTATGTTCCATATGGCATTAATGGGTTCACTTGGCAGCATGTGGCTGAAGAATGACTGGTTTTAAGGGCCCCAGATGGCTTCACTCATATGTTGTTGGAGATGGCTAGAAAACTTGGCTCAAGTGGGACTGCCAATAGAAGGGCCTGCATGTGCCCACTCTGGCTTAGAGAACTCTAAGTAGTTGAATTACATGATGGCCCAAGAATCCACCAAACAAGATGGAAGCTCTATGACCTTTTATGACCTAGCCTTGAAAGTCCCACTGTGTCATCTCCATGGTACACCATAGGTGAAAGCAGTCACAGAGCCCACCCAGATTTAAGGAAAAGGAACATAGATCCTAATTCTCAGTGGAAACAATGTCAAAACATTTTTGGACATGTTTTCAAAACCATACAAGTAGCATTGAGTCATGTTTCTCTGAATTAAGAGCTGTGGATATATCTATGGACCATCCCTTTTGATCTAAAATTTATAAACAGTAACTTCTCTATTCTTATATTAAATTCAAATGTTGTAATACAATGTTTTTCAAATGATTTGACTATAATCCACAGTGAGAAATACATTTTTCATTACAATCCAGGACACACACACACAAACTACACATACATAACATTAAAAATGCTTTATGAAACAATACTTACACTGTGTACCTTGCATTCCATAGCTTCTCTTGTATTTTATTATATTTGTAAATAATGGTAGCTATTACCCACTAAATGAATTTCACACTCATTAATGAACTGTGACCCTAAGTTTTAAAAACACTGTTTTAGTGGATGATCCCTTTTTTCAGTTTAGGCCCAAATTTGCCTTTTCGAGACCCTTAGCTCTTGGAGATCAAGAAAGTGGTTTTATTATGCTTTGTTTCTGATGCCATTGTAGATGTTCAGTAAATGTTTCTTGAGTCTTGAATTGAGAGAAAGAAAAAAAATAAAGGAACGAAATTTCTCTTACTCTGTCTACAATTTTACATTTGTCTTCTATTCTCTTTGACCTCAGTGTTACAGTTCAGTGAAACTTGTGCAGAAGTTATACATCATGATATATAACAAGGCCAGTGGTGGCTAAGGATCTATTATTCAGTTGAATTTCTTTCTTTCCTTCCAGCCTTTCTTCTGTCCAACATCTAGCGGAAAGATAGACATGTAAACAGAAAACACTAATACAAGTTCATAACTGAGATGGTTGACAGTCTGTCCAAAGTGTGCAGAGTAGGGAGTTATTACTTCTGTCTGTAGTAGAATTGGTGAGGCCACACAAAGCAAAAGGCATTTAGGAGGATGAAAAGGATTTGGTTAGATAGATGAGGAGAAGAAATGTTTTCCTAGTGGAGGCGCAACATGAAGAAAGACTGAGAGGTGAGATGTGTCTGCAGGGGGTCCTGAGAGTCTGTGACATTCCTGTGAGTGTGGAGGACAAAGAGAGAAGGGAGGAAGGGAAGGATGGGGAGAGAAAACTGAGGAGGTGAGTTGGGGCCATGTCAAGAAAAGCCTTATGACATATTAAGTCATTTAGATCAGGGGTGCTCCCTGGTACCCGTCAGTGGCTTGTTAGGAACTGGGCGGCCCAGCAGGAGGTGAGCGGGGAGCAGGGGGCGAGTGAGTGAAGCTTCATCTGTATTTACAGCCACTCCCCATCACTTGCATTACTGCCTAAGCTCTGCCTCCTCTTAGATCAGTGGCGTCATTAGATTCTCACAGGAACAAAAATCCTACTGTGAGCTGCGCATGCGAGGGATCTAAGTTGTGTGTTCCTTATGAGAATCTAATGCCTGATAATCTGTCACTGTCTCCCATCACCCCTAGATGGGACTGCCTAGTTGTAGGAAAACAAGCTCAGGGCTCCCACCAAGTCTACATTATGGTGAGTTGTGTAATTATTTCATTACATATTACAATCTAATGATAATAGGAATAAAGTGCACAATAAATGTAATGCACTTGAATCATCCCAAAATCACTCCTTACCCCAGTCCATGGAAAAATTATCTTCCACGAAACTAGTCCCTGGTGCCAAAAGGTTGGGGATGGCTGTTTTAGACTCTATCCTGAAAGCAACAGAGGAGTGTTTCATCATATGGCACCGTTCTTAAAAATTATAGGCAAAGGTCAGCACATAGAGATATGAACCAATACAACCCTGCCAAAGGCCCTCCCAAAGTAAGCATATGTCTCTTTATTTCCAGCAGAGGAAATTAACAGCACCAGACTTTCTTCATTATTAACATGAACAAATGGTGGCTTCGGTCTGTGATCTATAGCTGTAAGATAAGCTGCTATGCTGTATCCCAGGAATACACTGGAACCTGGTTTAGGGACGCAAGGTGGGGACTCAGGATAGCTGAATTGCTTTTGGCCACTCTTAGATTCCTAATCTCTGGTGTGACGTGACACTTCAGAAAAGTGGGCCCTAGTTTTCTCCACTGCAAATTATGAAGTGAGATTAGATCAATGATTTATATCAGCAGTTGCACATTTTTTTTCTTATAAAGAGCCAGATCATAAATACGTAGGGTTTGTGGGCCATATGGTCTCTGTAACAACTACTCAGCTCTGCCATTGTAGCTTGAAAGCAGCCATAGACAATATAAAAATGAATTGGCATGGCTGGGTTCCAAAAAAGCTTTATTTGCACGTGCTGAAATTTGAATTTAGTACAATTTTCATATCTCGTGAAGTATTGTTCTCATTATTTTTTTCAACCATTGAAAATGTGTAAAATACCTTCTTAGTTTGCACGTTGTAAATAGCAGTGGTGGGCTGGATTTTGGCCTATGGGCTATTATTAGCCAATCCCTGTTCTCTATGGTTACATCAAAGTATAAGGTTTCTATATATGCCCTATTTCCTTACAGGAAACATAGAATGGTTTTTAAAAGTTCAACAATAGTATATTTTCTAATGTTTGTACATTTAATAATTTAGTTTTAAACACAGCCAACCTGTATGGATAAGACTTATGTTGGTTATAAGGGTGCTTACTTTTTGGTAACAAAGATTTGTGGAAAAACTATAGGACCAAAATTAATTAGCTTCCCTGACACTCCTACTATGACTACAGATACTTTAAGGAATTACTTTATCAATTCTTATGTTGTCACACAGACGGATAAGAAGTTACAGTATTAATATTTTTAAAACTTTTTTTTTTAAGTGAGAAAGAGCTGAACAGATATTTCTACATCCATGTTCTGACAGCATTATTCACAATAGCCAAAAGGTGGAAATAACCCAAATGCCCACAGGTGAATGGATAAACAAAATATGATATATACATACAATGAAATATTATTCAGCTTTAAAAAGTAATGAAATTATGATACATGTTACAACATGGATGAACCTTGGAGACATTATCCAAGTGAAATAAGACCGGTACAAAGAGACAAATATTGCATGAATCCACTTAAATGAGAACCCAGAGTAGTCAAATTCATAGAGACAGAAAGTAGAATGGTGGTTGCCGCAGGCTGAGGGAGGGAAAAATGGGGAATTGATGAATGGGCACAGTTTCAGTTTGGAAAATGTAAAAGTTCTGAAGATGGATGGTAGTGATGGTTGTACAGCAATGTAAATGTACTTAATGAACTTAAAAATGGTAAAATGGTAAAATGTATGTTATGTCTATTTTACCACAACAGTTTAAAAAAGGAGAATAATAGAACAATGAAATAGTTGACCTAGCATCACACAAGACAGAAAGAAGATCGGAGTCAGCTGCAGGACTAGGACCTGGGATAGTAGTGCAGGGCTCTTTGACCACAAGATGACTGTGACAACTTTAAGATCTTTCTTTTGAGCCCTTTGTAATGGGCACTTTGCAATATTATTTCAGAGAATCTCAACTGACATTTTACAGAGGAGGAAACAGAGGTTCATTTGTCAAGGAACCAACAGGCAAGGTTGGGAAGCAAACCCATGACTGTGCTTCCAAAGCCTTTGTCTTGACCACCACAGAACACCACTTCCCCGAAATTCTGAAGCCATCTATCTTGGAGTAGGGAAGCCTCTGCCACTGAATGCAGGTTTTTCAGTGTAAATCATGGAGCCATTGCTACCCCTGAAGGCGAGAGGCTCCCGTAACTGCGCTGCCTGAGTCTGGGCCCGCGGCACAGGACCTGGTGCTGTTGGTTTATGGTAAAGCAGGAAGGTGGTGCCTCGTGCTGGCAGATGATGCTGCGGGCCAGGTTCGTTTGTGTCTTCACTCTCAGAAGCATGGCTAATACAGCCTTTTAACTCACAGATTCCCACCTCAAATGTTTACATGACACCACTAAATAAAAAATATGTGCATGCTCTACCTCCCCCACTTGACTGTAAGGTAAAGGCAGGAGCTGGGCCTCTTTAATATTTATACCCTCCATAAGCTCACCCTGTGCTAGGGTTTGCATCAAGTAGGCACTCAGCAAATATTTGTTGAATGAATGCATAAATGAATGTTAAATCATCTGCCTCCAGATTTTCCTTTTGTTTCCAATTTTCCCTTCCATCTGACATATGCAAGTGCCTCCCGTGTCCCTTTCACAGATATTACAGATGCCCTCAACTATTTTTTGTGTTCTTCTGGCCTGCTTTTTCTCATTGCTGCTGCAACAGACTGAGGGCCAAAAATAGAAACCTCCTTGACAACTTTGCAGAGGACTTACATTCCTGATTCCTAAGGTAGCAACACTGACTCTGTTGGAGCAGGATGGGAATTTCATGACCTGTCACATATTTGATTTTGCCTGATTTTTACAAGGGATAAAAGTTTTCCCTGCATGGTGGTTGATGCAACTTGCAATCACCCTTGGAAGTTAGGGTTTGGGACAAATAGAAGAATGTCATCAAACAGAGGAATGTCACCACTTGTCTTAAGGATGCTTCCAAATTCTTGAAAAGGAGACAGAATTTCTTTTCCTTTCTCTTTTTCTCCTTCACTTCTTCCCTCCCTCTCTCCCTCCTTCCTTCTTATTTTATTTCTTTCCCTCTCTGGATATCTCTGGTTTATGGCAGGGCCCATGACTCATATGTGTTTTCAAGCCAGTGCATATTATGAAGACACAAGACAAGAATGTGTATAAACACATACTCTGCCATAATGCTGATTTCTTTGGATTAAACTGGGGGAAAAAACAGCAACAGACACTGCCTCAGTCTAGAATTATCTGTAATCCATATACATCAGCACATGGTTTCCAGTATTGTGTTATGGGGAATTAGAGAAGAGACCTGGCTCCTTCTCTCAGGGATACTACAGTATGCTAAGAAGATAGGACAGAGATAGAGTTAATAATACAAGTTAGCATCTAAGTGATAAGTGGGTACTAATAGAATCTAAATAGTCACTCTTAATAAAAATCATTTCCATTTATGCAGTGCTTGCTAAATTCTAGATACCATGCTAAGAACTTTATATCCTTAGCTCTTTTGAATTCCAACCATAACCCACAGCCTCAGTACACAGGTGTGGGGAGGCAGTGAAGTGCAGTGGTTGGTGCCAGGCTATGGAATCAGACTGCAAGGTCCTGGTCCCCGGTGTCTCTTGGCATTCCCTACTGCAGAGAGAGAATATTCCTTCCTAGACATTGAGTCATTGTGCCAGCGTCTGCTACCAGCCAGGTGACCCCTTGAGCGCAGATGCCCCTCTCTCTGTTTCCATTTCCTTGTCTATAAAATAAGGATAATCACCGTGGAACTTACCTTATAGAGTTTATATTAAATGAGATAATGTAAGTATAGTGCTTAAAACAGTGCCTGACATAAAGTCAATGACCTATAAATATTAGATTTTATGACCGAGGCTCAGAGAAGTTAAATAACTTGCCAGTGTTCACTCAATAAATTTATATCAGAATGAGAATTCACACTCAAACCTGACTGATCCCAAGGCCCTCTGATCTTAACCACTTCACAGTAATGGTTGTTCAGAGAGCAGTAAATCATTATGGATTAGTGTAAAAAGGGGGAAGATTTACAGAGAATGTGAGAGAGTTTGAAGGATGGAGTAGAATTTATTGAAAAAGAAATGGTGACTCTAGGCTTCAATGTAGAAAAATCTAGAGTTAACAAAGTGCCTCTCCCCATTTCCTTTGCCCAGCAACTACCTCTAGATTTCCTTTTTTTCCAATGAAGAAGACACAGCAGCTAAAATGCTCATCCCTGGGGATGGACAAAAATGCTTCCTGCCCTTCCCTAAATCTCCTGCAGTGGTGCTCTGGGTCATGGTTTCTTTTGTTTTATTTTAGGTTTTACTTGCTAATGTGCATGTGAATTAAAAAAATCTAATATTTTAGCACTTAATTATGTAACTCATTTATTTAAGTTAGAAACAATGTTTGTAAATGTGGTAGGAAGGGTATACCAGCTCTTCTCTCTTTGAGAGAACTAGGATCCTCTCAAAGTTAAGGAAATAGGGAAACTCTGTGTATATATGTATGCATTATTTTTCCATCTCCATCTAGGAACACAACAGAAGTTGGGGAAGCAACCACTCTTGGCATTAGAAGCTACAGGAGACTGGCTAGCACAAATTCAATCTTTGTAGTTCTCAGAGATTTGCAGATTATATTTTACATTTTCTAACCTTAGCATTGACCACAATAAGGGTCTCTCCTTCCTTTTCCATGTTAACCCTTGTAATATGCTTTGGCTATGTCCCCACCCAAATTTCATCTCAAATTGCTCCCATAATTTCCACGTGTTGTGGGAGGGACCCAGTGAGAAATAATTGAATCATGGGGGGCAGTTTCCCCCATACTGTTCTTATGGTAGTAAATAAGTCTCACAATATCTGATGGTTTTATAAGGGGTTTCTCTTTTTGCTTGGCCCTCATTCTCTCTTGCCTGCTGCCATGTCAGATGTGCCTTTTGCCTTCTGCCATGATTGTGGTACCTCCCTAGCCACATGGAACTGTGAGTCCATTAAAATTATTTTTCTTCATAAATTACTCAGTCTCGGGTATGTCTTTATCAGCAGTGTGAAAACAGACTAATACACCTTGGGCTCAGAGTCTTTAACAGACTGTGTGGAGAGAGGATGGATCACGTTGTCGGGGGTTGGGGATGGAACTTAGGGAAGGGAGGGGAAGGAAGCAGCCTTAGCAGGGCCAAAGGACTGTGGGAGAAGAAGCACAACTGTGGGAGAGGCTGTGGGGAGCCACTTCGTGCAAACAGAGCAGGGAGGAGGAAGCCTCTAGCCCCTACTTGGGTGAACTCCAGGAGGCCTCAAATAGACTGGGGGGCCACGCCCCAGAGCAGGCGATCTTCTGGTTATGCATGGAGACCCTTGCTTGCATCTGAGGCAGAGAACTGACAAAACACTTTTGTAATTCCAAATCTTTGTTTGACAACTTTTTGTTGTTTCCACCCAAGTCCTCCCATCACTGACCCCCACCACTACCAACTGTCAGCTGAATTCCACCAATAAAGAAGACAGGGACATGATGACAATCCTAAACGGATCTGCTTAACCAGCTGACAGCCACTTTTGTTACTAACTGTAGCACCCCTCCTGCTATGGGAAGGGGTGCAGGGTCTAAGTGAAATCAGTAGCTTTATGTACTATTCATTTCTCCCCTTTCACCCAACAAAATCTGAGATCACTGAACTTGTCTACCTTACAAAATGCCCTAAAGTATATTTGAACATCTTGTGATGGCTACATTTTGTTTCTAACCTATGTCATGCTTTATCTTCTCTTGCAGTAAGCACTTTATTGGTTTTCATGCCTTCCAATCTACTTTCTAACTGATGCTGGAGTTGTTTTTCTAAACCACAAGTCTGCAGTTGTCATTTCCTGCTTTTCATTGTCATCTGCTTAAAAAAAAAATCTTCAGTTTCTTTTCTATCCCAAGTAAAACGTAATATGAAATCTCAGTAGGTAAGACATTCTCAAGCAGCCCTGCTCTGTGAAAGTGGGGTTGGGTGCAGGCGGAGTCCTGCCCTCTCAGCCTGTCTCACCACATCTTTTGCCCCCTTGACCTTGACCAGTCCCCGTCCTGTCAGTGGCAACCACAGGATCTGATAGAACCTGTTTTGAGCGTGAGCATCCTCAAGCCCATGGCCCACTTCTCCACTCTCTTCTTCAGCACTGCCCATGCGGCTAGAACTCCAGGCCTCTTATTGTTCCTTCTGCCCTTGCACGTTCTCCTCCTTTCACTTCGTTGCTCTTCTTCTCCTCTTACCTGCTGATTTCCCACTCAGCCTTTGAGAAGGAGCTCAGAAGTCACTTTCTCTTAGAGCCATCTATAACACCCCCATGTGAGCTGTTCACACTCTGTGTCCGTGGCTCTCTCTGTCCACCCACATTATGCCATTTACTAGATTGCTTTGCAGGTCTTCTTCTGCATCAGTGTCATCCCTCACTCGGCCAAAGATGCCATGTCCTACTGTGTGCTATGGGTTGAATATTTGTCCCCTCCAAAACTCATGTTGAAATTTAAGCCCCAATGTGGTAGTATTGAGAGGTGGGGCCTTTTAGAGGTGATTGGGTCATGAGGGCTTTGGCTTATAAATTGATTAATTCATTCATGGACTAATGAGTTAATGGGTTGATGGATTAATGGGTTATCACAAGAGAGGGACCGATGGCTTATTTTAAGTTCTGGGATACATGTGCAGGATGTGCAGATTTGTTACATAGGTAAACGTGTGCCATGGTGGTTTGCTTCACCTATCAACCCATCACCCAGGTATTAAGCCCTGCATGCATTAGCTATTTATCCTGATGTCCTCCCTCCCCCCACCCCCCCAATAAGCCTTGGTGCATGTTATTCCCCTCCCTGTGTCCATGTGTTCTCATTGTTCAGCTGCCACTTATGAGTGAGAGCATGCAGTATTTGGTTTTCTGTTCCTTTGTTAGTTTGCTGAGGATAATGACTTCCGGCTTCATCTATGTCCCTGCAAAGAACATGATCTCATTCCTTTTTATGGCTGCATAGTATTCCATGGTGTATAGGTACCACATTTTCTTTATCCCCTCTATCATAGATGGGCATTTGGGTTGATTCCATGTCTTTGCTATTGTGAATAGTGCTGCAATAAACATACACGTGCATGTATCTTTATAATAGAATGATTTATATTTCTTTGAGTATATACCCAGTAATGGGATTGCTGGGTCAAATGGTATTTCTGGTTCTAGATCCTTGAGGAATCACCACACTATCAGTCCACAATGGTTGAACTAATTTACTTTTGGAACCAGTGGCTTTATAAGCAGATGAAGAGAAACCTGAACTAGCAAACTCAGCCTCCTTAATATGTGATGCCCTTTTCTACCTCAGGACTCTGCAGAGTGTCCCCACCAGCAAGAAGGCCCTCACCAGATACAGCTCCCTCAGCCTTGGACTTCTCAGCCTCCATAACTAGAAGAAATAAATTATTTTTAAAAATAAACTACCTAGTTTTAAGGAAGCAACAGAAAATGGACTAAAAATCATAGGTTATAAATGACCATTGTTTGTTAAATGGGGAAAAATCATGCACTGAGCTCATGTCAGAATGAAAAATTACCTCGAGCCCATTTATAGTTTAGCAAATTTGGTGAAAGTAACTGAGCATTTTCTTCATTAATAGTGCAGTAAATCAACAGTGCAGTTTTGTCCTTTAAACTACATCATTGAGACAAAATGGACTTTTTTGGCTACATTTTCAGTCAAGATGTCCAGAGTAAAATGAAATGGAAGAAAATGGTTCCTTAGCATTCCTGGGAAATGATCTCCTTCTCTCTCAAGGCTCAACTCACATATTTCCTTTTCCCTGGGGGGGCCATCGTTGACTTCTCAGTCCCATGTTTGTCTCTATTTAATTCTTCTTCTGATGTTCCTCTCCACTGCATGATCCTCTCCACTGCATAATCCACTCCTGAATTCCCTACTCTGGACTCAATCAAGATTTTGAGTTGAACTATGTTCATCTATGGAAGCAAAAGCTGGGTCCTGTGGTCCTTAGTGCTCTGTCTCTTTGATCAGGTAGTGAAGGATTTGCATCTCCAAGGACTCTTTTTTCCAAAGCCTTAGCAAAAAAAAAAAAAAAAATATATATATATATATATATATATATATTCAAGGAAAATAAGTCATTTTGAAGCATATGCCATTTGTCGTTTTGACCCACATGAGGAAGTGTTATAGGAAGGGAAAGATTGCTATTCAAAAACAAAAAGGAAAATTATGTAGCAGCTTCCACATTTTTAAAGACGTGGCAAAATTTAATTAAGGGCAAATATGTCCTTGCTAGAAGAGTCCAATAATGGGTATAATTCAGAATGCAAAGTAAAGCACCAAGTGTGATGAGTTAGGTAGTCTGTAACAGAAAAGCTCACTTATTTTCTGGTAGGCAGGGGGCTCTTGGAGCTGAGAGAAAAGGAGAGTTGGAAAATGGGAATCTGGATAGGTACAGTGTGCCACAGCAACATGGTGGCAGGCCAGAGGCCAAGGCCAGAAAGTTCTAGTAAGCAGTTTCCCCTTGTTGGAGGGAACGGGGGGCGGGCGGTGGTGGTGGTGGAGGAACTGTGAGTATAGTATTCTCTTGTGTGCACTTTTCAGTTGTTTATTATATCATGCAGTGCTAGTGCCTCTTCATTAATCCCAAAATTCAAATAAAGCCCATCATACACAATGGCTTTTAGTTGGTGGTGAATTATGGAAGCATGGAGGAGAAGGGTGGCTGCACACAGCAGGGAGAGGAGAGAGAGAGCAGCTGCAGGAGGTGGGAAAGTAAGCAAGGATCAAAACTTCAGAAGAAGCAGAAAGTCTTGGCAAGAGGATATTAGAACATCAATAGACCTCCAGGGAATACCACAGAATCATTTGGCAAATGCTCTACACCTCCCAGTTCATGAATTGGGGACTCAATCATTTTATTTGAATAGTAAAGGAAAGAGTGGCCCCAGGAAGCTGGGGGACTTGGGGAAATTTGAGCTACAAAAGGAATGTATAGCAGAAGAATGTGCATGCTGTCTCAAAAGGATGCTTTTCCACACTCTGGCAAGGCTATTTTACTACCTGGGCATCTTGATTTTAGAGGGCTAATATCACATTTGTCACATTAAATACAATACAGTATTTTGGTGTAAAAATGTGAAAACATCTTTGTAACTTTGCTTTTGATATTCTTATATATTCTTGATATTATTATCAATGTCCATTTTAGAGTTTAATTTTTTTTGGACCCAATAAATTTTTTAAGATCAGATCTTAAAAATTTTATTGTACCTTTGCAAAGCTTGTGAGTCTTCAGCCCTGTGCTCAATATAGCTAATGGATAAAATGTTCATACACCAAAGTAAGCTCTTTCTTGCAGAGGTAAAGCCAATTCCCAAAGAGGCCTTATCAGCGTTTCTCGACAAACACAGATAATTAACTCACACCAACAAATGCTTGATTTGGACCCTAATTTTTCAAATGGAATTTCAGTAGGCTCATTAAAATAGCATAGAAATAATTTTTAGTGTAAGTCTTTATCTATAAGCCTTTTGGTTATCAATTAGAGACTTATTTCTAATAAAAAGAAAAAAGCAACAATGTACTCAGTTATTAGTAAATTAAAACCTTCAAAGTAAACCTCAAGGCCTGATAAGAGCCCTAATTTTTTAAAGTGTTCTCCTGTCAAGAGAATATTTAAAGTACAGGTTTTATAGATACTTTCCTTTTAAATAGAATTCTCTTAGCTAATCAGATGCTGAGCGGCGTTGCCTTTAATTTTATCTGGCCAAGCTTCCCTCCATCTGTTTTCCCATAATGCTCTCATTCCCTCTTCCAGATGTTTGGCACGGCATCTCAACTTGATGTCTATTTCTTCTTGTTCTCCTTCACCTCACATGAACCTTCCAAGTCATAATTCTTTGGAAATAGACACAAGGAGCTTTATTTCAAATTACCATCCTTTACTTAAGAGGTTCCATCTCTAAGGTCAGTAGAAGTCATACAAAAATTTCTATCTCATTGTAGAATTTTTGGGTTGTCTATATTTTTAAAAAGAAGCCAAAAGTACAGGAGAGTTAAGCAACATCTCCATGTTCACATAAGCCAGAGACTTGAGAGTAGGAATTTAATATCAATAATTGTACTTTTAATTCTTTTTTTAGGATTTGATTTACTGAAAACTAAAGCTATTCTATCACTCTACAGCTTCAACTTTGATCAATGCCTCTATCCAATAGGGGGTCAAGTACCTGAAGGGAAGGAAAAGAATTCTCTGGAACATATGGCAGGAAAGGATCATTTGTGTGTGCCTGCTGAAAAGACAAATGACTCGTCCTCCCTGCCCTCTCGCTGTGTCAGTGATCCTTGCCGCTCAGCTGATCATAGACAATCTTGTGCTCTAGCTAATCTGCTGCTTTTCAAAGCAAACTGAATGGAAACAAAGGTTTAAGTGTCTGGAAACTAAATCACGACTTTAAAAAAATCTAGTGGCATGAAAAATTTCCTTGATAAAAGTATAGAGCATGTTAGGAAAATTCTTTTCTGAGGCCACCTGCTGACATTCTATTTTATAACTGGAGAGAATACTGCCTTATACCCCAAACTTAGATAGAATGAAAGCTTTTTGACCAGGAAGAAAAAAAATACCATAGACCTTATTTTTAAAAAGTTCGGTAGTTTTCATGGTACAAAGGAATCTGCAAAATAGAAAAACTCTCCTTCCCATCATTCAAAAAATAGTTTATTCGTTCCACTATCTCATGCCCATCCTTTATTCTTCCAGCCTTACTGCCAACATTTTGGGAAAGTCCTTATTGGCTCATGCTGCACAAGGGCGATGGCCAGCAGGCTGTTGCCAATCCTATATCTGTCCTACTGGAAGTCCTCCCAAGGAAAACCATACATTTATTTAAAAGAAATACCTTGCCGGGCGCGGTGGCTCACGCTTGTAATCCCAGCACTTTGGGAGGCCGAGGCGGGTGGATCACGAGGTCAGGAGATCGAGACCATCCTGGCTAACACGGTGAAACCCCGTCTCTACTAAAAATACAAAAAAATTAGCCGGGCGTGATGGCGGGCGCCTGTAGTCCCAGCTACTCGGGAGGCTGAGGCAGGAGAATGGCGTGAACCCGGGAGGCGGAGCTTGCAGTGAGCCGAGATTGCGCCACTGCACTCCCGCCTGGGCCACAGAGCAAGACTCTGTCTCAAAAAAAAAAAAAAAAGAAATACCTCAAGGTATTGGGAGAGAAAATGAAGCAACACAAGGATCCACCTCAGTGCATGGGTGGAGCTGCCCTGCTAGGGACAAATAAGAACAACTTCTTGTCTGTCAGAAGGGAAGAGAGGAGAAAAACCAAACTCAGGGATAGAGGGAGAGGTCTAAGCGATGGCAGAAGACATCTCAATCCTTGATGTAATCTTGCCCCATGACTTCCATTCATCTTTAGAAAAGTTCCCAAATTCAGCTGGGTGCAGTGGCTCACCCTTGTAATCCCAGCACTTTGGGAGGCCGAGGCGGATGGATAACCTGAGGTCAGGAGTTCAAGACCAGCCTGGCCAACATGGTGAAACCCCATCTCAACTAAAAATACAAAATAATAATAATAATAATAATTAGCTGGTCGTGGTGGCGGGCGCCTGTAATCCCAGCTACTTCTGGAGGCTGAGGCAGGAGAATCACTTGAACCTGGGAGGTGGAGGTTGCGATGGTGCCATTGCACTCCAGCTTGGGTGACAAAAGTGAAATTCTGCCTAAAAAAAGAAAAGTTCCCAAACTAGTAACATACTGGAAGCTGGTGGATTTCTGTGGACACCTGGGATTCACTTGTGCATGGTATCTAAATAGATGTGCAAGGTGCAGGAGCATGGAGATGTTGGGAAATGAGAGGAAAGAAATGCAAGAAAGCATGGAAAATGTGGGGAGAGCTTTTAACAGACATAGGCTGTGGCATTTGGCTTCACTCAGAGCTCTTGGGGAATGGGTTCCCTGGCTGTTTTAGGTTAGACCGTGAATGAGTCCTATTACCTATGGAGTTGACTTTGAATTGATCAGCCTGGCATTCCAGCCCTGTGTGATCTTCCCTTGATTGACTACCTTCCAGCCTCCTTTTCCAAACCTCCTTATAAATGAACCGAACTGTGCTGGTCACTTTCCCCTGAATGTGCATATTCCATTCCAGTGCCACTAGTAACTGGCTGAGTGATCATGGAGAAATTATTTAACATCTTTGATTTCCAGTCTATTCATCTGTAAATTGAGAATAATCTCATAGGATTCTTTCAAGAATTAAATTTGATAGTGCATAAAAAAAATCTGTAACCTGCTTCTCACTCTGTAGACACTTGATGAGTCTCACCTTCAACCCTTGCTTTTCCATTTGTTCCTTATGAAATTTTGCTCCTACGGATCCTTTTACCTTGCCCCTGCCAAGTTCAAACTCTAAGTACTTTAACTCCTATCATACTTTATCAAATATTGCCTAGCATTCTAGTTATTAATGCCTCTCTCATCTCTTCTAGCAGATTGCAAACATCCTAGGAACATTCATCTTTATATTCCTTAGAGCACCTACCTAAAGAGTTTGCAAATAGTGTATGCTCCATAAATATTTACTGAGTAAATCCTCCGTTATTGTTTACCAAAACACTCCACATGATTTTCAATTATGAAGATTTAAATTTAAATTTATTCTATTAAAGTCTCAAAAATAAGACAGGATTTCTCTATTAAATATTTTCCACTCAGTTTCCAAAGGCTACATTTTAAATATCAAGCCACATTCCCTTGAAGACTATCACTGCATAGGTCATAACCAGAACAATGTTTTGACATAAATCAAGTCCATTATATGAAATTGAATAGAACTTATTTTGAGCTTCCTACTAATGAAGGAAGGAAAATAAAATCATCTGGGAAAGAGCTGCCAAACATTGGACAGCCTGCTAATGTAAAAAAATGGGATGTTTCTTTTCACCATCTCTAAATTATTTGGATGGCAGGTGTGCCTGTTTTATGTTGTTGCTTATGCTTTCAATTGAAGAGTAAACTTTGCCTGTAGCCTGTTAATCACCTGAGCCTTTTGGAAAACTTAACTGAGAGGTCATTTGCTTTGCTTCCTTCTTCCTCCACATCTCCACAGCATATCAGCAATCATGGTGACGTGCCACTCTGCTGGTAATTCATATGGCTTATTCAGAAGCACAGATCATGGCTGTTAGACCTGCCAGATGTTCCCGGTCCCTAGCTGCAATTAAGTTCCAACATAGCCCAATTTGAAAGAGATTGAGAAACCACAGTTCTCATTAAGAATATTCATGAGTTTGCACCTTGAAAAGCCAGCAATCACATGATATGCCAGAACGGACAAGATCGTTTGAGAAGAGGAAAAAAAAAAAGATGCAATTTAAAATAAGTTACCAGGTATGTGCTACGGGAAGTTCTGAAGTGAAACAGGGGGTATGGAATTGCATGAACTATTTGAACTGTCAGTCAAATCTGTCTTAATAAGAATTTACAGGGCTATCCCAGGGCTGCACATTATCATCTGAAAAGCTTAAAAAAGAAAATCACCCAGGCCGTGGGCCCCACCCACAGGGCTAGTCTAGATCAAGAAAAAGAAACAACATTGTCGTTGGCATCCTCATCTCCACACATAAGGAGTCACCTCTAGACAGTTGCTATGGTAACCATGAGTGTGTTCTTCTTAGACATTAAAAATGAGAACTCAAAGCATCTTCAGCTGGACTGGAAACAGATGCCATGTGTAGCATATTCAAAGAAGAGTCAGCCAACCAAATTAGGCAATGCAGAGGTTATCAGAGGTTCCTCGTGTCATCTTCAGGAGAAATAAGGAAAATAGTCTTTTTTAGGAAACTTGTCTGAAATGGTAGGATTCACAGTTTAGGAACCATTTTCTGTTGAGTCCATTGTGATCCCTGGAGATAGAACCCTTGAATAGACGAAGAGCACAGGATTGCAAATTAAGAAACCAAGGTTCTGTTTCTGTCCTTAACTCGCTATGAGACTTGGGCAAATCACTGGTCTTTCTTGGTAACAATTTCCTTATGTAATAAAGGAAAGATTTCAAGAGACAAATTTAGACATATAGGGGTTGGAAAGGGCCTTATGGACAATGTGTTTCACTCTATAGTGATCACCTGTTTTTTCAGGGCTTCCAAAATCCATTTCCCCTCTATTCTGTAGCTCTTGGTTTTCCTTTGGAAATCAGTCTCTCCTCACTCTTTGTTCTGACTCCACCTTTGGTTCTAGAGAAGATCATTTTACCTCGGTCTGGCCAGTTGAAACACTGTGTTTGCCATTACACAGTGGGTGTTTTTGGGATGTGACTGAAGTCAGCCTGAGTCCAATGAAAATTCTGAACTTCTTCTGGAATTATGGTGAAGGACAAACTCTTTTTGGGTTGTAAACCTGGCAATGTGAGTAAGAATCTTACTGTAGTGGGAGAATGTGCCTGAGGATGCAGCCAACACAATAAAAAGCAGAGTCCGGTAGATGAAGAGTAATAGTGTTCTGATGATGTCACTTAAAGCACCAAGATCCAGCCATGCCTGAAGTTGATATACCCTTTTCAGTTATTAAAAAAGTCAACAAAACCCCTTTTTAAAAGTAAGCTAGTTTAAACTGGATTTCTTTCACTTATGTCCAAAAGAGTTCTAATTCATACAAAGCCCTCATTTTATAGGCTTAGGAAACTGACACCAAGGACGATGGCTTGTCCAGACCTCGATAAAGTCAGAGGCAGAACTAGAACCAGCTCTTGAGCTTTTCAGTTCAGAGGCTTTCAGGATACATCTAAACCTTGAATTTTACGATGTTAAGGTATTAACATCTTTGAAATTTCCATTTAACTGACTCTTTCCTTCTTTTCAATAACATCAATCTTCTTATAATGCTTGATAGATTTGTTTTCTTGCAGCCTTTTGCCATTTCAGAATTCACTTATTTTGTAGCTAGTGTACCTACCAACCAAATTAGAAACAAATATAGCAACAATTCACTACTCAAATTAATATCTTGGTACAGGGCAGATCAAATAAACAATGGGCTGTCTTTAAGAATTTTTTCAACGGATTTATTTTTCAAATCTATCTTCCAATAGATTTTTCAATGCATTATAGCATCATAACCTCAATTTCCAATCAGAGGCAGAAGAGATGGAAGTCTTAAAAAGAAAGAATGTGAAATTAGAAGAGATTAATATTTAGCTAAAGATTGGCTTCCATGGACTGACTGTCTCTCAATCTATAGCTAGTGAATTAAGAACCAAATTACTATAGGTTTTGCTAAATGTGTTAATCCAGTTTAAGAGTTTCATTCTCCACAAACAAACAGTGTACTCCCATAACCCATCATCCTGCTCTCTATTATAACACTTATGTTAAATATCTGCCTTCTTCATTGGGCCTTGAGCCCCTATATGCCAGGGACCTTGTTTTAATCATTTCTTAGTCTCATGAACACCCAATCATTTTGCATGCTGCATGTGTATGGAGTACAGTTAGAACACACAGATATTCCCAATTTGCTACCGAGAGCGTTGGACCATAATACTTCTTTTAACTATCTCCATGGGCTGGTGTCAAGTTCATTTGTCTGTTATTAGTGTGTGTGAGAAGAGTTTCTAATATATTCAAACTAATTTCAGGTTTTGAAAGTTTCCACATGGACCGTTTTTAAGCAGAATCTCATGGGATTTTAGACCCTGAAGTGTCATATCTAATTGTTATCTCTTCATGTTCATGTCTTCAGTAATCATCTAGAAGTGATATTATGGACTGGCACTCAGAGGCGGTGTGAACTGTGAGAATCTACATTCTAAAATCTTCTCAAATCTTTTTTGCTATCCTTCCCATTTGTCTCACATCATCTGGGGTATAGAAAGTGTGAAACTTTTTAGTTTTATATACCTTGAAGAATTGAAACCAACCAGAGAGAGACTAGAATAAGGAACATTATGGAGTTGTATGTTATTATGTTTACATGTTAATTTGTAAAGTTCTGCCCTGCTTAGAACAGAGAAGTAGAAAATGCTTTTTTTTAAAATCTAGAAAAGAGGTGACAGTAAATTTGTCAGTGTATCACTATTTATTTTTTGAACTTGGAAAAGTACAGAAGAAATCAAAGCAATGTTAATTTTAAAAAATAAGAGAACATATCCAAACAATTTTTATTGGAGATTTCAATTTTATTTTTCCATTTAAAAGTAGAATATTCATTTAAATTTGTATATTAATTTAAAAGGAGACAGTCAGCCCTACATATAATATCTCATTTACTCTTCATGACATCCCTAAAAATGTAAATATTATTAGCCACAATTCATAAATGAAAGACTAGTTTTAGGGAGGCTACATAAATCGCCCAAGGTCATGTAGATTATAAGCAGCTGAAATGGGCTGGAAGTCAAATGTGACTGACTCATAGGTTTTGTCCTAAATACTCTGCTACAGGCTTCTCAAAACATTGTCTGGTTTACCTATGCAACAAACCTGCACATCCTGCACATGTACCCCAAAACTCAAAATAAGCCATTGTCTCAATAGGACCTTTATGTATTATGTGTCAGCTATATGCTTTACATTCATTACCTGGTAATTCACAAGAATCCTGTGAATTGGATATTATTACCCTTCACAAACCAGGAAACAGACTTAGGTGACTTGCTCAAGATCACCAAACTCCTAGGTGGCAGAGTCAGGCCATTAGTCACCATTCATTCTTTTAGCTCACCTTGATTAAACACAACCTCTGTGCTGGGCATCCCAGGAGCCAGAGTTGGGCCAGGGTGAGAAGGAAACACATACTTCCTATTCTCAGCACTTTAAATATTACTGAAATATTTTGTGAATGAAGGTGTTGACTCATGGAGAAACTAAAGAACAGACGTTGTCACAGCATTCGTTTCTCTGAAATTAGACTTTAGTCTCCCCAAAGGACATGTGCATACTACAGAACCTCCTAGAACACTCTTTGAGAATTACTGAACTCAGTGTAATCCATTTGCTTTTTAATCTAGGCCCAGCTTCTGCTTTCACCCTGGGCCTGTTAAACGTTACTAGCTTTATTTCCCATCTTCTTTTGCCCCACATCTGCCAGGTCCCTCCTATGGAGAAGAGCGTGACTTGACCTGCTGCTGCCCATCCCAGCTACCATTCTGCTTGTCTCCTTTCTTCCACTGCCAGGCACCTCCAATGAGGGCCTTATCCCCTCTGCTTCCATTTCCACACTGCCTAGTTTTTCCTTGAGTCCCTGTAATCTGCCACTGTCTGCACCCCAAACTCTCAATACTAGTTTAATTACTTAATTACTAGTCTGGTTATCTTTCCTTACTTACCTCCACCAACTTCTAACTACAGGATCAAGTTCAGACCCCTTAGATTGGATTTTCAGTGTTCTTCACAATCTGGTTTAAATGAAAGTTCTGGGTTTTTTCCCCCCGTGTCCCTCTGACGCAAACATCTGTGCATCACAAAACTGCTCTACTCCCTGTTTCCTGAATATATTTTACACATTCTTGTATAAAATATGTTGCGTCAGGCACATATAGCAGTTTTCTTATTAGGCAAATGATGTATGGCTTACAGTACTCATAAAGCAAAGGCCACAAGGATACAGAAAGCTGAAAGTTCAATTAAATTATGCAGAATTTTTCTATTAGAAAAATCTAGAAAGAAGATATTTTAATTTTGGCATACATGAATGATCTGGACTTTAGAGTTCAGCATGTGTGTGTGTGTATTTCTTAAATTATATAAAAGGTGAGGTAGAGGGTGAACCATGATCTTTTTAATACTTAGTTACTTAAGTCTCTTGAATGACCACTAATTACATGCAGAATTTGGGGGAATTTTTCTAACATATTAAGCCTCAATTTCCTTATTTATAAAGTGCTGATAATTGTAATACCTGTTTGATGGTATTGTTTGGGGGAATTAAAAGATATTGCATGTAAAATGCTGAGCACAGAGATGTTCAGTAAGTGCTAGTGGAGCTGCTGCCATTCCAGCTGCTCATTATTCTACTGCTATGGTTCAAATGTTTGTCCCCTTTGAAACCTGTGTTGAAACTTGATCCCCAATGTGACAATGTTGAGAGGTAGGGCCTTTAATAGGCAATTGTGTCATGAGGGCAGAGCCCATGAATCCCCATGGATTAATGCATTCATGAATTAATAGGTTAATAGATTAGTAGGTCATCATGGAAGTGGAACTTGTGGCTTTATAAGAAGGGGAAGAGAGACCTGAGCCAGCAAGCTCAGCTGCCTTACCCCCTTGCCATGTGACACCGTGTACTGCCTTGGAATTCTGCAGAGAGTCTCCATGAGCAAGAAGGCCCTCATCAGATGTGACACCCTCAACACTGGACTTCTCAGCCTCCAGAACTGCACGTAATAAATTCCCTTTCTTTATAAATTCCCCAGTTCTAAGAGCCATTATCAGCCTACCACAAGATTCTTGAAAGGAATGATCCATTTCCTTCACGTTTGTGCCTCCCACAAGACACCAAGTTGTGAATAAAAGATGATGAGTTTATGGGTGTTCATTAGATTATTAAAAAGTAATGATAACATTATTACTCTTAATAATAATAATCTTAAGTAAATTACCAGAAAAAGTTCATTCTTTGGCCAATGATGAGACTATTTGTGCCTGAGGACTGATCTTAAAAAAATCAAAGCAGGGGAGGTGTCCAGCTTATATCCATTGAATGAAAAGCATAACCTTAAATATTTTATAATTAGTTAATAGTTTGATATATCAATAAGTCGTTAGAAAAAATTCTATTAAAAAAATTCTATTGCATATCAAACCTTTACCCATGTGATCCAGTCCTGTCCTGAATAGTTTCACACTCAAAAAAGCATAGCCTCGAGGGATTCCAGTGTTTACCCACCTTCCTCTCAAACATTTAAAGGTCCAAGCACAAGTATAACAACTCTTAATAAAATGCCCTGTTCTTGGACGGGCGCAGAGGCTCATGCCTGTAATCCCAGCACTTTGGGAGACTGAGGCAGGCAGATCACCTGAGGTCGGGAGTTCGAGACTAGACTGACCAACATGGTGAAACTCCATCTCTACTAAAAATACAAAATTAGCCGGGTGTGGTGGCGCATGCCTGTAATCCCAGCTACTCGGGAGGCTGAGGCAGGAGAATCACTGGAACCCAGGAGGCAGAGGTTGCAGTGAGCTGAGATGGTGGAGCGCCATTCGTTGCATTCCAGCCTAGGCAACAAGAGTGAAACTCCATCTCAAAAAAAAAAAAAAAAAAAAGAAAAAATGCCCTATTCTCCTCTGGTCCCCAGTCTACTCTGAAATTTTCTGAAACAATTGAGCCTCTCATTTTATTGATCCTGAAGAAAGAACACTTCCATCCATGCTGGCCCACTGTGTTTACTCCACTTAGGCAGTAAATGTGCCTTTATCCTCTGCCTTCTTCACTTCCTACCTCATTCAGAGAGGCTGGGAGGCATGGACACTCTATTAGGACATAGGTGGAGGGGTACATTTCACAGGACTTGGAATTCATAGCCACTCTATGGCTGAACCAGCTGGCTTTTACTTCTTGCCTCCTTGTAGTGTTTGCCAGGCACGGAAATATATTAGCTCTCTTCTGATGATGTATTCACTATCTAGAAATCAGATGTTTGTTTGGCAAACAGCCCACCTGAATCCAGTCAAAATAAGATGAATAATTCTTCAACTAATGTGAGATTAAAAAGGCAGAGTCTGTTTGTATGTATAAAACCATTTTCTTTCTTAGAATCTTAGAAATCACAAAACATACCCTAAAGTAGGCACTGCACTTTATCATTGCAAAGGAGAAAATTCAAAATAAAGGCTTACTACTGAATGGATTGCTCAGTCAAAGAAGAGCCATGGCACATTAAATTCAATAAACCACTCAAGCTTCTGAACAAATATATTATGGGAACACTATAGGCTACAGTTTAAAAGATTAATCCAGGAAGAAACAATATACTACTGTATTGGCTTTCCTGCTGGCAGTCTCAGCTTCAGGCACAAGACGATGCTACCTGATAGTTGCCATGGTAACCATGCGAGTGTTCAGCTGGAGCATTTTCAAACAGAAAAATATAACATCATACATGAGTCTCTGTTTAAAGAGAAAGAGGATGGGAAGCAGTTTGGAAAATGGTAGCATGGGAGTCTGCCAGCACAAATTCTGCAATGTAAGGCTTGTGAGTCTTCTGATTTTTGTGAGGCTAATTGAGGGTACCACACCACACCTATTGATGGATGTCCAAAATTGGAGGTATAGTGAGTAACTTTCAGGGGAACAAGGGTAAGAGCTGCATCCGTGATGCTGAGGAGGTTGGACAGGACTCTCTGTCCTCCTGGGACTTGGGTTTGCTATTTTCACCAAACTGTAGCTTTCTAATGTCTTGCTGAATTCACCAGGTCCTAGTATTCACAATGGATTATTTAACCACTTGCTTCATGTGCCTTGTCCTGACTCTGCCTCCATGCTCTGCACACCATTTCTCTGTTGGTCGTAGGTTTTTAAAGACTGAGGAATTCATTCAGTGTTTTCTTCATCCTTTCAACCTATCCAAACATTGCCTTACCACTGAGCTCATGCCTTACTTCTGTCTGCAACTGCCTCACCCTGTGATCACTACTTCCTCCCTGGCATCCCCTGCATTTTACCACCTGTCCTCCTGATGCTCATGTGCTGGTTGGCTGCCTTATTTTTTTTGAGCCATCAGCTTCCTGGTTATAAACTACCCCCATGGGCCAGATCTAACCTTTTGTTTGCCCGACACAATGTTTTGAAAAACTGAATCAACATCCAGTCAGGAGATTTCACACAACATTTCCGAGTCTGACAACTCTAGACCCATGTTCTTGGTAAGGCAGCACTTGTCTAGAGCTAAGGAGTGACTGTCCCCTTTAAATCAAGGTTGTGCTCCCTCACTTGGCTGCATTACCACAATTACTTACCTGCCTGGCTCCTGTAGCATCTGAAAGCCCTGAAGGAACTTGAGGATAGGGACAGCACCACACACTGCTGCTCGCTCTATGTTCCTAACAGACTTGCTTCCTCTAGAGCCTCGTTCCTTTGCCTGGTTGGTGCACGATATAGATTTGATTTATCAATTAAAATTAAAGATAATTTCATTTATTTGATGAACACTTATTGCTTACTCAGGCTGTCCTCCTCTAACCCTTTATCTGTAAATCTGAGCTGCCTGTGTGCTTGAATACCAAGAAAACCTTTGCAATGGGGTGGAGTTTCTAGTAGTGAGAGTTTCACCATCCATGTGGTTCCTGTCTAGGTATCTTTCTTTAAATGGAATGAAGGGAACACTGGGCAAACTGGAGATCTATGTCATGGCAATTGCTGCAGGACTACTGTAGGAAACCATTCTTATGGTCCTGCACCCATCATTCATCCATCTATTCATGTGTTCAGTTAGCCATTCCACCAATGCCTACTGGATACATTTCACAAGCAACCATTATAGAGAGTGATCACAATGAGGAAAACAGTCCAAGTTCCTGCCCTCAGGATGCTTATAGTCTTTGGACTATTTTTTCCCCCTTGACCCAAACGGCTAAAGCAGCTGCTAAGTGAACTTCATGACCAATTCCAGAGAGATCAAACTGTGTCAGAGACAAGTCAAAAAAATAAAAAGGAAGAAGAAGAAGAAATGTAAATGGTCAACACGTTTTAATGTCTCCAAAACACAGAGAAATAAAATTAAAACAATAATGACGTATCTTTTTAACAACTAAATTTAGCAAAGATCATAAAAAAAATTATAATGCCAGTGTGCAGAATGTGTGAGGAAATGAGCCCTCTTGTTTCTTTTCATGGGAAAATGACTTGGCACAGTGTTTTAAGGGGGCAACTTAGCAATTAATGTGAAAAATGCATACATAGTTTATGATTTAATAATACAATTTCTAAGACATTCCTAGGAAATAAGGATGTACCCTAAAATTTAGCAATACAGATTTTTTGTGGATGAGTTGTTAATAATAACAAAATATATAACTAAGTAATAACTAAAGAAACTAACCTATGTTGAGCACTTCCTAAGTTCCCTGCCTTAAGATACCAAATGACCCTGTGAGGGAGGCATGATTGCTAGCTGAAAAAATGGCTCAGAGAGGTTAGAAAAGTCCATGTTGATATAGCTCTAAGGAAGCACAATGGGAAAGAGGCTGAGCCCATTTAGTGATCACACCATGTCCCTGTTGCTTCTAGTGGTGAAAAGTCAAAAGAACATGGAGGTTTCACATTAGGGATCTGGCTTAATAAATCATGGAGCAATCATGCTATGGAATGCTGCTCAGTCACAAAAAAATAACATAGATGAAGATACAGCCACTTGAAAAGAGGCTCGAAATATGCTGCAAAGCTGGTTATTAAATAGTGTGTATTGTGTGGTCTCAGGTGTGTAAGAATCCATTTATAAGCACAGGTAAGGATAGAAACATTCAGAGATGCAGATACCAAGGTTCAATTAGTGACCCTCTCCGGGTGGTAAGATGATTATTTCATTTTCCATTCATTATTTTTCTTATCTATATTTTTATTTTCTTTAAAAGATCAATCTGTATTGTTTGTGTACTAACCTCTATATTTACATTTTCAAAATATAGTGGCATTATTGACTTAGATTTAGCATTCCAGGTGGCTACATGACACCCTGTCACTTGCTTGCCTGAATTAACATTCCTTCCCCTGGGGTGTTACAAAAATCATCCTGGATTGAGAGCAGGTCGCTGGGTTTCAGGCTGAGTGCATCTAGTAATGCGTCCACAATGTGACCCGAGGCAAGTCACTTCAGCTCTCCTGGCCTCAGCACAATGAGCCGGCTGGGCAAGCTGAACGCTGAGGCCCCTTCCAGCTCTGACATGCGATGCACTCTTATGCATTCATTTTCTTCTTTGGAGACAGCCTGTAACCATTTCCAGTCTACAGGAGAAGGACTTGAGAATGCAAAATCATTTTGTTCTGTAAAAAAGCATGGATAAACACCTGCCTAACCCATTTTAAGGAATAATAACATGACATTTATAAACCACTTTGCACAGTGTTTATGAATTCCCTCCCTTGAGGCTCTGAGTTTGACTCTAGTTACTCTAGTTATTTACATGTCTGCATTTGGGCGAAGGATTTGCAACTCCAAGAGAGGGGGGATGTTTTCTCCTGAGTTGATTGTGAATTGAGTGTCTCCTATTATATTGCTAGTGCAAAATATGTTAAGACCAGTTTCTCTGACACAGAAAATGACCCAGAAAAACAAAGTGGGTCTTCATTTCAGCTCCATCTTCATCTCCAGCTGTATCTATGGACAATAATCCTTCCAGAAAGCAGCTGAATTGGGCTGGAATTGCATATCAGAGTGGCAGCTTCACCCAACAAGGGCGACTTAGAGCAGCATGACGCACTGTTATGAGGGGTTCTTTCCCTCTGGGAACGAAGATCTCAAGTGGTGTTTGAAATCCCCCATTTCTTGCAAAATACTGCTAAGGCTGCTGAGCTTAGGTTCCACTTTGGGGGTTTTCATCTCTGCGTATGCAACAGAATTCCAGACAAGAACATGAAATAACACAAACTGTTTTGTTTTTGAGCATTTTTGTTTAGTCCTTAGATTACTAAGGACTAACATTTGAAAAATGAAGTGAAAGTGAGTTCATTTATTTTATTTCAAATTTAGGGCCTGAAAATCTTTAAAACATTTTTGATTCAGCCGGGCACAGTGGCTCACACCTGTAATCCCAGCACTTTGGGAGGCGGGCAGATCATGAGGTCGGGAGATTGAGACCATCCTGGCTAACACGGTGAAACCCCGTCGCTACTAAAAATACAAAAAATTAGCTGGGTGTGGTGGTGGATGCCTGTAGTCCCAGCTACTCGGGAGGCTGAGGCAGGAGAATGGCGTGAACCTGGGAGGCGGAGCTTGCAGTCCAGTGAGACTGTCTCAAAAAAAAAAAATTGATTCAAGTTAATTTCAAATATATATCATTCATATCTGCATACAAAACAACTCCCCTGGAATGAGGATTTTAATTGAAAGTGAAGTTACAAATCTGAACACCTGGAGTGATCCACAGAAAAACATAAAATGCCATTGCCCAGAGGTGCTGCCCTCTGGATGGGTACCACTGCCTCCTCCACAGTCCAACCCAAGGAAGCTGAAGACCTCAGCTTCCGTCTCCCACTCATTTAAGACCTTAAATGAGATATTCCTCTGTCAAATGAGCTCCTTTCTAGACTCTTCATCCCAAACTACTCTGGGCCAGTCTAATCTCACTGTCTCCCAAACATCCCCTATTTGCTCATGACTCTGCACCTGGGATGCCTTGCTGCCTCCCTAAGTGTCTCTCATTGTTCAAGACCCTGAGTTCAAGTACCAGTTTTACTCCACAACTAACCAGGTCAGTTCACACCAATGTTACCCAACTCTAACCCCGTGGCTCTGAGACATATTAGGTGAGCATTTCAGCCTTTCTAACATATGGAATCATTAAGCAAATTTCCCTAATACGTCAAAGTACATGTCTGATGTTGGATATAGCTGGTCAGTACAGGAACAAAAGCACTGATTATTAAATGTTCAGGTGCACTGTAAGCCAGTAATTTCACATTGATAGCTAAAAATCAGCCATGTTGAGAATATTTTTACCACAGGAAATATGCTTCAAATCACTTGCCCCTGTAGTAAGTGTTGGCTGATAATATTATAAAAGCATGTCTTTGTTTATCGATGCTAAGGTTAAAGACCAAAATCTGACCTTCCGTGGTAGAACCCCACTTGACCACTTACTAGCTATGTGACTATGTTCAAGTCATTAAATCTAAGCTTCATTCAGTATCTTTATTTGTTAAATAGAGCTATCAAATAAGCCAGCATTACAGGGTGGAAATGAAAACAAAAATCAGACATCCAGGTAATATGGTTGGTAGGATGTCTACATAAAGTATCATTCAATAAACGTCATGAGACATTATTGTCATTATCATTACTTTTTTTTTTTTTTTTGAGACGGAGTCTCACTCTGTCACCCAGGCTGGAGTACAATGTTGTAATCTCACTTCACTGCAACTTCTGCCTCTCAGGTTCAACCAATTCTTGTGCCTCAGCCTCCTGAGTAGCTGGGATTGCAGAAGCACGCCACCACAGTACCATGCTACCACACCTGGCTAATTTTTGTATTTTTAGTAGAGACGGGGTTTCCCCATGTTGCCCATGCTGGTCTTGAGCTCCTGACCTCAGGTGATTCACCCGCCTCAGCCTCCCAAAGTGCTGGGATTACAGGCGTGAGTCACCACGCCTGGCCCAATGATTATTACTTCTTAGTGAGGAGAATGTGAGCAACAGGGATACTTAAAGCTATGGTCACTGCTAACTGAATATGTTTTAGTCTATTTTAATTGATATATATGTATTATTTAACAATTTTATTGTGCTTATTTAAGGTATACAACAACACAATGTTATGGGATACATATAGACAGTAAAATAAGGTTACAATATGAATGTATTCATCATCTCATGTAGTTATCACCTTTTTTTTTTTGCTAAAATCAACTCATTTTGCATGAATCCCAAATACAGCACCATTTTATTACCTATAGTCCTCACGTTGTACATTAGCTCTCTAGACTTAGTCATCCTACATATCTGCCACTTTGTCCTGTGACCTACAATCTCCCCATTTCCTTCTCCCCTGCAACCACTGTTTTGTTCTCTACTTCTGAATATTTGTTTTTGTTTTTGTTTTAGGATTCCACATATAAGTGAGATGATGCAATGTTTTCCTTTTTTAGGTCTGGCTGATTTCACTTAACATAATGTCCTTCAGGTTCATCCACATTGTGCCAAATGGTAAGATCTTGGGTTTTTTTGGGCTGAATAATATTCCCGTGTGTGTGTGTGTGTGTGTGTGCATGTGTGTGTATCAGTCACAGTTTCTTTATCCATTCATCAGTTGACAGACACTTAGGATGTTTCCATATTTCGGCTACTGTGAATAATGCTGCAATGATCATGAGAGTGCAAATATCTTTATGAGATGCTAGTTTTATTTCCTTTGGATGTGCCCAGAAGGAGGATTACTAGGTCATATGGTAGTTTTATTGTCAATTTCTTTAGAAATCACATACTGTTTTTCATAATGGCTCCACCAATCTACATTTTTACCAACAGAGTATGAGTTCCTTTTTCACCATACCCTCACTAACATTTGTTGTCTTTTGACTTTTTGGTAATAGCCATCCTAATGAGTGTGAGGTGGTATCTCACAGTGGCTTCGATCTGCATTTCCCTGATGATTAATGATGTTGAACACCCTTTCATATACCTGTGGGCAATGTTTATTTCCTTGGAGAAATGTCTATTCAGGTCTTTTGCCCATTTAAAAAATAAGGTTGTTATATGTGTTCTTTATAAATTTGAATATTACCAGCTTATCAGACATACGATTTGCAAATATTTTTTCTCAATCCATGGGCCATTTCTTCATTTTGATCATTGTTTCCTTTGCTATCAGAAGATTTTTATTTTGATAGATTCCCATTTATTTATTTTTGCTTTTGTGAACTGAGCTTTTCATGTGGTACCTTTAAAAAACATTGCCAAAGCCAATGCCCAGGAGCTTTTCTCCATGTTCTCTTCTAGGAGTTTTATGGTTTCCAGTCTTATATTTAGGTCTTTTATCTATGTTGAAGTGATTTTTGTATATGGTATTAGAGCCCAATTTCATTTTTTTACTTGTGAAAATCCATTTTTCCTAGTACCATTTCTTAAAGAGCCTACTCTTTCCCCATTGTGCCTTGTTGGTACCCTTATCAAAAATTAGTTGACCATAAACATTTGGATTTATTTCTGGGCTCTGTATTCTGTTCCACTGCTCTACGTGTCTGTTTTTATTCCACTAGTATGCTGTTTTAATTACTATCACTTTGTAATATCACTTTAAATCAGGAAATGTGATGCCTCCAACTTTGTTCTCCTTTCTCAGAATTGTTTTGACTATTCAGGGTCCTTTATGTTTCCATACAAATTTCAGGATTGTTTTCTCTATTTCTGTGAAGAATGCCATTGGGATTTTTATAGGGATTAGGTTGAATCCACATAATATTGCTTTGGGTAGTATGAACATTTTAACAATATTATTTCTTCTGATCCATGAGCATAGGAAATCTTTCCATTATTCTTCTTTCCTTCAATTTCTTTCCTCAGTGTTTTATAGTTTTCAGTGTACAAAGCTTTTAATTCCTTGGTTAAATTTATTCCTAAGCATTTTTTGATGCTATCATAAATAGGATCGCTTTCTTAATTTCTATTTTAGTTAGGTTTTCATTGGTATATAAAATGCTATTAATTTTCATATGTTGATTTTGTATCCTGCAACTTTACTGAATTCATTTATTAGTTCTACCAGTTTTTCCTGTGTGTGTGTAGAATCTTTGGGGTTTTTAAATGTAGGATCATATCTGCAAATAGAGGTAATTTTACTTCTTCCTTTTTGATCTAGATGTCTGTCACTTCTTTCTCTTGTCTAATTGCTTTTGTTAGTACTTTTAGTATTATTGAATAGAAGTGGTAAAAGTGGGCATGCTTGCTTTGTACTGTATCTTTGTATTAAAGCTTTCAATTTGGGGCATTCTGGGTTTGTCACTTAACAGTTTTGTGAATGTGAATGCGTGACTTAACCTCAGAATATAGGTTTTTGTACCTTTAAAATGCAGACAGTGATATCGATGTCATAATGAGATTAAAGTATAAAATCAGCTAGCAAAGTTTATGGTCTTTAAAATAATCCCACTTAATTTTAGTTTCCTTCCATTCCTTCCAACAGGTAGTCAAGAATGTTTTCATCAACTTTCTCTTTATTCCTTCACTTGGCTGACTAGCAGAAAAGGATTGATTCCAAATGGTATCATTTAGAAATTCAGATATTTAAATCTTGACTAAATGATCCCTTACTCAGTTCAGAGTTAGTAACACCCTTTGATGACTGCTGCTCTTATCAGCTGGGCTTTGACTTTATTTTAATTTCAGAGCCCAATGACAGTTTTTAGGGTTGCTTTCAGCAAAATCTACCATTTGATTATCCACAAATAGCACATCTTTTATCCAAGTAAGATAAGTAGCTAGCTTAAGAACAGAGAGTCATCTAAAGTCAAAGGAACTCTTAAATTTATATCAACAGTTAATCCTCTGTGGCCATGTCGGGTCTGTTGGTGGAGATGCCAAACACGGAAGACAGTGAAGTGGTGGCTCAGCGTTCTCCAAAGGAATGAGCAAGCAGATGAGGCAAAGCACACTCTGAAGGTGAGAGGGGTAGAGAGGGAAAGGCGTGTTACAGACGTGGCCAATCAAGCCTTTCTCTGAATCGTATCAGAAAACTCTTGAGGATAAAAACTCCTTGGCTTCTTTCCAGTGAGCCAACTTGATAGCTCTAATGCTACACACACTTTGAAATGATTATTTGTTCTGTGTTTAAAATGGGAAATTGAAGTTTGGCAAAGTCATTTGGACTAGCCCAGAATCTCATGCAAAGCAATTGGTTCAGAGCTATTAGTGCAGCAGATTTCTCGGTCCATTAAGAGTCTGACATAGTAGGAGGCGTCTGCTTGTGATTCTTTCCATTTCTAGCTCCAGACAAACTGCCCTTTCTGAGTCTTTAGTCTGTTTCTCTGATTATCTTTTAAGTGTCTCAGGAAAGTTTTTCCTCGATTTGGTGCTCACTGTTCCAAGCCTTTTGCTTCTATCCCTCTCTCCTCGCTCCCTGGCTGTTATTTTTTTATACACCATCTTTGAGAAACCACGTCATATGGAGATCTCCTAAATTTACTGTTCTCTACTCTTCACTTTTTTTCTTGGCTGTCTATTTAGATTCCTCCTTTATATTCTTGCAGCAATATTTTTCATGTATTCACTCTTTTCCTCTAAATGGTTGCCAAAATATGCAGCTGCTTCCTCCTCAATATTGTGAAGATCTGCCTTCTTTATCTATCAAAAGTTTTTTAAAGAAGACTTTATTTCCAAACCCTAACTTCGAGTTAACCATATAGGAAATGACGGAGTCTCTAGACATCTACTGTTTGATCAACGGGTCTTTTCCCTCTTGACTTTCACACCCTAACTTTTCTTGGGCAGTCCAGGCTCAGGCAAGCACCAGCATTATTTCCATTGCCTCTACTCCACTGTTCATTCTGGTGTCTTGTCCAGGCAGCCACAGTGGGCACAGTTAAAAGCAGCACCCTGCCAGCCTGCAGCCATATCCTTCTTGTGACTAGAGTCACTGGCAAGACATCCTTGTAGGGTGGGAGGGAGATCTTCTCTCTCTTACTTCTTGTTCTTCTTGGCCAACGAAATAGAAATTCCAACCTGTCTGAAGTGAGAGGAAAAAGTGCTTTTCCTTTTTCTGACCACTTTCCACAAAAGAAGAGTGGCATTTATCTGTTTGGTGTGATGGTGAGGATCAGGCATTCAGTGGTCTGCTGTTGGGTCAGGGGGTCAATGCTTAAAAGGCTGCATGTACTTGTGGCATCATTCACTTTGTCTCTGCACTCAAAAGGAAGGAGGAAGCCCCAGGTCCTCTATGCAGCAAGTGGAGTGAGAATCGGCTCTGCATGTCCGATGTCCTTGTGTGTGTGTGGCGGAGGCAAATGAAGAAAAAGCATTAGGATGCCTATATTGGCCTCAAGTCCAAGGTTCTTCAATATGGTTTTGGTAGCACTATACAGATTTTTTTAAAACCCCTGTATCTATTAGCTAGTTTGGGGCTCAGAGAAAAGAGGGGGAGTGATTACCATCTCAAACTCCAATAAGACCATGCTATTTCCTTTTATTTCCTGATTATTAAAATTAAATATATATAAAACAACAATTATCTATATTTTCATAACTCATTTTTTTCTCCTTAGGTATTCTCACATCAATCCTAAGAGATAGAAGAGTTAAAAGCCATATCATGCTTAACGCGATTCTAGTG